>NC_000007.14:96749203-97052233 GCF_000001405.40 Homo sapiens
CTATCATGAGAACAGCATAAGGGAAACTGCCCCCATAAGTCAATCACCTCCCACCAGGCCTCTCTCTAAACACTTGGGGATTAAAATTCAAGATGAGATTTGGGTGGGGACACAAAGCCAAACCATGTCATTCCACCCCAGCCCCTCCCATGTCTCATGTCCTTACATTTCAAAACCAATCATGCCTTCCCAACATTCCCCCAAGGTCTGAACTCATTTCAGCATTAACTCAAAAGTTCAAGTCCAAAGTCTCATCTAAAACAAGGCAAGTCCCTTCCACCAATGAACTTGTAAAATCAAAAGCAAATTAGTCACTTCCAAGATACACTGGGGGTACAGGCATTGGGTAAATACACACATTCCAAATGGGAGAAATTGGCCAAAACAAAGGGGGCTACAGGCCCCATGCAAGTCTGAAACCCAGCAGAGTAGCCATTAAATCTTAAAGGGCTGAAATGACCTCCTTTGACTCTGTGTCTCACATCTGGATCATGCTGATGCAAAAGATGGGCTCCCACGGTCTTGGGCAGTTCTGCCCCTGTGGCTTTGCAGGGTACAGCCCCCCTCTTGGCTGCTTTCACAGGCTGATGTTGAGCGTCTGCAGCTTTTCCAGGCACACAGTGCAAATTGTTGGTGGATCTACCATTCTGGGGTCTGGAGAATGATGGCCTCCTTCTCACAGCTCCACTAGGCAGTGCCCCAGTGGGGACTCTGTTTAGGGGCTCCAACCCCACATTTCCCTTCTGCACTGCCCTAGCAGAGGTTCTCCATGAGGGCTCCACTCCTGTAGCAAGCATCTTCCTGCATATCCAGGCATTTTTATACATCTGCTGAAATCGAGGTAGAGGTACCCAAACCTCAATTCTTGACTTCTGTGAACCCACAGGCCAAACGCCATGTGTAAGTTGCCAAGGCTTGGGGCTTGCACCCTCTGAAGCCATGGCCCAAGCTGTACCTTGGTCCCTTTTAGCCACAACTGGAGCTGAAACAGCTGAGACACAGGGTGCTATGTCCTGAGGCTGCACAGAGCAGTAGGGGTCCTGGAACATGAAACCATTTTTCCTCCTAGGCCTTTGGGCCTGTGATGGGAGGGGCTGCTGCCAAGATCTCCAACATGCCCTAGAGACATTTTTCCCATTGTCTTGGTGATTAACATTCAGCCCCTCATTACTTATGCAAATTTCTGCAGCCAGCTTGAATTTATCCCCAGAAAATGGGTTTTTCTTTTCTATCACATCATCAGGCTGCAAATTTTCCAAACATTTATGCTTTGCTTCCCTTGTAAACATAAGCTCCAATATCAAACCATCTCTTTGTGAATGCATAAAGCTGAATGCTTTTAAAAGCACCCAGGTCACCTCTTGAATGCTTTGCTGCTTAGAAATTTCTTCCACTAGATACCCTAAATCATCTCTCTCAAGTTCAAAGTTCCACAGATCGCTAGAACAGGGGAAAAATGCCACCAATCTCTTTGCTAAAGCATAGCAAGAGTGACCTTTACTCCAGTTTCCAATAGTTTCCTCATCTCCATCTGAGACCACTTCAGCCTGGGCTTCATTGTCCATATCACTATCAGCATTTTGGCTTGAACCATTCAGTGAGTCTCCAGGAAGTCCCAAAGTTTCCCACATCTTCCTGACTTCTTCTGAACCCGCCAAACTGTTCCATCCTCTGCCTGTTACACAGTTCCAAAGCCGCTGCCACATTTTCAGGTATCTTTGTAGCAGTATCCTACTCTTTGTGGTATGAATTTACTGTATTAGTCTGTTCTCACACTGCTACAAAGAAATACCTGAGACTGGCTAATTTATAAAGGAAAAAAGTTTAATTGACTCACGGTTCTGTGTGGCTGGGGAGGCCTCAGGAAACTTACAATCATGGCTGAAGGCAAAAGAGAAGCAAAGGCATGGTTTTACATGGCAGCAGGCGAGAGTGAGCATGTGTCAGCACAGGAAAAACTACCATTTATAAAACCAAAAGATCTCGTGATAATTCACTCACTATGATGAGAACAGCATGAAGGAACCACCCCCATAATCCAATCACCTCCTACCAGATCTCTCCCTAAACATCTAGGGGATTAAAATTCAAGATGAGATTTAGGTGAGGGCACAAAGCCAAACTGTATCACCCCCTTTCACAGCTGAGACACCCAAAATATCACCAGACATTGCCAAATGTTCTCTGAGGGAAAATCACCCCTGCATGAGGACCACTGACCAGGGGAAAGAGCCTCTAAATCTCTCAGCATAAGGTAGGGGAGGATACATAAAGCAGCAAGCAATGGAAAGAGGCCTGAAGAAGGCTGGACTTCCTTACTCCCACTTCTGGAAGGATTTTTAAAAGCACATTCCTGGCTTCTCTCTGCCCTTTTACTTGCTCTGGCCCAGTGAAAATAAAATGATTTGCCTAATTGGTAAGTTTGCAAAGAGCATTTACTAAGAAAATGCTCAAGATACAATATATGAAGACTAACTATGTGTTGGCACAGCAAATGTGACCAAAGAGTCATGAAAGATCAAAGGACAATGAGAAAGTCAAAGGTAGGAGGCTCTGGGTATAATAACAAGCACTTGCAGTTCTTGAATTTGGGTTAATGAGTTTGAATCACAGGTAATCCTTTCAGGATGGAAAGTTGTTCCATCATGAAACATCATGAAAGAGTTTTCCAGGCTCAGTTTCTCTCTCACTTCTCTTGGGATCTGCTGCTTGCAGGGACCACAGGCAGCAGGGCTTCTTCAGGTTCTGCTTGGCCATCGGGGAAGGCTAAATCCCACCCACTGCTGCTGCAGTTGGCAGGTGAGCTACCCAACTCGGGATCTTTATTAGCATCCACTCTGTGTTCACAGACCTAAAGACATGACCTCATATCTGGGCTCCAGCCATGATCTAAGTGCTATTTTGATATCCTAGCCCCATCATTCCTTATTTTTCAATTTATTGAGAATTGAGACAGGGAAGAGGATATTATATAATGAGTCCCTTCAAAGACAGCCCCTCCAAGAGATGATTAAAAGTTAGGTAGATAAGTTGAGAGAGGATAGTCTAGGCAAAGGAAACATTGTAAACAAAAACAATGAATTATGAGGTTGTGGTATACTCAGGAAACTCAAATTAGTTCAGTGAGTAGAGTCTCAATCAGGGGTGTCCAATTTTTTTAGTGTCCCTAGGCCACATTGGAAGGAGAAGAATGGTCTTGGGCTACACATAAAATAAATTAACACTAACAATAACTGATGAGCTAAAAACAATCACAAAAAATTCTCATAATGTTTGAAGAGTTTACAAATTTGTGTTGGGCCACATTCAAAGCCATCCCGGTCTGCATGTGGCCTGTGGGCCACAGGTTGGACAAGCTCAGTCTAAATTAAAAGCCTGGGAGTAGTAGGTGTTCAATTAGGCTGGATAGGGAGGCAGCAGTTAGATCCAAAAAAGCCTCTTATGCTCTTATGCCACATGAAGGTATCTAGTTTTGTTGTTGTTGTTTTGTTTGTTTGTTTTGTCTTGTTTTTCAGAGGCAATTGTGGGTCAGTATGGAGAATTTGAAAGGATTGCAGTGAGACAAGGAGACTACTAGAGTAGGTGCTGCAGAAGTCAGGTCAAGAGAGGTTGGGGGCCTTGGCCAGATTAGAGGGTGATGGTATATGTGGAGCTGTTTATATGATACTTATGCATGTACTTTTAACATGGCTTCAATTTTGTTCCTAATTCATATAAAGCAAACTTCATTCATTGTGCTGATTATTAGGCAACTTTGTGGTGGCAAATAAGAATGGAGGGGGTAGGAATCTTCTTTGGTGTTTTTCTCCATTTGTCTCCCTGAAGTGGTCTTTGAGTTATCAAAGATTGCACCCAAAAGATACTCATTCATTTAAAAGGCTACAGACCTTGAGCATGATTGGCAGAAGAGTCCCAGAGTTGCTGATTGAAAAGTTGGCAAACTTTACCTTGGAGGAAGAATTAGGGAATCTGGAATGATCTAATTTGGAGGACAGAATAGTTCACAAAGGTATGATACCAACTATACCCATTTTCACTGAAGATAGACACAGGAAATA
The DNA here is from genome assembly GCF_000001405.40 of Homo sapiens. Classification (NCBI taxonomy): domain Eukaryota; kingdom Metazoa; phylum Chordata; class Mammalia; order Primates; family Hominidae; genus Homo; species Homo sapiens. Next base: position 96,753,262 of record NC_000007.14, read on the forward strand.
GCTTTAAACAAAGGCCTAAAGGTCTTACATGGGCTGAAATTTTAAAAGTTTTGTTGATTAGAATTGAATATTGGAGTTACTGACAGAATTGTGGAATATCTTCCTGCAGAGATGTTTAAAAGTAGAACTTGTAACTATAATTGAAGTAAGACCCTTTAAAAGATGGAGATATAAATTAAGGGACTATGCATATAAGCTAAAGCATTGCTTTTGATTTTGCTTAAAAACAAAAACAAAAAGATAGTTTTGTGTTTGAGGTACGGCAAAAACAAAAAGCAAAATATACACTACTCTGGAGTTTTGCTAATATTATCTTAGATTCATTTAATCAATAAATATTTTTATCTAAAACTGTTTTAGGTGCCAGGCTTAATAGGACTGAACGAAGATAAAAATCACTGCTAAAAGGAAGAATTAAAATTAAAAAAAAAACAAAGGATGTATATATTTAGGGGTGAGGGCAGGCATGAAGATGTGTGTAAGTTTAGACGTGTGGCTAAGGAAGGCCTCATTGAAAAGGAAAAATTTGAGTAAATCCTGAAAGTTAAGGGAGAAAGCTATGGGGATCTCTGTGGGAGGGGGACTATTCTAGGCAGAGAAATTAGCAGGTGCAAAGGCCCTGAGGCAGGTATATGCTGGTCAGTATGGCAGAGGGAAGAGAATGAGTAGAAGAGTAGCAGAAGACCAGAGATAGTAAGGGCAGATCATGTAGAGCTTTCAACGTCACTGGAAGGGCTTTGATGCTGGTTTTTAGTCAGAGATGGGAGACAATGGATTTTAAGCAGAAGAGTGGCCCTGGAGCACTCTGGATACTCCTGAGAAGAGACTGTAGGGCAGGAGCTGGAGCAGGAAACCCATTTAGATGATGTGATAGTTAATTTTCCATCAACTTGACAGAATTAAAGGACACCTAAATAGCTGGTACTGCATTATTTTTTGTGTGTCTGTGAGGGTGTTCCTGGAAGAAACTGGCACGTGAGTCAGTGAACTGAGTGGGGAACATCTGTCCTCAATGTAGGCGGGCACCATTAAATGGTTGGGGCCTGGATAGAACAAAAAAGTAGAGGAAAGGCAAATGCTCGGACTCTCTCCTGGAACTGCGACACCCTCTCCTTCTCTTGGACGTCAGAAGTCCAGATTCTCTGGCCATTGGAGTTCATGACTTGCACTGGGGTCCCTCTACCCCCACCCCAGGCTCTCAGGCCTTTGGTCTTGGACTGAGGGCTATAACATGGGCTTCCCTGGTTCTGAAGCCTTTGGACTTGGACTGAGACATGATACCAGCTTCCTGGATTCTCCCACTGGAAGATGTCTTATTGTGGGACTTCTCAGCCTCCATAATGACATTAGCCAGTTCCCCTAATAAATCCTCTCTCGTATATCTATATGTGTATCCTGATGGTTCTGTGTTAGAATCCTGACTAATAGAGAAGAGTATTGCAGTAACCCAGGTGAGAAACGGCGGTGGTTTGGACTAGAGTGTTGGAAATATGTCGAGCACTGGTTGGATTCTGGATAGTTTTTTAAAAGGGAGTCAATAGAATTTCCTGAAGGATTGAATATGAATGTAAAAAAAGAGGAGTTGAGGGAAACTCCAAGAATTTTTACCCTAGCAACTGAAATAATGGGATTGAAATTGACTAAAATGGGGGATTTTTGTGAAGAGGGAGGCTTGGGAGGTACATAGCAAAAGCTCGCTTTGGACAGGTGAAGTTTGAGATGCAACTTGGTGCAGATGCCTCTACTACATGACAAAGCTATATGAGAACAACAGATTATCTAATCAACTACTCCCTTTCCCTACCACCCACTTTATACAACCTCCCATTGACCTATTGCTGTAAAATAAAACAAAAATCTCTTATATTCAAAGCTTTAAAATTCACATGATGATTCTGCTTTGCTTTAATTTTGCTCTTTAGTTTTATTTTGTCTAATAAAATGAAGTATACATTGAAATGCCTGGCACATGGTAGGTGTTGAATAAATATTTGTTGGATGAATGAATGGTAGTGGGGAAGCCACAGGGCAATTACCCTTTCCTGAAAAGACCACACAGAAATGGAAGGAGAGCTTGGCAATGTTGTTAGAGTCTAAATAAGAACCACTATATGTCTCCACATTTTCAGAAAACCAATGAGAGATGAAAAATCAAGAAATGCTTTTCTACTATAGACCCCAAAGACTTGGACAAAAGCCTTTAAACAACATATTCCATTAAAAAAAGAACTCCTGAAGAGAAAAATAGTATGTTTTCTTCTTTCCTAATATCAGCCTTGCAACTCAAACCAAGCATGAAGAATTGGCAGGTTATTTTGTTTTGTGTGTGTGTGTGCTTTTTTTTTTTTTAATAAAGCCTTCCTACAATGAAAGATTAAGAACTCAACAGTGTTCCCAGCCAACAAGAGAGTGGTTTGCAGCATAATGAGCAGATATATTAATTTGGAGGCTATGCAGTGGTAAACTGACTCATGGATAAAATACAATGTGGTCTTTGGGAAGAGGATTCATGTGCAAGAGAAGACATTGGATGAGATTTGTAATCTCAGCATAAGAACCCTTCAGAACACCCCTCTGGAAAAAGAGGCAGAGTCTCACACAGAAGCCCCCAGAATAGAGGTAGGATGTGCTGTGGCTGGATACAAATACTTAAGAAGGGGAGAGCTTTCACTTCCCAAAGAAGAGAAAGTTCACTTCTGACTATGAGAGGAATGTTAAGATTTGGTGGGAATGACAGCAAGGGTCACCGAGGAAAAGATTCTAATTTCTTCAAACATATTGTGAAGTTTTCAGTTGTGTCCTCCAAGAAGCAGATGCTGAGGTCGATTGGAGCATGCGTGGCTAACTGGGGACAGGGATGGAGAAGGTGTGCTTGTGAAAGGTAAAGGAGGGAAGAAGCAGAATTGCACAGGGAAAGCTTGCAGACGGAATTGTGGTTCTGACCTCTGCGAAAGAAAGTACCCTGGGGAAGCAGAATTCAGCAGGAAGCGCTGCAGACCATGATCACTATCCAACAAAGTCTTGGCTGACTCAACAGGGAGCTCCAGAGCAGGGATAATTGGTTAAAGGAGTCCCTACTGGGCAGAAGCGGCCATACCTTAGTACCCTGCCATACTTAGTCATTGGCTGAGGATTTCCTGGGGAGGCAGTGGCATCAGCTCAAAAACTGAGGAGGGTATTCCATTGTTTGTGTGTGTGTGTGTGTGTGTGTGTGTGTGTGTGTGTGTGTGTGTGTGTGTATATATATATATATATATATATATATACATACCACAGTTTCTTTATCCACTCGTTGATTGATGGGCATTTGGGTTGGTTCCATCATTTTGCAATTATGAATTGTGCTGCTATAAACATGCATGTGCAAGTATCTTTTTCATATAATGACTTCTTTTCCTCTGGTAAATACCCAGTAGTGGGATTGCTGAATCAACTGGTAGTTCTACTTTCAGTTCTTTAAGGAATCTCCACACAGCTTTCCATAAGGGCTGTACTAGTTTACATTCCCTCCCACAATGTAGAAGTGTTCCCTGATCATCACATCCATGCCAACATCTACTGTTTTTTGATTTTTTAATTATGACCATTCTTGCAGGAGTAAGGTGGTTATCACATTGTGGTTTTGATTTGCAGTTCCCTGATCATTAGTGATGTTGAAAATTTTTTCATGTTTGTTGGCCATTTGTATATCTTCCTTTGAGATTGTCTATTCATGTCCTTAGCCCACTTTTTGATGGGATTGTTTGTTTTTTTCTAATTGATTTGTTTGAGTTAGTTGTAGATTCTGGTTATTGGTCCTTTGTCAGATGTATAGATTGTGAAGATTTTTTCCCACTCTGGGTTGTCTGTTTACTCTGCTGAGTGCTTTTTTTCCCATGCAAAGGCTCTTTAGCTTAATTAAGCTCCAGCTATTTATCTTTGTTTTTATTGCATTTGCTTTTGGGTTATTGTTCATGAAATCCTTGCTTAAACCAATGTCTAGAAGGGTTTTTCCAATGTTATCTTCTAGAATTTTTATAGTTTCAGGTCTTAAATTTAAGTCCTTAATCCATCGTTGATTTTTGTATAAGGTGAGAGATAAGGATCCAGTTTCATTCTCCTACATGTGGCTAGCCCATTATCTCAGCACCATTTGTTGAAAAGGGTGTCCTTTCCCTACTTTATGTTTTTGTTTGCTTTGTCGAAGATCAGTTGGCTGTAAGTAAGTGGGTTTACTTCTTTGTTCTCTATTTTTTTTCCATTGGTCTATGTGCCTATTTTTATACCAATACCATGCTGTTTTGGTGACTATGACCTTATAATATAGTTTGAAATCAGGTAATGTGATGCCTCCAGATTTGTTCTTTTGGCTCAGTCTTGCTTTGGCTATGTAGGCTCTTTTTTGGCTCCATATGAAGTATAGAATTGTTATTTCTAATTCTGTGAAGAATGATGGTGGTATTTGATAGGGATTGCATTGAATTTGTAAATTGCTTTTGGCAGTGTGGTCATTTTGACAATATTGATTCTACCCATCCACGAGCATGGGATGTGTTTCCATTTGTTTGTGTCATCTATGATTTCTTTCGGCAGTGTTTCTTAGTTTTCCTTGTAGAGGTCTTTCACCACCTTGGTTAGGTATATTGCTAAGAATTTTGCTTTTTGCAGCTATTGTAAAGGGGGTTGAGTTCTTGATTTGATTCTCCACTCAGTCAGTGTGGTGTATGGAAAAGCTACTGATTTGTGTACATTAATCTTGTATCTGGAAACTTTGCTGAATTCTTTTATCAGTTCTAGGAGCATTCTGGGGGAGTCTTTAGTGTTTTCTAGGTAAACAATCTTATCATCAGCAAACAGTGACAGTTTGACTTCCTCTTTACTGATTTGGATGCCCTTTATTTCTTTCTCTTGTCTGATTGCTCTGTCTAGGACTTCCAGTACTATGTCAAAGAGGAGTGGTGAGAGTGGGCGTCTTTGTCTTGTTCCAATTCTCAGAGGGAATGCTTTCAACTTTTCCCCATTTGGTATTATGTTGGCTGTGGGTTTGTCATAGATGGCTTTTATTACATTGAGGTATTATGTTCCTTGTATGCCAATTTTGCTGAGAGTTTTAATCATAAAGTATGCTAGATTTTGTCAAATGCTTTTTCTGCATCTACTGAGATGATCATGTGATTTTGGTTTTTAATTCTGTTTATGTGGTGTATCACATTTATTGACTTGCGTATGTTAAACCATCCCTGCATCCCTGGTATTAAACTCACTTGATCGTGGTGGATTATCTTTTTGATATGTTGTTGGATTCGGTTAGCTAGTATTTTGTTAAGGATTTTAGCGTCTATGTTCATCAGGGATATCAGTCTGTAGTTTCCTTGATTGGTTATGTCCTTTCCTGATTTGGGTATTAGGGTGATGCTGGCTTCATAGAATGAATTAGAGAGGGTTCCCTCTTTCTCTATCTTGTGGAATAGTGTCAACAGCATTGGTACCAATTCTTCTTTGAATGTCTGGTAGAATTCTGCTGTGAATCTGCCTGGTCCTGGACTTTCTTTTGGTTGGCAATTATTTAGTTACAATTTCAATCTCACTGCTTGTTATTGGTCTGTTCAGGGCATCTAATTCTTCCTGATTTAAGTTAGAAGGGTTGTATTTTCCAGGTTATCCATCTTTCCTAGATTTTCTAGTTTATTTGCGTAAAGGTGTTCATAGTAGCCTTGAATGATCTTTTGTATTTCAGTGGTGTCAGTTGTAATATCTCCTGATTCATTTCTTAGTGAGGTTATTTGGATGTTCTTCCTTCTTTTCTTGGTTAATCTTGCTAATGGCCTATCAATTTTATTTATCTTTTCAAATAACCACCTTTTTGTTTCATTTATCTTTTCTATTTTTTTGTTTGTTTGTTTGTTTCAATATCATTTAGTTCTGCCCAGATCTTCGTTATTTCCTTTCTTCTGCTGGGTTTGGGTTTGGTTTGTTATTGTTTCTCTAGCTCCTTGAGGTATGACCTTAGAATCTCAGTTTGTGCTCTTTCAGTATTTTTGATGTAGGCATTTAGGACTATGAACTTTCCTCTTAGCACTGACTTTGCTATATCCCAGAGTTTTTTATAGGTTGGGTCATTGTCATTTAGTTTGAAGCATTTTTAAATTTCCATCTTGATTTCATTTTTGACCCAATGCTCATTTAGGAGCAGGTTATTTAATTTCCATGTATTTGTATGGTTTTGAAGATTCCTTTTGGAGTTGATTTCCAGTTTTATTCCACTGTGGTCTGAGAGAGTGCTTGATATAATTTCAATTTTCTTAAATTTATTGAGGCTCATTTTGTGGCCTATTTTATGCTCTATCTTGGAGAAAGTTTCATGTGCTGTTGAATAGAGTGTGTGTGCTGCAGTTATTGGATGAAATGTTCTGTATATATCTGTTAAGCCCATTTGTTCCAAGGTATAGTTTAAATCCATTGTTTCTTTGTTGACTTTCTGTCTTGATGACCTGTCTAGTGCTTAGTGCTGTCAGTGGAGTGTTGAAGTCCCCCACTATTATTGGGGGACTCATTTCTTAGGTCTAGTAGTAATTGTTTTATAAATTTGAAGGCTCCCAGTATTAGGTGCATATATGTTTAGGATTGTGATATTTTCCTATTGGACAAGGCCTTTTACCATTATATAATGTCCCTCTTTGTCTCTTTTAACTGCTATTGCTTTAAAGTTTGCTTTTTCTGATATAAGAATAGCTACCCCTGCTCGCTTTTGGCGTCCATTTGCACGAAATACCTTTTTCCACCCCTTTAAGTTTATGTGAGTCTCCTGAAGGCAGCAAATGGTTGGTGAGTTCTTATCCATTCTCCAGTTCTATATCTTTTAAGTGAAGCATTTAGGCCATTTACATTCAATGTTAGTATTGAGATGTGAGGTACCATTCCATTCATTTTGCTATTTTTTGCCTGTGTATGTTGTTTTTTTGTTTTGTTTTTACTTTTTAACTTGTATTTTTGTTTTGTAGGTCCTGTGTGATTTATGCTTTAAAGAGGTTCTGTTTTGATGTGTTTCCAGGATTTGTTGCAAAATTTAGAGCTCCTTTTAGCAGTTCTTGTAGTAGTGGCTTGTTAGTGGTCAATTCTCTAAGATTTGTTTGTCTGAAAAAGACTTTACCTTTCCTTCATATATGATGATGCTGAGTTTCACTGGATACAAAATTCTTGGCTGATAATTGTTGTGTTTAAGGAGGATGAAGATAGGGCCCCAATCCCTTCTGGCTTGTAGGGTTTCTGCTGAGAAAGCTGCTGTTAACCTGATAGGTTTTCCTTTACAGGTTACCTGGTGCTGTTGTCTCACAGCTCTTAAGATTCTTGCCTCCATCTTAACTTTAGATAACCTGCTGACAATGAATCTTGGTGATGATCTTTTTGCAATGAATTTCCCAGATGTTCTTTGTGCTTCTTGTATTTGGATGTCTAAGTCTCTCGCAAGGCTGGCGAAGTTTTCCTCAATTCTTTTCCCAAATATGTTTTCCAAACTTTCAGATTTCTCTTCTTCCTCAGGAACACCAATTATTCTTAGGTTTGGTCATATAACGTAATCCCAGACTTCTTGGAGGCTTTGTTCATATTTTCTTATTCTTTTTTGTTTGTCTTTGTTGTATTGGGTTAATTCGAAGACCTTGTCTTTGAGCTCTGAATTTTTTCTTCTACTTGTTGAATTCTATTGCTGAGACTTTCCAGAGAATTTTCCATTTCTCTAAGCATGTCCAATGTTGCGTGAAGTTTTGATTGTTTTTTCTTTATGCTATCCATTTCCTGAATACTTCTCCCTTCACTTCTTGTATTGTTTTTTGGATTTCCTTGCATTGGGCTTCACCTTTCTCTGGTGCCTCTCTGATTAGCTTAATGACTAGCCTCCTGAATTCTTTTTCAGGTAAACCAGGGATTTCTTCTTGGTTTGGATCCATTGCTGGTGAGCTAGTGTGATTTTTGGGGGGGTGTTAAGGAGCTTTGTTTTGTCATATTACCAGAGTTAGTTTTCTGGTTCCTTCCCATTTGGGTAGGCTCTGTCATGGGAAGATCTAGGGCTGAAGACTGTTGTTCAGATTCTTTTGTCCTATGGGATGTTCTCTTGATGTAGTATTCTCCCCCTTTTCCTATGGATGTGGCTTCCTGAGAGCCGAGCCGCAGTGATTGTTATCTCTCTTCTGGGTCTGGCCACCCAGCAAGTCTACCAGGCTCCAGGCTGGTACTAGGGGTTGGCTGCACAGAGTCCTATGATGTGAACCATCTGTGGGTCTCTCAGCCATGGATACCAGCACCTGTTCCAGTGGAGGTAGGAGAATGGTGAAATGGACTCTGTGAAGGTTCTTAGCTTTGGTGGTTTAATGTTCTATTTTTGTACTGGTTGGCCTCCTGCTAGGAGGTGGCACTTTCCAGAGAGCATCAACTGTGGTAGTACGGAGAGGAAATGGCGGTGGGCGGAGCCCTAGAACCAGCAAGAGTATATGCCCCTTGTCTCCAGCTATGAGGGTGGGTAGGAAAGGCCCATCAGGTGGGAGCAGGGCAAGGCATGTCTGAGCTCAGACTCTCTTTGGGTGGGTCTTGCTGCGGTTGCTGTGGGGGATGGGTCTGAGGTCCCAGGTCATTGGAGTTGTGTACCTAGGAGGATTATGGCTGCCTCTGCTGAGTCATGCAGGTTGTCAGGGAAGTGGGGAGAAAGCTGGCAGTCACAGACCTCACTCAGCTCCCATACAATCCAAATGGCCGGTCTCACTCCTACCATTCCCCACAACAGCACTGAGTCTGTTTCCAGGCAGTGGGCCAGCAGGGCTTGAGAATTTGCTCCAGGCTACCCACCTCCCAGAGTATTTGGGGTGTCTCCTGGGTCCTACAGGAGCAGTCTGCTTCCTTCAGAAGGTCTGTGGGTACTCTCTGGATTCTTGGTTTGTTCTTGCAGTCGTTTTGGGGCTAAAATTCACTATGTGATCCTCCGCACACTGCTGTGTCTGCCTGAGTCAGAGTTGCAATCTAGTGCTGCCTCCTGTCCGCCACAATAATCTCTCCTCCCAAATAGTTAGTACTTTTGAGTTCTAAAAAAAAATCTTTGTTTTTATCTTCCCAAGCTTGTGAAGATATTCTCCGGCATTATCCTAGGGAAGCTTTGGGAGGGGTTTCATATTTTGAACTATGATCCATTGTGAGTATATTTTTGTGAGTGGAGCAAGATAGATGTTGAGGTTTATTTTCTTCCTTTTGAATATCAAGTTGTTATATCATTATTTGTTAAAAATATTTTCCTCATAGTTGGTTTGACAAAACTCAATTGACTGCTATGTGTGAGTCTATTTCTAGACTCTTGGTTCTGTTCCATTTATCTAACTGCCTATTCTAGTATATCTCAACTTCTCTTATTATCACTCTCCTGAGGAGCTTTTCTAGACATTTTTATTCCTAATTGCCCCCTCCTCCATTAACTTTTTTTCCAATGTTTTTTATTGTGGTAAAATACACATAACATAAAATTTATTATCTTAGCCATAATTAAATATATTAATATTGTATAACCTATAATACCATCACTACCACCCATCTCCAGAAATATTTTAATCTTGCAAAACTAAAACTCTATATCCATTAAACAAAACTACCCATTTTCCCCTCTCACTATCCCCCAGCAACCACCATCCTAATTTCTGCCTCTATGATTTTCACTACTCCAACTACCTCATACAAGTGGAATCACATAGTGATTGTCTTTTTGTGACTGGCTTATTTCACTTAGCATAATGCCCTTGAGGTTTACCCATGTTGTAGCATATTTCCTTCCTTTTTGAGTTGGGACTATATTCCATTGTATGTTTAAACCACATTTTGCTTATCCATCATCTGTTGCTTCCACATTTTAGCTACTGTGAATAATGCTGCTATGCATATGCATGTACAAGTATCTCTTCCAGACTCCACTTTCAGTTCTTTTGAGTATATACACAGAAGTTGAATTGCTAGATCTATTTTTTTAATGTTTTTTATTTTTTAGAGACTCAGTCTATGTTGCCCAGGCTGGAGTGCAGTGACTAATCACAGGTGTGATCACAGAGCACTACAGCCTGGAACTCCTGACCTCAAGATATCCTCTCACCTCAGACTGCTGAGTATTTGGGACTACAGGTACACACTACTGCACTTAGCTGATAATTCTATTTTTATTTTTTTTGAGGAGCTGCTAGCCGCTATATTGTTTTCCACAGTGGCTGTACCATTTTACATTCCCATCAATAATGCATTCCAGTTTCTCCACATGCTTGCTTACACTTGTTATCTTCTGTTTTTTTTTTAATCATAGCCATCCTAATGGATGTGAGATGATATCTCATTGTAGTTTTGATTTGCATTTCCCTTATGATTAGTGATGTTGAATATCTCTTCATGTGATTTTGGCTCATTTGTATATCCTCTTTGGAGAAACATCTATTTATGTACTTTGTCCATTTTTTAATTGAGTTGTTTATTTTTTATTGTTGAGATTTAATAGTCTCTGTGTTCTGGCTATTTATCTTTTATCAGACACATAATTTGAAAATATTTTTTCCCATCCTGTAGGTTGTGTTTTTAGTCAATTGTTAATGTCTTTGATGTACAAATTTTTTAAGTTTTCATGAAGTCCAATTTGTCTATTTTTACTTTTGTTGCCTGTGCCTTTGGTGTCACATCCAAGAAATCGTTGCCAAATTCAGGGTTACAAAATTTTGTCCTACATTTTTGTCTAAGAGTTTTAGAGTTTGAGATCTTATATTTAGGTCACAGATCCATTTTGAGTTAATTTTTGTGTGTGGTGTTACATAAGGACCCAGCTTCATTCTTTTGCATGTGGATATCCAGTTTTCCCAGCAACAGTTGTTGATATGACTGTCTTTTCGCCATCCCTCCATGAATTTTGATATTAGAGATACATATCTGTTTATGTGCTATATGTATATATGTGCTTCATACATGAAAAGAATATGTGTTTTCCCCTCCAAGAACCAGTTTCCATCCCCTTGGGAGTGCTACCACTTCTATTGAGAACACATAATCTATTCTTAGGCTAATACCATATTGTAGCTTTATAGTACATTTTGAAATGAGGTAGAGGAAATCCTCCAACTTTGTTCTTCTTTTTCGACATTCTATTTATTAATCTATATTTTTTGCTTTTACAATAAGTTTTAGAATCAGCTTGTCAATTAAAAAAAATGTGGTGAAATTTTACTACTGCTCACAATGGAGTAACAGGAGCTAGATTTCCTAAAGCACATGGAAATCTAGACACAATACATTTTTTTTCAGGCACTGGACAACAGGCAGTGCAGATCTGTGGTCCCCAAGAGAAGGAAAATAAACTGGTCACCTCAACTGACTGCTTTGAGGCCCATTCTAAATTGCAGAACAGGAGGAAAGATGTCAGAAAGAACACAGCAGCTTTGCTGAGGAGACAGAGATGAGAGTTCAGGGAATCTGAGGTGGTGGGATGTTACTTGGAAGAGTTTCAGAAAAGAGGCAGCTAAATAGAAAAAGAGTTTCAAGAATTTCCATAGGGTTCCCCTTGGGGTTTTGAGGAATACTAAGACCTACATCCATAGAGTAAGAACTCTCCACACTCAAGAAAGAAAAAAAAAAAACTGATCAAGATCCATGAGCTAAACTGCTCAGAATTCACACAGTACTTGGTATTGTTTGAGTTCCCAGCAGCCAAACTGGAGATTCCTCATTGGTTGATCAGGACATTCACTAGAGATCACAGAAGGATCACATTTCTTGAAGTAGGGCTAAACTATTCCTACATTAATGGCTACTCTAGACGTACTCTAACCCTTAAAAACCAGTCTCATAAGAATTACACTAAAATGCAAATAATAACCCTCAGATCTAATTCAACACTCTTTGAAGAAAGACAACAAAATCCAGCATTAAGCAACATAACATCCACAATAATGGGCAAGTAAACAGAAATTCCTAGACAAATCAAAATCAAAAGATAGTGTAGTTTACACTCTGTACTAAATGTATGCTATACTTTAATAAAAAGTAAAAAGAGAAAAAGAGGAAAGACAGCAGTTTTAGCAAAAAAAAATTGCCAAAACAAACATGGGATAATACAATGCTTATCAAACCTGCAGAATTACCTGGAAGGCTGATCTTGTTAAAACACAGATTACTAGGCCCAACCCTTAGAGTTCCTGATTGCTAGGTCAGTTGAGGGGAGGCTCACAATGTGGATTTCTGACAAGTTCCCAGCTGCTGCTGCTGCTGCTCCAGAGGTAGCATTTGAGAACGACTGGAACAGTGTTTGGTTTTAGATTCTAGAATCAGTTAGACCGACTTAGCCATTTACTAACTTCGTTATCTGGTTGCATTTCTTAACCTTTCAAAACCCCAATTCTTGTTTCATTTGGTATTGTTTTTGGTAAAATAGGGATAATAATGGTACTTACCTCATATGATTGATGTGAGGATTAAATGATATAATGTGCCCAGTATTGGCACATAATACGAAATAAAATTTAGCCACTTTATTATTATTATCATTACATAAATTGCTAGCTATTTTTATTATCACTGAGAACAAACTAATATCCTCTATATTTATTTTGTGACCCTAAATTAGCTGGTATTGTTGTAGTAAATGTGAAAAAAGCTTTTCTAATCCAAGACCTTTTTTCTTTTGTTTATACAACTGTCTTCCAGAATGTTCCTTTGGGGCTAAAATTTTCCATGCTTGGTTTAAGCCAAAAGATGATTTTTTTTTTCAAGGCAAATGAACAAAATCAGTTAAAGCCTGTTGAGTTATGGGAAAAGAAAAAAAGAATATTTTTCATTGCTTTAGAAAAAGAACCTCACAGAAATATCTAAAAAATAATGTAAACATAAAGTAAGTTCAGCTTGGGCATAATAATGATTCTCAAAGAGAAAATTTAAATTGGAAAAATTGGAAAAGCAGAGGTTTTTTTGAGTGTAGGGTTTTATTACGATATTAGTTAAATGTAAGCTTCTTAAGAGAAAAATTAGTGCTGATATAAGTTTCTATAGATGACAAATAGAAAATCTCACACCACAACATTGCATTGAGAAACAATTGAGACACTAGTAGGAAAGCAGCTACACCAGAAGAAATCTTTCCCTGAACAAAGGTATCCAGGTACCAGCTCAATAGCACTTCATTCAGTCAACCCTGAAAGGAGATTTTCATAGGAACTTTAGATATAGATTAGCCAACCCTTTGAAAAATAGACCTAGAATATACCATAAATCACATTTTTACTCTGATGTCATAACTGGGTCTACAAATGGTGTGGCAGATATATCACTAGTCCATTGATTTCCTCCCTATGTAGGTTGATGTCAACTTGGCCTGGTAAGTTACTCTGGCCACTGAAACATGGATGAGAATGATGCAGGCCATTTGTGAGCACAAAGTTTAAGAGTCACCATGTGGCACAGCCCTCTCTCTTTTCCCTCTTCCATAAGACTGTGTAATGTCCCAGATGGGGATCTTTCCTTCATTTGGGTCCCAGAAGGAAGCCAATAGGGTTCAGAGTCATAGGCAGCCAGTGACAGGTGCTTTTGTTTGTTTGTTTCTGATAGCACTGAGATTTTAGAGTTGTTTGTTATTGCAGCATAACTTAAGCTAAGCCTCCCCCACCCCTGCCCAACATACACATACAGAGAGAGAGAGAGAGAGAGAGAGAGAGAGAGAGAGAGAGATGATAGATAGATAGATGATAGATAGATAGATAGATAGATAGATAGATAGATAGATAGATATGCTGTCTGATAAATAAGGATTATGTTGGCCACTCCTAGAGGTACATGACACACACACACACACACACACACACACACACACACACACACAGGCTTCTTTTCTCCTCAATGGCAGCCTTAACTGGGAGGATGAAAGGCAGGGCAAGGTAAAGGAGAGGGTGTCGTTGGTAGGTGGAAGAGGCTAGAACTCTGAGTCTACCTTCAAATTAACCTTTTTTTGGGCTGCTTTTGAGAACCTACAGTCCATTCAAATTTTACTAGTTAAGCCCTGTGAGCAACTGAATGACCATATCTATCTTTATACAACCAATCAGCCTAGCACAACACTGAATCATACACACTTAATTAATTAATTATGCCTGGACAAATGAATGATTGGAAATGGCACTGACCATAGAAACTAGAGGCATTTCTCTCCCTGAGTAATGATGAATCTAAGAAATTAATATCACGCATATATTCCTAGATAATGCATTCTGAGACTTTTTGGTTAGGGAACAAAAAAACAGGATGAGAAAGAGAGAGGTAGGGAAGGATAAGGAAAACTGGATGGTATCCTCAGAGCAATTTGGATTAATTAAATGTCTTCTTTGAAAAAAGAAATGATAAAAGACAACAAACCATAACAGCTAATAGCTCCTTAAGGACAGTTTCATAAAGTGTCAAGATTATTTGGGAACTTTCCCCATAATAATGCATGTCACCATGCTTTGAGGAGGCTGAAGATAATCTGAAGCTCACAAGAAAGGAAGAAAGAAAACAAAAAGAGGTCTGGAGATATTAGGTCATATGTAGTTTTCTTGGGTTACAATTTCAAAAAATTATATGTCTGTAGAATCCATTAAGTAAAGAATATGAACTCTTTCAAAGTAAAACTGTTTATTAGCAGTATTTTATAGAAAGTTAGAATTAGAGTATTTTTATTAAATATCTTTTTTTAGACTTCACCTTTAAAAATTATATTTTAAATAACCATGGTTTGGGCTCATTAAGTAGCATAAACTATTTTTGAAAAGCTCTGGGTTCAATAAAGCCCAAGCTGTCTTTTGCTAAGCACCTTTTTCTCTCATTTTAAAAACCATTTGTGTTTTAAGAGAAATTTAACCCATCTGTTTTTTATTTATTTAAATTTAAAGAATCAGAATGGTGTTTTTTCAAGTTAGTTGATACCAAAGAAGCTATTTGAGCCTTTTAAAGAGCTTTTAGTCAACAAACAAGAAGCAATGATTTGCCAAGTGTAAATGAATTTGCACACCAAGAGGTGTGTATTTGTTTGTAACTGCAAACGTCTGATTTCCAGTCCCTTCTGTATCTGGCAGAGATAGATAGTTTTTGTTCTAGATTCCCCAAACATTAGCTGCCTTTATGATGAATAAATGTATTAAGGTTGTAAAATTAAGTCAAATGGGGATGATTGATAAAATGGTTCAATAAATCATTGGCGGTGCAAGAGGCCTTGTAACTAAATGGAAAGGATTGTAATTAATCTGTCAGACATTTATTGAGTTTCTCTTATGGGTAAGGGAAAATGCTAAGACGAAAAAGCCATGGTTCCTGATCCCCAAACTATGAACAACCTAAGAAGCTTGCCTTCTTCATTCTTTAAAATCGAGAGAATCTAGAAAGTTCAATTGGATGGTATTTCTGTAGAAAGAGAACTGAGGTATGGTTTCGGGAATTTTCAGATATGAGGGCAATGTTCTTAAAAAATTAGATTAAGAATAAAAAAGATCAGAATTTATCAAGCAGATGGTGTTGCTTTTTACCTCTCCCATCTCTGTCTCTCCCTAGGGTTAAAAAAGTCACTCAGCTGACTGACTGTGATGCTTAATTTTAGATGTCAACTTGATTGGATTAAGGGATACCCAGATAGCTGATAAAGTATTATTTCTGAGTATTTCCAGAAGATTGGCATTTGAATCTGTGGGCTGAGTAAGATGTAAGCAGGCATGGTCCAGTGTGGGCAGGCATCGTCCAAATGGCTAACGGCCCACATATAGCAAAAAGGCAGAGGAAAGGTGAATTTGCTCTCTCTCTCTCTCTCTCAATTTCTTCTTTAGCTGGGACACCCTTCTCTGCCCTTGGATGTTAGAACTCTAGGTTTTCTGGCCTTTGAACTCCTGGACTTGCACCAGTAGGCCCCTGGGTTCCTCAGGCCTTCAGCCTTGGGCAGACAGTGATATTGTTTAGCTCTGTGTCCCCACCCAAATCTCATGTTGAATTCCACTTCCCACTGTTGGGGGAGGGACCTGGTGGAAGGTGATTGGATCACAGGGGTGGGTTTCCCCTTTGCTGTGCTTGTGATAGTGAGTGAGTTCTCTTGAGACATGGTTATTTGAAAGTGTGTAGCCCTTCCCCCTTCACCTCTCTTGCTCCATCATGGTAAGATGTGCTTGCTTCCCCTTCGCCTTCTGCCATACGTTTCCTGAGACCTCCTAGCCATGCTTCCTGTACAGCCTGCAGAACTGTAAGTCAATTAAACCTCTTTTCTTCATAAATTACTCAGCCTCAGGTAGTTCTTTATAGCAGTGTGAGAACAGACTAATACAGAAAATTATACAATGGGATTCCCTCTGTCTGAGATCTTTCAACTTAGATTGAACCATGCTACCAGCTTCCCTGGTTCTCCAGTTTGCTGATGGCCTATTGTGGGACTTCTCAGCCTCCATAATGATGTGAGCCAATTCCCATAATAAATCTCCTCTCATCTCTGTATTTATCTCTCTATATATCCTATTAGTTCTGTCTCTCTGGAGTACCCTGACTAATACACTGACAAAATCACAATATTCTGTAAGACGTTATGTACTGAAGCTTAACAGACACTTATATTAAACCTGCAGGTATCTTCTCTAAAATTGGAGTTGACTTGCTTCTCAGATGTTCAGCCTCCTCACCTCTCTCTACTCTGGTTCTCAGTAGCTTCTTTTTCTGTCCTATAAATACGAACTGCATCCAATATATGGATATTTTAGGGAGTAATGAGGATAGCACTTCAACCTTTGCCTCAATCTCTGAAAATTTGCTCTGGACAGAAACTTATTTATTTGACTGCCTCTCTCCTCTTAGAGAGATAACAATAAATAAGGGGTAAGTGGAGGAGGGAGCAGAGGTTTTGCTCAATAATTATCCTATGAATTCTTTCTTCAAAAAACGGAACGACAAATGGTCAAATGATGGTATAAGTGACCTCTCCCTACACCCCCAACAGGAGGACATATAATACATATAATTTTAAAAGTGTGTTTACCTTCATGTCAGAAAAAGCATTGAGCTTTATCATTCAAAAACAAGTATTTATTGAATATCTACTATGTGTCAGGCACTGTTCTAGCTGCTCATGGTGTGCCAATTAACAAAACAGACAAAAAACCAAACTCTGCCCCAGTGAAGCTCACATTCTAGTAGAGTGCTACCTCCAGCATGAATGAAGGTATCAGATTCTTCCCTCAGGTCATGTTTAACTCAGAGGAAGATAGATAAAGTTGGAGAGACACAGAGAACATGATGTGGACTAGTGGCTTCTCTGATCAGGGAGAGTGGTTTGGTAGATAAAGGGTGAATGACAGAGATCAATTCAACTGTTTTACAGTTTTGTTTGGGATAAAACCATTTACTTCTTTTAAAAAAGTGGAAAAAATTCTATTAAAAAAGTAGAAAGCATAAAAGTAGGCAAATTTAATGAATAAGGTGATTTTCCTTCCCTCTAACAAATCTGTTTCTGTTTTTCATGTGTTAATGTAATCTACCATCCCATCGGTCCGTCAGCACATCATGCTTATAGTTTTACAGTATGGCACTTCCCAGATAAGAATCCCATTCTTTCTTTTCCTCTTACATGATTTCAAGAGCTGTCTGGCGGTCAGACTGTTGAATTGAATTCAAGGATGCTTTCAGATTCGTGCCATGAAACAGGCAATTCACCTTATCTCCATAAGGCACATTACTGTCCCCCAGTGAATGACATCTGACAGAAACAGTAAAGAGTGACTTATCTAGAATCTAGCAAGCATTTCTTTTCCCAGGATGGGCTGAGAAAGGGATGTTAAAAGGAAGGCATGGCACGTAAATCTTGTGTAACCACAATGAGTACATTGTAAGTCAGCCCACATCAACCATTGTGGCTGGAAAACCTATACTATGGCACCTGTCCTTGCAGAACTGAAAATAGTGAAATTCCATTTCAACCGAAATCAAATAAAAAGTCCAATCGGCTGGATGTTCCAAAGACAGAGCCCCCTGTAGGTTTATTCATGGGGAAGATGCAGCCCCTGAAACTATGCATGAGACCAGAGTACATTTCTGTTGGGAGACCTTGTTGCTGAGTCTGGTGGGACCACGGAACCAGAGTTGCTACCAGGCATTCACTGTGGGGTAAAATAGGGTCCCAAGTTTTCCATTCAGTTATGGATGCAGTCTCTCAGAAATGCCTGTAAAAGTGCTATTGGCTGCTATTTTCTGCTGGAAACAGATTGAAACCTCAGTGTAAGTAAATAATCTCATTCTGAGGCAAAGAAAGACTTTCTAGTCCTCAGTGTGGGGCTTGTTTTAGAGTTTCACATGGAGTCATAAGGTGGGTATAACTGGGAATCAGTTCCAGATTTCCACTGGATTCTGTATACTGAAAATTGCAACATCAATGGACAATAAATTAGTTCACAGCTACTCTGGGTTTGATGCGTGGGAAATGTCATCACAATGGTTGTCTCCCAATTTATAAACCAGTAGAAATTTTTTTTTCTTGGAAAATTGGACACATATGTGGCTATGATTAGCCTCATGTTTATTTTTCATTTCTAAAAAGTATGAGTAAATGTCTACTACATTCGGTGCCCTGTGTGCCAGCATCAGTGGAGAATGGGTTTGGGCAGGGTTAATACTGTTTTTAAAAAATGATTATTAAAAATATTTATTGGGTAAAAATTTAAAACTAAAACTTGTCCTGAAGTTGAATATCCAACCTAAAATCAAATCCACCACGGCTTCATTGTGGTTAGAGGTGCTAATCAAAGATTAAGTGGATTTGCTTTATTGGGGATCCCCAGTTACCACCAAAGCACCTGTAATCTCTGAATTGTGGCCCTTTCTTGTAAAGCAATTCATTTGGTTCTTTCACATTTTTCCCCTTCAACCTCAACAGATTCCTGTGGCTTTTGTGTTATTTTTTCATCGCTCTGATTGAATAATTATTCCCATCCCATCTTGCTCATCTCCTTCTGCATCATATCTTTTGTTGCAGATTTAAACTTGCATGCACTCCCTCTTGTCTCTTCCCTAGTAAGTCCGCCCAGGAATGATTCTGCATGTGAATAGAAGGTGTTGACTGTTCAATATGTTTTGCATGTACTGTCAGCGGCTTTATTACTGCCTCTTTCCAGATCTTTGCCACTAAGAAGCATGAAGATGTTCATTTCAATAACTAGGCTCCTGTCATGTCACAATGGAATGGATGCCTGGGATCGTGTGGATGCTTTGAGTCATAATGAAGGTCGTGTCTAACTTGTGTCAGCAGCAAAGTGGCAAAGAATACAGAAATACCCTCATCAGAGGATATAGCAAAAGCATCCTCAGAGTGGAAGGAACCATTTTCCCAGAAACACCAGTCTTACTAATTTCTAGTGCCCAGCGGCTTGTAATCACAGTGAATGAACATGAAGTTTAAGATGGTGTAGGTGTCATTCAAAGAATGCTGAAGAGTCAAGATACATTCTCAATCAAAATGCAAGCACAAACTGAACTAATCTCTGAAGCCATTGTAGTATCCTCTTCTCTGCTAGATGTCCATCAATATCATAAATATGGCTGCTCTGGACCTATCTCAGTTTTGGATCCTATGAAAATTATTGAAATATATAACCATTCAAAAGAGAGAGTTGAACATTATGACAAGAAAGGATGTTTCTGCTATCTTGTTAAAGGTAGATACATTGTGTATTTATCATTTTGTTACACATATGCTAGACACACACAAACAGGGAACAAAGAATAAAATTCTATACATCAAAATATTAGCTGGGGATATCTCTGAGTGCTAAGATTACAGAAGAATGATATTTTTCCTTATGGTCATCTTTATTTCCACAGTGAATGAAAACAATGAATGTCATAGATTCTAAATTAAACCACAAGCAATTCAACTTCATATATAAAGGGCCCCCAAGGGGATAGGATCTAGATTAGAAACAAACACAACAGAAAGTCCATGTTACCATTATACGATTTCAAAAAGAGTAACTTAGGTGTTTTCATAATGATTTAGTGGTTCTAAAGCTGAAAACAAGTTATGATAGGTTCCAAATTAGTTTAGTTTTCACGGAGACTTTCAGTGTTCCCATTCACTGTTCCAATGTGTGTTTTGCTCATGTCTAATACTATTTTCAGATGGTTTGGGAGGAGAAAACAAAGATTTTGAAAGGCAGTGTCATCACATTTTATAATCATATTTGGAAAATAGCAATATTTTATTGTGCCCTTCTTTTAATATATATGTAGATGCCTTTCTTTTGGTATATTAAAAGAATATTTTCTGCTTCGTTTATGGCTTTTAGCAAGTTGGATTTTTTTTCCTATTTAGTGTTTTTTGATCTCCCTCCAAAAGCCTTATGACAGCTGAGTTTAAGTGGTTGCTTCAGGCTACAGAAGTCAAAGATGAAATTGAATTATGCTTCCAGGCTTGGCATACAGAATCAAGAAAAATTTCATTCATTATGATTAATTAATCCAGAAACACAGTGGTAGTATTATGATTATATTGTGTCTGGAACTTGGCATACTTTCCACTGACATTTACACAGTAAAGAAGAAAAAGGAATGGTGATTCTATGCCTAGTATATCACTCCATAATAGACAGGCTGGGAAAAATGAAAAGAAAAAGGCAAACAGGAGACTAAGGAAGAAAAGATGTTATATATTTTGTGGGGGTGGGAGCTGGGGATGGGGAGTGGGGGTGGAGTAGAATTGAGATTCCTCTCGCTGTTTATTTTCTCCTGAAGAAATCCCATGCTATGGGATGATGAATGGCTTGCGAGATAGAGTTACCCTCAACACCATTTATTTCTGTGCTTCAATTCATAATATATGGTGTTACAGTGACAATTACTCAAATTGATAGTGACATACACCAGTGAATATGAACACACTTCCGAAATGCCTCTTAAAGAGGCATTGCTAACGTCGTCAAAGCAT
Organism: Homo sapiens; assembly: GCF_000001405.40. Taxonomy (NCBI): domain Eukaryota; kingdom Metazoa; phylum Chordata; class Mammalia; order Primates; family Hominidae; genus Homo; species Homo sapiens. The sequence continues at coordinate 96,774,209 of NC_000007.14, forward strand.
TGTCTGCTTATGTCCTTTTATGTGGACTCCTTTCCTTTGTTGTAATAAACTTTGAAAGTGGATTACTTGGGGCTTACTATTTAGCAGGCAGGTAATTAACCTAAGGGACCAGCACTGGCTGAGGATGGAAGCTTCTCAATGATGAGGATGATGGAGCAAGAGACAAGGGGAGAGAGGAGAAGGGGAATTAGAAGTGAATTGCTTAGCCACTGCTGCAGTAACACCAAACAACAAACAATCACAAGCTCTCAGCAGCATACAAGAAGAAGCAGGCATTTATCACGCATCTATGGGTCAGCTCTATGGATCTCTGGGAGGCTCCTCATGCATATGTATGATATGCAGACTAGCTAGAGGTCAGTTACCCTGGACTGACTGGGATCTACTGGGCTTCTCTGCCTCAAGATGCAGGTCTGCAAGTCAGCCAGGAGGCTCTGTTCCCCATCCTCCTCAGACCAGGCAGCTACCAGGGGAATGTTCTTAGCGCAAACGCAGAGGTGCAAGAGGGCAAACTCCACCTCACAAGCTCCTCAGGTGCTCATCCCCCACTTTCCTCTCGGAGTTAGTAGGAAAGAGAACTATGACACCCTAGTGAGAGTGTGCATGATATTACTAGGAGAAAGAACTGAGCAGTCACTCCATCATGATAGGGAGAGAGAAGAAGGGAGAATAGAGTGAGAAAGACAGGCAAGAGACTGAGGCACCCAGAGACTAACAATCCCCTTCAGTTATTCCCCAACTCACAGCCAAGTAAATGAGAAACTCATACTGGTAATGGTTTCAACCCTTCAAGATGTGGTTGTTTCTGCAGCTGGGGGCTTCATTATAATTTATCTGGGAAGATTCTTGCCGGTAACACGGTAAGTCTACGGTACACATTTCGTAGTGGGTCACAATCCTATAGTTGGCAGCAACTTTCTTTTCAGTATATTGGCATGAAGTTTCCTTTTTTTTAAATTTCCTGAGCAGTGTGGGAGAAAGTTTCTTTTCTGGGGGCCTGTGAATTTCCATGTGTCATTAATTTTGAATCATGCTGTCACCGTGACAGCTCAGGGGCCTTACAGATGCGAACATGAGATAAGGCAGGTAGGTGTAAGTCAGGTTGCTCTCTGAAATGTACTGTGCATAAATGCTATATATGGATGAGAACCCAAAATATACCTCCTATATAACAAAGCCAGTTAAAGACAAAGAGCACTTTAACCGTTACGGCATGTATAGGAACATTTCCAGAAGAGCGGCCTCTGTATCTGGTTCTATACCAATTTGTGTGACTTTATACAAAGGAAACCCTTTATGCTCCTTGAAGGATCTCATTTTCTATATCTACAAAATGAAATATTTCAAACATGTAGCAAAACTTACCTATATAACTAAAAGATCAACACTAAAATATTCAAGTCTATAATTTTGACTTTTACATTTACATTTTCAATGTAAACCCTCAATGTGTTTTACAAAAGCTTTGTGGTATAAGAATCTATTTCAACAGGTATATGACTTTGAGGCAATGCCACTTATCAGACTGGCCCACTGGAAGAGACAACTGGTATATTTTTCCTGCCCAGTACTCACTTACTTTCCTTCTTTCTTTCTTTCTCTCTTTCTTTCTTTCTTTTCTTTCTCTTTCCTTCTTTCTTTCTTCTTTCTTTTCCTTTTTTCTTTCTCTTTCTTTCTTTCCTTTATTTTCTTTTTTTGTAAATGTGCTACTTCTGGACTGTAGGAGATTCTGAGGAAATTGTCAACTGGGAGTCTACCTTCCCACCACTATCACCACCACTGAAGTGATCATTTGACCCTAACTGAGGCAATGAGATTCTTCCTCCTAGAAATTTATATCTTAAGTGTTAACCACCCAGGTATGGAATCCTGTGAACAGACATGAAGCAGTTAGAGCTGAGCCATACAATGGTAGAGAATGGGAGAGAGAGTTAGTTCTTAGGTTCCATTACCTAAGTTCTCAGACCTGCCTTGCTTTCCACCTTTTCTAAGACTTGAATGCTCTCTCTTTGGTTATGTAACTGCTCTCTCTTCCCAATAAATTGCTTTTTTTTTTTTTTCGGAGGCTCTCTCCGTTGCCAGGATGGAGTGCAGGGGCGCAATCTTGGCTCACTGCAACCTCCACCTCCCGGGTTCAAGCAATTCTCCTGCCTCAGCCTCCCAAGCAGCACCATGCCCAGCTAATTTTTGTATTTTTAGTAGAGATGGGGTTTCACCATGTTGGCCCGGATGGTCTCAATCTCCTTGACCTTGTGATCTGCCCACCTTGGCCTCCCAAAGTGCTGGGATTACAGGTGTGAGCCACCACGCCCAGCCAATAAATTGCTTTTTTGCTTATGTTGAACATGGTAAACTTCAGTTGCTTGCAAGCAAAAAAAAAAAAAAAAAAAACCACAAACCAAAACAAAAAAAAAACCACATGCTGGATAATGTGGATGGGCTGTGGGCAACTTGGAAGCCAACACCCTCATTTCTCATATTTCCTTGCACCTAGGGTTCTAGATGCAAATTAAGTTCCATCAATTCATCACATTAGTATAAGATTTAGAAGCCTGAAGTGAGGCAAGGCCATTTTCCTGTCCCTTTTTGGCTGTGTCTGCTGATAAACATGGCTGTGAAAACCTGAGATCTCTCTGCAGCAATGTCCCAGTGTCCACACTAAGGCTTCCTTGGTGATGAGTAAAAGCACTTGTGGCAGGCTTTACTCATTCAGATTACTTGATTTGTTATCCTAATCCCTGCCTTGTACCTCCTTTGGTACCCAGAAGCAGTGGCAGCAGAGAGGTGGCAGGTTCTTGACTCAGGCACAGCTCTCCTAGTGCCTCAGTGGCAGTAGCTGGTGGATGGGTTCTGTATCATTTTGCAATCGCTTTTAGAGACCCAGACTACAGCCTGATCCTTTAACACATCTAGTGATTTCATAAGCACTCATTCTCTGTATTAAATTCTTCCTGCTAGTGGCCCAGCATGGTGGCTCATGCCTGTAACCCCAGAATTTCAGGAGGCCGAGGCCGTGGATCACTTGAGGGCAGGAGTTTGAGACCAGCCTGGCCAACATGGCGAAACCCCATCTCTACTAAAAATATAAAAATTAGCCAGGTGTGGTGGTGCATACTTGTAATCCTAGCTACTTGGGAAGCTGAGGCAGGAGAATTGCTTGAACCTGGGAGGTGGAGGTTGCCGTGAGCCAAGATCATGCCACTGCACTCCAGCCAGGGCCACAGAGTGAAACTCTGCCTCAAAGAAAACAAAAGTTAAAAAAAAAATAAAAAAATTTTCCTGCTAATAATACCTAAAGTGGTCTCTTTTTTGAATTGAATCCTAATAGAGAACCATAACTGATACAAATTTATAAATGATCTAGAAAAGGACATATGAGCCAGTTAGAAATATGCAAATAAAAGCAATATAGTACAAGAGTGCTCAAATAATTTTGTGCTTGAATTTCTTCTATATCATCAACAACAGGTATATTGTTAGGTAGTCAAGACTACAGGAGCTATAAAATTTGTAAGACATAGATAAGTTATGGGTTACAAAACAATTTGAATTTTACAAAGTAGTTGAAATTTTCTTATATTTCTGTCTGCTATTAATATAGTTACAGCAGACAGTTTTCTTGACATTGAAAAGCTGATTCTAAAATATGTTTGCAAGAAAAATGAATTAGGAATAGCCAAGTATGACAGAAGAGATAGTAGAACCAGATGAGGGGACATACTTTACTAGATGTCAGTTTATTCTAAAGTAATGATAAATAAGGTAAAATGATATTAGCACATTTAGGAAACCAATAGAAAAGAATGGAGTGTCCAGGAAGAGACTCACGCAATATGGAAATTTTGTATATAGCAAGTCTGGCAATAAGGATCAGAGGGGAAAGATTGAACAAGTTACTTCAATATGCTGAGAAAACTAGTTATCCTTCTGGGGGAAAAAAAGCCCTACTTTATTCACACACACATATACACACCATTCTAAACGGTTTAGTGATTTGGCCATCAATGGCAAAACTTCAAAATTTTAAAACCCTGAGAAGACAAAACAGTAAAATATCTTTAAGCCTTCTGGGCAGGCCTGGGTAGGAAATTCTTTAAAAAGACACAAAAATAAAAAATAAAAAAGCACCATTGACTTTGACTGTAGTTAGTTCCTGAAATACTCAGAGGTCTAGTCAGATAAAAAGGTCAGGTGTCTCAGAGATTCGCCCTTCCAGGTACTCCACATGGGGCAGCAGAGTCACATCTGAATGAATGGGATGTAATGGAATGCAGTTAAAGACTAAGATACAGTGTGTAGACCAGGCCTGTATGCGTGGGTGGCCAGGTAAGTGCCTCAGAAAAAAGACCTGCTACCATTCCTAAAGAAGGCAGAAGGCTGGGAAGCATGAAACTCAACAGACTCTCATTATTTCAGATCTCACGGTCACTTAGTTCTATGTCCCATCAGGTAACACTCCACAACAGGGCTTTGTTGCTGAGCTTACTATAAATTCTGTTCGATAAAAACCCTTGCAGAGCACAGGGCAGCTCTAGTTTCCATGCCTGTGGACATTTAAAACACCAAAATAACTATTGATTTTTTAAATCCCGAGGAATTAATTGTGTTTTAATGTAATATAAGGTGTCTTAAAGTATAATGGATTGGCAAAAGGCTCTATTGATATTTAAGGGCCTAGGAAAGAAACTGATGGGAAAAAAAATGTTTCCTTGGAAAAGACTGTTATATATTACAAGGTTTAAGACACAGAGGTGGAGAAGTAAAGATGGGCAAAGTCTCAGCTAGAATTCACAGACCAGAATAGCAAAAAAACAAGTGTTTGAAATGCAAATTAGTTTCTTACTTTTTATACTGTAGGAAAAGAAACTATCTTAATAAAATAGAGGTCTATCATAATAACAGTTTGAAAATAGAATGATTGATAAAACAAGCTCATGTTTTAAAAAAAAGTGTTTCTTAAAACTAAAGAAAACCACCCACCCATAGGCTAATATTCTTGAAAAGGGGTAGGTATTTTGCTTTTCATTTTAACCTTTTTTAAACGTTGGGGGACAATTTTCTCTCTCAAATATTTCTTGACATAGTAGATAAAAATTCAAATAAAGGGGAATAATCTCTCTTTTTGAATACAAATATTTATAGCCGCTTTATTCACAAATTCAAAAAACTGGAAACAATTCAAATGTCCATCAATGGTTAAATAAATGGAGGCATATCCACACAGTGGAAGTCTACACATATCAGGGAACTCACATGTGGAACGACATAGATGAGCCTCAAACACACTATCCTGAGTAAAAGAAGTCAGATGGAAAGAGTTGTACACTGTATGATTCCACTTACAGGAATCGTGAAAAAATCTAACCTGGAACCACAAAACGGACCAGTCAAATGCAACACTATACCTAGAAAGAATGCATTTTGTTGTATGTAAATTGTTCCTCAATAAACCTGATACCTTGAAACTTCTGGCAGATTGGCTTTTTTATAGAAAGAGAGAACAAAAAAAGAGAGAGAGAGGAGAAACATGCAAGAGAAAAGAAGGAAAAGAAAAGAGACTGATATCATGGAAAAGGGAGAGAGATTTTTGTTAAGATTCTTTGGTAAAGCAATGTAATTTCTAGTTGATTATAATAGAAGGATGGTGCTTAAGATACATGTCAAGGATATATTAGAGAAACAAGAGTGTCCATAAACTTGGAGAATTTCCCCCAAATAAGGGTAAATAAAATATATTTAAAATAAAAGTTATGTCACTGGAGAGTAACAAAAAAATGATGCCTATTGCATTTGTCTATGACACAGCTCTGTTATGAACACCTCCAGGCCAGAAGGCTTGTGTTATCTGCACAGCTAAGAATAAAACAGGTATATTCAGGACATTGGTCCCTTCCCCACACCACCCCAGGGAAAAATCTCTTTAAAAGAGGCATCCAGGCCGGGCGCGGTGGCTCACGCCTGTAATCCCAGCACTTTGGGAGGCCGAGGCGGGCGGATCATGAGGTCAGGAGATCGAGACCACGGTGAGACCCCGTCTCTACTAAAAAATACAAAAAAATTAGCCGGGCGCGGTGGCAGGCGCCTGTAGTCCCAGCTACTCCGGAGGCTGAGGCAGGAGAACGGCGTGAACCCGGGAGGCGGAGCTTGCAGTGGGCCGAGATAGCACCACTGCACTCCAGCCTGGGCGACAGAGCAAGACTCCGTCTCAAAAAAAAAAAAAAAGGAGGCATCTAATAACCTTAGCCCAACTATGTAAAAGCATATAGGCTTCAAAGTTAGTAGACCTGAGGTCCAGTAATTAGCGCTGAAGCCTTAAGCAAATCTCCCAGCTTTCTTATATTTTTATTTTCTTGCTTGTAAAATGAGGGTATTGTATAAAATGATACAAATTGTATAAAGAAGTCTGGCAAAACAAAACTGAAAATCCAGACAGGCAGAAAGGCAGGCATTAAGCACCAGCAAAGTTCCAAACCTTGAATATAACAGGAGTCCAGGAAGGACAAATTAAGAAGAGTATGACTGAGCTTCACTCTTAAGAGTGACTACGTATCTATCTAATAACTACAAGCCTACAATGCTCTAGAAAGCTAAAGTGACAGACGGCATCTAAGACAAAAAATATGTTCATTAAAGTTAAGTTAGTGGAGATTAAGCCTCCTGAGCAAGATAAAATTCCAGTTTGCAGAAATGGGGCCTAAAAACAAGGCTGTTTCTGCTGAAAGAATGGATGTACTACGTGTGGAGTCAATGCTCCTTAAAGCACAGAGCTCCTTCCAGCACTCCTGTCTCAAGTCTACATTGTCTACATTGGTGTTTGAGATTAGGAGAGCCTGGTCCAAGTGAGGGGGTCAAGGGACTCTGTAAGAATGTGAGAGGAGCTGGGGAGCCATCGACCTCAAGAGTGCCGTGGTTTTTAAGACATAACGACTCCCACTGAAAGTAATCAATGGAAGAATGAAGATTTCATTAGCACTTCTGTAGAACCAGAAAACATTGTCCTAGACAGGCTTTATGGCAGTCAGCCCTGAAACCTCCCTGCAAATAATTTGGGAATTCGTGTTTGTCAACAGAAAATTAAGGTGCCTTTAATGGTAGTTGCTTAAATGCCGTTTCTTATTTTCACCACAGCCTCCTTTCTTGGGGAGAAATTTTCAAATTTGTCATTATTATCCTCTCTTAGAAGTGGCTCAAGGCTGTTGCCATATGAAGCATAAACCAAAACACAACAATCAGCTTCTGAATAGGATGCTAGTATCATATATGGGGAAGCAGCCTGTAAACCACAGAGGGAAGAGTATAGTGGCAGATTTGTCAGGTCTCCAATAAAAGACAATGTCTAAATTCCTGCACTAGACCTGCTTTTAGAATATTTTATGTTTTCCAAATTGGACCTAGGATTTTCTGGAATGATGAACAGTAATATCCTAAGCAATGAAGTCTTAATCGGTACTACTTTGAAATTTGTAACTGGAAATTAATCTGTTGGTCCTGTTCAGAATAAGAACATAATTATGTAATGATATTGCTCATTTTACACATGGAAAATTCCCAAAACAGCGCTCATATTAGGCCATTTGTGTTTTTAAATTTTTTATTTAGATTCCACCTCTCTGGACTTGGTTTATATGTTGTTGCTTTCCATGTAAGTTAATCTCTACATCTCTCTTCCTGGTTTTTAATACAATATAGTGTGTTTAAAAGAACATTGGACTATGTCTCATGTTTGCCACATCCTTGCAGAAAGCCACTGAGTCAGTCATGTAAACTTTCTAAGACTCTCTTCAATCTGTAAGTAAGGATAATCACACCTACATCACCATGTTGTCATGAGGAGTGACCCCAGGGAACCTCTGTGCAAGTCCTGGCACTCAGCAAATGTTAGCTTCCTTTCCTGGTCTACAACTGGCCCCACCTGACCTAACCACATTTCCTACCTCTAAACCTACAACTTTCACTCAACAAGGCAAGTCTCCTGAAAGTTCCTGCCATGCTAATTCTCACTTTCTGCCTTTAGTTATGCTACTGTGGCTCCATCTCTTTGTCTAATTTCTGCTCATCTTTCAGGTATGTAAGGCAAATATATCTACAGGTAAGTTTCAACAAAATGGAAGTGAATCATGTTCTTTTATTTTACTCTTACCTTTAACCTTTTCTCTTGGCTACATATTTATGTGGACGGCCATTCCTTAACCTTGTGCATATCATGAAGAATATATAAAATAGACTTACTGAAATTTATTTTCAATTTCTACAAATATTTTTTACTTGCCTCCTATGCAGAAGGTATAAAGTTGAAAAATAATCAATCTCTTTCCCCATGAGCCCTTTATTCTCTTAGAAAAACAATTTATTGATACTGCATGTTTTATTTTTCACTCAAGGTAGTTTTTATGAAGTACCCTGTGTCTTTATATGTGGTGAAATTCAGGCCACAGTTAGCCTTTTGCTCATATTTTCTGGATAGTGAAATGAGATTATGGAGTTAATACTTTAAATAATACGTTATATAATGATTTTTAAAGATGATGCTGTAATTTTCCATCTATGCTATTTAAAAGTCATATTGAGGCCGGGTGCAGTGGCTCACGCCTGTAATATCAACACTTTGGGAGGCCAAGGCAGGTGGATCACAAGGTCAGGAGTTCAAGACCACCCTGGTCAAGATGATGAAACCCCATCTCTACTAAAACCACAAAAATTAGTCAAGCACAGTCGCAGGCGCCTATAATCCCAGCTACTCAGAAGGCTGAGGCAGGAGAATTGCTTGAACCAGGGTGGCAGAGGTTGCGGTGAGCCGAGATTGCACCACTACACTCCAGCCTGGGTGACAGTGAGACTCCATCTCAAAGTAAAATAAAATAAAATAAAATAAAATAAAATAAAATAAAATAAAATAAAATAAAATAAAATAAAAATAAAAGTCATATTGAGACAAAAATAAACAGCATTTTTAAAAATTTCCAACAGATTGTGACTGGGTAGTTGATTAATTAGGAGTTAAACAAAGGACTTAGTGGTAACATGATGTAGCCAGAACATTCTTAAGAGGTAAGTTGCATTTATCAATCACATGAAAACTGTGTGTTTAAGTACTAGAATACAAGTCAATCCATGTGATTCTTTGCCTTCAGTCAATGGAAGGTAAACCTGGTTTAACTATGTTTGAATACATGATGCCAGCCTTGTTCACATGGTTTATATTTGAACTCAAAGCTACTACCTTAATTTATTAGTTCTGGGCAGAGGCTTATCCTATACTCTTCTAGAACATTCTCCTTGTATGACATTAATTTCCCTGTCTCGTAGACTGAAGCTTATTTTTAATACTCACTAAGAAAACCTTATTTCTGAGAAAATACAATGGAAGCTAAGATGTACTTTGTGGCAACTTTTAGTATGGCCTATGTGGTAGGGAATTTTTGTTGATTTTTTTAGGTAAAAGAGAGACATACTTTCCTTGTGTGAGAAGGTTACTTGGAAATGATGATCTTAGGCCCTCCAAGTTGCCCCTGTATCTGAGAACCTGCTGAGCATGATTACAGATCACGAGTTGGGCTTGGGTTTTCCCAAGCTGGCTGCAGAGACAACTTGTCTAGGCGCCCAGTGAACAGCCACAGCCCACAGAGAATGTGTGTTTACCCAGACCTTTTCCATGGTTTACTTCTGAAAATTGGTTCAACCACATGGGAATCTAGTTAGACTCTTGGAATTATAATCTTTGACTGGTACATGACCCAAGCATTTTTTATAGAATTTGAAAAATCAGATTGTAGCTTAGAAAATGAGGAAAGAACAGTAAGAGTCCAAATCTAAACCTCTTTGAGGTCTACCTAAAATCTACCTTTTCAAGCATGGGTTCCCACACCAAACTGTTCATCTTTACTAGATGTAACAGCATGAGCAGAATTGTAGTGGGACATGCTGAAGGAAAATTTTCAGTCCTCATGCAGCTCACTGGGGAGGTAAAAGTTTGTGAAAACTTTCCTCATGTATGACCTCCTATTAAACTGAACATATTCCATCTAGCTGCTTAGGAGGATAGATATTTGTAGCATACAGTTGATTTTCTAGCATACACCTGTAGTGTTTCCTCCATGAACCAAGATTAGTGCTATGGTTGATAGATTGAAGTGTAGGCTGATAAATAAATGCTATCTTTAGGAATCTGCTATTATACCTAGATTTCTCAGTGTAAGAAGGGAATAATTAAGACTGATACTTTATTTGAAAATGCATTATATTTCTCGTTACGAATAAACCATAGTAACTAATAAAAAAAAAAAAAGCTTACCCATAGTAGAAAGCTGGGAAAAAAATTGCTAAGCAATGAAGAACTTGCCTTTTCTAGTTCTAGCATTCAGTAGCTGAAAGCAGATCATTGCCATAAAGAAGTATTTACCAATTTTAAAAGGTCTTGGCCCATCATAGCTAGTGTTAGATTTGGAATATAGCTTTTGTTGCCAAGGTGACAAACACTTATAAATATAACACATCTTCTAATGTGCTTTTAACTTGGTATTTTTATGGCTTTTAAATCAGATACCATTAGCAAATATATTAGGTAATTTAGCTGAAAGACCATTTTCCTCTAACACTTTTTGTTACATTTCCCCAGGTATTTCAGTAAATGTCTGTTGTGACATTCTACTCCTGCTAGGCTTCCAACGTAAGGGGATACATAAAGTACATCTAGTAAAGATTAACATATATTACCTTGCCTTTTTTTGTATTGATCACTGAAAAATGTATAAAAGAAAGTTAAATTTGTAGTCTCCTTGAAGAGCAATCATTGTTCCTATTGTTATTTTGAGGTCTACACCTCCTCCCTACAAATAATAGTCTGGCTTTAAGATTCAATGCATACAAGAAAGGGTTTTGGGTACAGCGTAATAACCATATATTAACACTTCCCAGAACCTCCACACCTAAATGCTTTCCCGTATATAAAGAAGGCTATGAGGAAAATAATTACAATAGACTACCTGGAGCCCTAGTATTTCCACAAGTTTAAGTTTATTGTTCCAAACAATAGACCCAACATCCCAGGCAGGGAAAGAATTAGCTATAAATGTATTCACTGGATTCTTAAAAGATGGTTTGTAAGGTGGACATATTTGTCACAGCAAAGATAAAATGAAATGAGACATATTTAAAGTCCAAATTTGCACTTATTGTTACTTCGTCAGAAATTCTTAGAAGACTGTCCGAAAATTCATTCATTCTTTTTTCTTTCATTCATTCATTCAAGCAACAGACATTTAAGAAGCATCAACCATGTTACAAGCACTGGAGATACAAAGACGAGTAAATCCCAGCCCTCAAGAAGAGTATAATCTCAGGAAAAAGGCAGGCAAATCAATGAAGTATTACAAGACACTGATAAGTGCTAAGGTAAAGACTATACACGAGGAAGGTGTCAGGGAAGAGTCCCTAAAGAGGAACGACTCTGCAAATTGCTTTTACAGAATCAAGATGGAAAAGAATATATATTTTATTTAAACAGCAAAACTCTTCCAAGTTAGTGTTTTACATAACAAATCTAGAATTGCTGTTTCCTTACCGTGTGATCTTGAAAGCTTCTCTGTGCTTCAGTCACTCCTCCTATATAATGCAGATAATCTTCCTTGCCACCCGCATGGCTCATAGAAGACTATTTATAGGGATAATGGGATGCGGGTGGTGTATCTATTTAATTTATTTGGAAAAGAAAGATGCTATGTAAACACACAGCATCCTTATTATTCCAAGCGGTAGCATTTTGGATAATTACCGTATAATGCTGCACCTTTGTGTGTGTGTGGTTTGTTTCTTTATAGAAAGGCAAGTGCTAATGTTAAGTTTCTCTAATAACTTTAGAAGCAATTTTAATCCAGCAGACAAAACAAAATAATCTTTAGAGTAAGTTAAATCCCTTTGTATTTGAGTAGATTTTGTTATTTACCAAGGTCTTAGGCAATTTCACCACAATTATGAAAAGTGGTGCCCAGCAAGCCCAGCTCTTCAGCAAATATCTGAAAGACACTGTTGCGGACAGCCTAGCAACTTCTTCCCAACAGATACAACTCAATCGTGCATGTACGGGCACACGTATGTGTATGTGCATGTGTGTGTGTGTGCGCGCGCACACACAGGCCTGAGCCTGGGGCTTGCCAGAAAGAGCTGGGAACGAGCTGAAACTGGCTAGCATACCTGAGGCAGCTGTTACACCGTGGCGCCTGGATTCTTCTCTCAGACTCCAGGCTGGCTCCCCTCCTCCTCCACCTCCTTTTCATAGTCTCTAACTCTCTAACTGCCTTTCTTCTTCCTCCCTGCAACTTGGTCAGAGATTCCCATGGCCTGAGACTCTGGCCTTGTCCTGCCGCCAAACATTCTGGGACTGGCTGGCTGGGGAAAGAACCCACACTGGTGGGAACATGAAGTCTCAGAAAACAAAACAAAACAAAAAAAACGACCCCAAGAACTCTTATCTGTTTCATCTTTCCTTCCTCCCATTCATTCTCTTTCTCTCTCTCTCTCTCTTTCTCTTTCTCATTTTGATTTTTGTGCTGGAGATTAGCCAGGAATTGCCATGGCAACCAGGGAACGTGACAGTTCAAGGCAGATCTGCTCTTGGGTCCTGAAATTTGCTTTATCAACAAGACAGAGTCTATCAACTTGACCTGGGGCTTGCCAAGGCAGTCCAGCCGTTCACAAATAAAAGAGGCAGCCTGTTTAAGGAGCCCATACGAATCTCTCCTTTCCCCGCAGAAGTATGCTGCTCCAGGAGATGCCAGAAGAGCAGGGAGGTTAATAGTAAATAGTTAGAAGAGTTTTTTAAAAAAACATTAGACAACAAGAAACTACTTTTTCAGTTCAATCTGGCCTCTCATAGTTTGAGGTAGTTTTCCATAGGCTGCCACTGGAATTGGATACAATTGGTAGAGCCAACCAGAATGAAATGTTCCCAGGATGAAAAGAATGCCAATGCCAAACCAGCAGGGGAGAAGCAAAGAACCCTAGACCCCTGGAGGCCCTAGTGCCTTTGACAAGGGTAAAAGGTATGTATTGGCAGTGGAAAGGCCAATGATACTAATCCTAAGAAATAGTCTCTGGTTACATTTCAGGGACTCAAGGCCCACTGACAGAAAAGAGCAATTACTTACAGTCATACTTTTTTTTAATTTGACAAAGAACCCAATCATGATGGATTAGGTACATTTAATATCTCAATTAATAAGCCCTCTACAATATTAACATGTCAACTTGGTTCAAGAAATCCACTCCAGTTGATAGTCATCCAGGAAACGTCTTTCATACCCACATATTAAATTTAATCTGCCACCCCTGTTTTATAAGACTTTGTATTCATCTGCTGAAGAAAAGATGCTTATTTTATCATTCCAATTTAACAGCTTGCTTAGCAAAGTTGATAGGTAGGAGTTTAGAAGATATTCGTTGAATGCCTATTTTGTATATTTACAAAAGAGGTAGATTTAAGGGAGTTACCCAGAAGCAATATTTTTTTGTCCCACTGTTATCCTATTGGTCTTCCTTTCATTCGGCAGATTTATCTGTCATGAAGAATTTAAGTTTCATATTTTCCTCTGTCAGTTGTGAAAAGGCCTGTCAGCTGGGGCTTACACTACAGTTTGCCAAAAGGCCTATAGCACACAATGACAATACAATCTTATATTTGTGCTCCCAGTCTCCAGATAATCCCCCACTTTCCTCCTCTGCAGCCTAGTTATGATCAGGTTTAAGTTGCATATTGTGTTTTTAGCCAGATTTTGCTGATAAATGCTATCAGCAAGACTGAAATGAAATACAGCAGGTTAAGCTCTTATTACCAGTGTAAAACATGCCTTGCGAGTTTCGTGTGTGATATAGAGACAGTAGTTGCATAAAACCATTTAATTCACAGAAACTAAATATAGGAATGTTAATGGCTTTGGCTTTTATCCACTGAATGTTCGAAGATCTTTTATTCATATACCTGAAAATATAGACCTTTGATTAACATTCTATGGAGATGTGCCTGAGATACCAGGCCATTTGCCACATTGTTTCCAGGGTGGACTCAATTTTGAAAGAAAACTGTGCAAAGACTTAACATTATTTATCAATACCCTCAAACACAAGAGGATATTGTTTGTACCATTTTTATGTGCCATTTTTATTGTGAGTTCACATATATACCTAATCTAAGAAAGATTTACATTACCCACACGCCTGCAGAAACTACTTCATTCTAATTAAATAGAAACCATATAAATAAGTGGAGGCCTGAAAACCATTCTTTGCAGAACCTGCTGAGTCTGCAGCAAAATGTGAAGGACTAGTACATTAGAAAAATGTATCATTGTCTCAGCCAAGGAGAGAGAAGGGTTAATCATCATTCCTAGAACTCTGGAGTGGAACAAAAGCTTGCAGTCTGACACCAAAATAACATCACAATGAAAAGTAAAATTGCTTCTAAGTCTAAATTGCTTCATTTGAAAATTGTAGTGATACTGAGAACAATTATGTCACTTAAACTTTTACAGTTTTGTTTTTATAAATCAGTTATAAAACTATCATGTGGTTTAAATGCAATTATTTAATAAGGGCATTTGTAATTGTCCAACATAATCAATTATGCTTCAATCAGGCTCTTCTCTGAGACTGTATTTTTGTTAGCATCTAAGTCTTTCTTATGATAATACACACTTTTTGAAACAGCCAAATAAAAATCATTGTTTTCCAGAAAAGTTCTTCCCTCACCCTTGGTTGTAAAGCATTTCCCCACTGCAAAACGAAACTCAGAATTCTTTTTTGCCCCTTGTCTTAGAAACTAAACATCTACTCAAAGCATGAGAAGGGAAAACATATTGTTAAATAATAGGGGAAGTAAAAGTTGGCTCTTCAAGAGTCATGATAGTGTTGTCAAGTATGTTTTTCGAGCTGAGACAGGGGCTGGAGCCTGGGGAGCATGGAGTGGTGCCCACGAGTTACTCAGCAGGAGCCATGACAATGTTGGTACCACAAGTCACAGGTCATGACTTTGATTTTCTAAGAAGGAGGAGGATTAATTATGGGCTGAGTGTAGGGACACTCAGGCCTCCCAGAGACTATAGGATTTTAGTTGCTGTGTTGTGCAATTTGTGGGCTATTTGGTCCACTTTGGACAGCCTAGAGAACTATGTTTTCCCTCCAGATTTTAACTGAAGTCTCCGCTACTGCCTTATCCCTGTGTTTTGCCTGGTTTATCCTGATAGTCTGATCTCTATACCCACCAGCATGACTAAGAGGCTTCTCGTGGAGTTGGGCTCTCAGCTTCTACTTCCTCTCTCCCCACCCTTTTTCTCTTCTGTGAATAGACTCTTCCTTACTTTGACCTCTCTTTTGCTAAAGATTCTCACCACTTTATGGATGATATCAACCCTCTTCTCTCTCTGCTGTGCATCCTGTCATAAAAGATGATCCTCCTACTTAAAAGCGTTCCCTCATTTCAGATCTTTCTTCAAGGGAATGGGTGAGTCCTGCCAGTGACTACAAGAGGTTTATCTCCAGCCACACAGATTCAGCATAAACTGGAACCAAGATCCCCACAAAGGCTTCACCATACAGGAGACAGTGAGTTTGTTGTTTTGAAACCCAAATCTGCTAGTATATCTTCCTAGCTTAAAATCAGCTCATAGCATTCCCTCATTTTAGGGTGTAAGTCAAATGTCCTGCATTCTCTAACCCATCTAGTTCTAGTTCTCAAGTTTTTCTCACATGTTCCTTTCCATCACTCTTTGTTCCAGCCACATGGGCCTTCTCTCTAAATCATCTACTTCCTCCTCCAGCTCAAGGCCTGTCTGCTTGCTGTTCCCTCTGCTTCTGAGGCTTTCAGCCCAGCCCAGCCCAGACCTCATATTTCTTATTAGGCCAAGTCTTACTCATTCCTCTTTCCCCTTTCAGACCAAGTATGACTATGGGAAAACCAACACTGATACCCTGAGTCAAGCAGGTTCTCCCTGTTCTATGCTCTTACAGATGATGGACCTTTCCTTCAAATTATTCATTACTCTTGCAATGTTATATTTCTTTATTCTATTATTTGATTATTATCCCATTCCAATGGTCCTTTCTTGAGAATGGGGATTTTATCTTTGCTTTTCCTTATCTCTGTACACTATAGATACTCGGTTTTTATCTGTTGAATGAAGGAACTCTTTGGAGTTCATAGAAATTTTGTCCCAAAAAACACGGCAAGCAAATTTCCTAAACCTGGGTCAAGCATAAGGTTTTGAGAGCACCCTCGTATGTGTTCATGGAGAAATATACAATGACAAATTGAAAACAGCCTAACCATCAAAGAAGAACACATAAATAAATTGCACTATGTTCATAACATAACACCATGCAGCAGTTAAAATTAATGAATTAGGGCCATATGCATGCACCTGGCTAAATCCTCAAAGCACATACATAAAATGTGGCCATAATACAAAATATATATGTTGGTTTATTTTGCCTAGAATCCATGTAAGGAGTAGTCAGAAATACAATGGTAATACAGGTATATATAAAGACCGGGGACGAAATCTAGGAAAAGTGGGAATATGAGGCCATCAAAGTTCTTTCCCTCCTTTCCATGTCATTCCCCAGCCAGATTACAGCAGGAGGAGTATAATCAATCTCTGCCTTTTTTGTCCACATCTCTACTATTTATCTTCTGGGGCAGTTCTTAATTGTACTTGGAAACCAATGCATTTCAACAGGGTAAAAATTAGAGAATCATTTATAAATGCAAAATGTAAAAGGAAATAAACTAGAGAATAATAATAATATAGAAGAAAATCAATAATCAATATAAAAAATGTTGAATTTAGTTCCTATTTTGAAATATTCTATGAAACTAAGTTGGAAAAACAAAACAAACAAAATCAAAGAAGATTTAGAATATCCCAGAGGCCTAACAGAAAGTTGAAAGTTAAGTAAAATAGGTAAGAATTTTCCAAGACCCTGCCCTTGACTCTAGACAGGGAGACATTAGGTATAGAAATGTCTAATGCATATGGCCTTACACATAGTGTAAGCTGCCTCCTTTTTGTGTGTGTATAGAATTGGAAAGTTTTAGACAGCACTCTTTCCTAAAATATTTCCCTTACTCATTTTGCTATAATGCCTTCATATCCACTTTCCTTATTGATTTTGAGTCAATGCACTGAAGAGTCCTCCAAAAACCACAGAATTTTAGAATAACAGAAAGGCCTTTTTTTATTTTTTATTTTTTTATTTTTTTGATTAGATAAGGAAACTGATGCTTGAAAGTTAAGGTAACTTTGGAAAGCCACCCGCTGTAGCCCAGCAGTCTGGGAACCAGAACCCAGAAATCCTCATTCCTGTCCCATCGTTCTGCCCAGCACTCCACACTGTAATGTTATTATCTGGGGGCCATTGAGTTAAGCCTGTACCCTTTGTCAATGCTATGGATTGCATTCATTTGGCTGGGCAGTCACCCAGCTGGTACCTGAGTGGAAAAGAAAATATAAAATCCGATGAGGAGTGGTGTACACATACAATGGAATACTATTCAGCCTTAAAAAGAATGAAATTCTGATGCATGGTACAACACGAATGAACCTTGATGACATTATGCTAAGCCAGATACAAAAGGACAATATTGTATGATTCCACTGATATGAGGTACCCACAGGAATCACATTCATAGGGACAGGAAGTTGGATGGTAGTTGTCAGGGGTTGGAGGATGGCAGCATGGAGAATTAGTGTTTAATTGGAACAGAGTTTCAGTTTGGAAGAGGAAAATGTTCTAGAGATGAATGGCGATAATGGTTGCACAAGGTGATTTTACTTAATGCCACTGAGCTATGCACTTAAAATGGTTAAAATGTTAAGTTTTATGTTATGCATGTTTTACTACCATTTTTTAAAGAAAATCAGATGAGGAGCCATGAATTATGAATTCCAGCCGAGGAAAGCACACTTGGTGGGAATTCTAGGCATCTAGAAGGCACTGGGAAAATATTAAGTGCTTAAGGTAGGTGGGAAGAGGGCAAAGGGAGGAAGTGAGAAAGGTCTAGACCAGCATAGTCCACTGAGACTTTCTGCCATGGTGGAGATGGTCTACATCTGTGCTGTGCAGTATGGCAGCCAGGAGCCACTAACCACAAGTGGCTACTGAGCATATGAAATGTGGCTCATGAGCTAAGGAACTGAATCTTTAACTTAATTTGATTTAACTAACTTACATTTAAATAGCACGGGTCTAGACTTCCTATTGTTGGTGATTTCAGTAAAAGTACTTGTATTTCTGCTTCTTTTGGCTCACTTTTTATAAATTCAAGCACTGTTCACTCATTCCTTCAGTTACCGTTAGGAGGTATAATGCATCTCTTGTGTGCTAGACTCTTGCTAAGCAATTGGGGTAATAGTGAGCAACGGGAATGCTCTACACTGCTGGTAGGAGTATCAATAAGTATAAGCCCTGCAAGAAACAAGGTGACGGTATGTCTTGAGGTGAAAGACATACCTTTCACTCACAGCTTGTATACCCTAGAGAAACCCTCATAGCTGCTCAAGGAAGCATGGACATGCAAAATCAGAAAAGGCTTATCAACCTATGAAAGAAGAGATAAATTGGGCTTATGCTCATAAAAAATATTATGCAGTAGTTAAAATTAATGAATGAGTGCCACATCTACCTATGTGGCTAAATTCCAAAAACACAATAGTGAACAAAAAGAAAACTTCAATTGCAGGAGGATACACACAGGATGATATCATTATCACTTTTAAAAACTTCTAAAAAAAACCCTGCATTATTGTTTATGGATACATCTGTATGTAATAAATGTCAAAACACACATGGGTGAAGTGACAGCACATCCAGGGTAGTGGATACTTCTGGCAAGAGAGGGAATGGAATGGGAAAAGGTACACAGAGGTCTTCAATCCAACTGTAGTATTCTGTTATTAAAAAACATCTTTTTATATGACAAAACCAGAAGGTGGATCCATTGGTGTTCATTATATTATTCGCTATACTTTTATGAATAGCTAAAATACTTCACGATAAAGAGGATGCAAATGAAATGGCCCTCCTGTTAAGAAGCACTCAGATTATAGGGGCATCATAAGTACAATAAAAATGGCCATAATATGTTAAAAGTGTTAATAGGGGCATGAGGTGTATGAGGTGGGAGAGAAAACAGAGGAAGATGGAACTAACTCTGTCTCAAAGAGTCAAGAGGAGTCAAGAAGACTTCACCTGGTAGTTACACTCAAGTTCATTTTCTGAGGATATGTAGTTTAGTTGGGGGAAAAACAGGAATATTTATTGGAGGCTACAAAGACAGTTTGTAGAAAGAGTGAGAGACTTCACTGGAGTCTAGAGCTGTCAGGGTAGAGGGAATGGCTGATGAAACCGATTGGAGTTGACTCAGGCTGTGTTCTCCCATCCAAACGTGCATGCGCGTGCACACATGCGCACGTGTGTGTGTGTGTGTGTCAGGGATGTGAGGGGGTAAAGTAAGAGGGGAGAATGAATGAGAACACAGCTAGGGAGACCCATGCTCTTATAATTTTCCCAGTGACAGGTCATGAGAGCCTGGAATGTGATGACAGCAGTGATGTGGAAGGGGCAGGAGTGGGAGGTATCCAGGAAGACTCTATGGGACTTGATGACTGTGGGACTAGAAGAGGTTCCTATCTTGAACAACTTTGGCTGATGATGACACTGACCTAGACAGTAATATGGAAGATGGAGAAGAAGCAAGGTTTCCCCAACCTTAGAGTGAAAGGAGGAAAGGTGAGAAGATAATGAGTTTGATTTGGGATTTGTTAGCTTTGAAACCTCTCCAGGTAGAAATGTCAAGAAGGGAGCCATGGGAAGAAGCAGCATAGAGATAATGACTGGAGTGGATAACACAGGCAAAAGGCAGTCTGTAAAATGAGAAAAGAAGATTTCACTGGACAGCTAAGAAGGTGGATCATCACACTGTAGGCACGCTAAGCTCTTCCTCCCAGAGACAGGTCATGTTTTGGCAGAAGAATCTGAAGACTTCTAATTCAACAGCAATAAAGAGAACTGAACAAAGGAATCATGCCCTAGGGTTTGGCATCTGGCCTTAGCAAACTAGTGTAGCAATGAAAGCACCAACTTTATAGTTAAACTGACGTACATTAAATGCATTTGCCATTAAACTTTCATTCCCCACTTACTAGGTGTAAACTTGGGCAAGTCACCAAACCACTCTGAGCCTCAGTTTCTTTTTCTGGCAATGGGGATGATACCTTACAAGCTTGTGGTGAGGACAAAGTTGAATAATGTAGGTAAAATATTGAATACATATTAAGTCCCTTCTCCTTTTCTTAGCTCTTACCATTGCGAATGCCTACACTTGTCTGATAACATTTTATTTAACTAATTACTTTTTCCTCAAAATACAAAGTACTACTGACCATAGAAGTTGTTGATTACTTGAAACCAGGGGCCATATCTTACATGTTGATCAGTCAGGTACGTACTGAACGTTACTATTTTCCTAACAAGTCATAGACTACCAATAACATGTAGCACCATGCTAGGTACATTGTCGGTGAGCAATAAATAAATAAATGGCTTCTGAATTGAAGTGTACTGTAGTACAGCCAATAAAAATAAGCATAAAATGTTTTATGATTCAGCTTCATATGTAATCATTTGGTAACAACCTTGTTAAGCCCAAAAACATGCATAGGCAATAAGTATATCATTTTATAAGGAAAGGAAAATAGAGGTTATTTGTTCAAGTTCACAGAAAAAAATTACCTCAGGGCCAGAAATAGACAGCAGTGAATCTAATGGTCAGTAAACATGGGGAAATCTCCCAGTAGGGTTTCAGTTATGGGCCCAGTGAGACATGAACAAACAATCCCTTAGGATTTCTAATGCAAAAGAACAAATATAAAAATAGAAGGCTGCCTTTCATGTAGTCAGTACCAAGTTCTCCAACCAGATTCTACACAGCAACTGGAGGACAGGGCCTCAGATCAAGGAAGAAGTGGGATTGGTTTGGAGGGATCCTATCTGGACTCAAGGAAAGTGACAATACAAATTATGGGATGGATCTACATCCTCGAGGTACGTTTTTATATCTGTGCAGAAAAGTAAGCTGATAGCATAAAGGGTCACCAAATAGGAAAGGAGATATGGTTTAATTTTTATCTTTGTGACTTGCTGCTTACATTCATTATGGAAAAAATAGGGTTTAAGTCAGAGTTTAAGGTGGGCCAAGACTTCCCACCTTAGGGTTTAAGAAGCTTTGCCGGTTCAGAAGTGAAGCTGGTGTATTGGTGAAAAGCAACCAAACAGAAGGAAAAGTGAGAAGACAAAGTAGAAAAGGAGAGAGAGGTGGTCAACCGGGACAGAATTTGAGTCAGAGATATCTGTGGTATGTTCAGGTCAGAAGTTAAAATAAGAATAAAGTTAGAGACTCGTTTCTGGAGTAGACAGACTTGGGGGAAAAGAGTCCCAGAACTCTCCCCATTCATAAAATGCATCTATTATAAATACATATACACAGAAGATGTCCTCTATAATATTATTTCTACTTCTGAAAAAAATCTGTGGCTCTTTTGATCTGAGATACGGAGGTGCTGGTGGGGGTTTGAGGGATGGCAGGACAGACAATTATGTAATCAGCAAGCTGAGGTCAAAACCTGGAAAGTCAAGATGTCAGTGAGAGGCAGCAGGAGGAATTTCTCCCAGAAAACAGATAGCACAAGTAGTCTTTTTGTATTGTGGGTAAATTTTGTTCCCTAGAATACGTTCAAGTCCTAAACCCCAGTACCTCTGAATGTGACTGTATTTGGAAATAGGGTATTTGCTGATGTAATTAACTTAAGATGAGGTAATAATGGATTAGGGCTTTTAAGGTATCCTTATAAGAAGAAGCGTGAAACTTGGACACACTGATATACCCAAGGATAAAGTTCACGTGAAGATGGAGGCAGAGGCTGGAATATGTGGCTTCAAAGAACACTCCCGGCCAGCAATCACCAGAAGCTGAGAAGAGCAAAGAAAGATTCATCCCTAGAACCTGGTGAGGACACATGGCATTTCCAAAACCATGATATTGAACCTCTAGACTACAGAACTGTAAGGGAATAAATTTCTGCTGTTTTAAACCAACCAGATTGTGGGTACTTCGTTATGGCAGCACTAGGAACCCAACATGCCTTGCTGTCTGAAGGACTTTCAGCTGTGTGGTTGCCAGGTTTATGAGTCAACTGAGAAGCAGATTTTCACAGTCCGTATCCTCAATCCATGTCCCTGGCATGACACTCCCCTCAAGCCTCAACCCTCGATCCCACCAGGCCACGCATCCCCTAGTGGAGCCAGGTTTGGTGAGAGCGCTGGTCCTCAGAGAGTCTAGCATGACCAGAGAGTTCAGGCCTGGCCTTCTGGAACACATCTTTTCTGGGTTCTAAGGGCCAAAATTTTTCTCCTTCAGAGCCAAGGGCCCACAAATACCTGCACTTCAAATTCTTTTATAGCTTACTAGAGTAAGAGAAGGGTATGGTGTTTGGCCAATTAGAAGAGTAAGCATTTAAGTAAGTAGTAGGTGTTTTAAATCTAGGGAAACCTCTGGAGCAGTGATGGCATTTTACAGTCACTGAGACCTTAATGAACACCAATGTCTAGATTGCACCTGCATAAATTGGGTACAGATGCAGGTATTAGTATTTTTTTAAAGCTGCCAGTATGCAGTCAAGTTGAAAGCTTGAACTAGGTGCTGGTCTGGGCGATAAGGAGTCTATCGTGGGTCCACCCAGCTGTAAGATCATGTAGAAGGAAAGTTATTAAGTTATTAGATAGAAAATTACACCTGGTTTCTGATTGTCAAGGTTCTCTCAGAGGTACCTTTTGTGTTTTAAAACTAACATCCACCTTTCTCCCAAACACAAGGGTAGACCTAATTTTCTCTTTCTTCCTCATCTCCCACATCCAATCAGTTGCCAAGTTTTCTTGATTCTGTAAACTTTTCTCAAATGTACCTTCTTTATTTTTTTTATTTTTTTATTTTTGAGGCAGGGTCTCACTCTATCACCCAGGCTGGAGTGCAACGACGCAGTCTCGGCTCACTGCAACCTCTGCCTCCTGGGTTCAAGCGATTCTCCTTCCTCAGCCTCCCTAGTAGCTGGAACTACAGACACGCGCCACCATGCCCAGCTAATTTTTGTATTTTTAGTAGAGACGAGGTTTCACTATGTTGGCAAGGATGGTCTCGATCTCCTGACCTCGTGATCCACCCGCCTTGGCCTCCCAAAGTGCTGGGATTACAGGCATAAGCCACCGTGCCCGGCTGAAATGTACCTTCTTTCTGCATTCCTTTGGCCGCTGCCTTAGTTCAGGCTTACCGTTTCCTGCCTGGGATTCTGACAGCAGGGTAACTGGACCTTGTTTGTAGCCTTCCTCACTCCCAATTCATTCTCCAGTTGCCACCAAAATGATCCTTTAAATATACAAGTGTCGATGTTTTACTCTCCTGCTTAAAGCCCTTCCATGGTTTCCCCTTTGCCTACACAGTAACTTCTGGGCTGGTCACATGACAAATAGAACTCCCCATAATTTGGCCCTTGCTTCCTTCTCTCCAGTGTCTTCTGGTGCACTTGTTCCTTGGACTTAATTCTTCATCCGTAGTTCACTGTGCTATTTCAGGCCTAAGTCTTTGCAGATGCTGGTGTGCCTTTGCCTAGTAAGTCCCTCCCTAAATGTACCCTTTGGCTTCCTGGAGTATTTACATTCCTTCTCCCTCACCAAGAAATCTTCCTAACACCTACTACCACTTACTGCTGCTATTCTATCACCTCTATGCTTTATACACATTTTTATTAAGGTCCACCCTGCTGCTTGATAAAATTTTGTAAGGGTTTGTGTCACCGAGATGATGAAATCCTTGAGAGAAGTTCTAAGTCTTACTTAGAACTTAGCCACTGGCAAAATATCAAATGTATAATAAGCCTTCAGGTGTTGAATGAATTAATGGGAAAACAAGGAAATAAATAAATGTATTTGTCATCTGGAAGAATAACTGAAATTCAATCCATGAACTTGGTTTCCTAAAAGGGCAATAAGAGGTGGAGAAGTGTAGGGGTAGGGAAGCATTTAGGGAGAGAATATTTTTCTTGGAGGGAGAGATGATATTGGTTTATCAAATTAACCTAAGGAAGAAAGTAATAATAGTTATTCTGTTGTCAAGAGGTAACACTAGTGGGCATTGGGGCGGAAGATATTTGGTTTATCTACTTGCTCTGGCAGAAATCAGTTGGGTTTGGATATGGTTTAGATCTATATTTTTACCCAAATCTCATGTTCAATTGTAATCCTCAGTGTTGGAGGTGGGGCCTGGTGAGAGGTGATTGATCCTGGGGGCAGTTTCTAATGGTTTAACACCATCCGCCTGGGTGCTGTTCTCATGATATTGAGTGAGTTCTCACGAGATCTGGTTGTTTAAAAGTGTGTCACACCTCTCCACTTTCCTCCTGCTCCAGTCATATAAGACATGCCTGCTTCCCCTTCGCCTTCTGCCATGATTGAAAGTTTCCCGAGGCCTCCTCAGCCATGCTTCCTGTACAGCCTGTGGAACCATGAGCCAATTAAACCTCTTTTTTTAATAAATCTCCCAGTCTCAGACATTTCTTTATAGCAATGCAGGAACAGATTAATGCAGTTTTGTTTTAGTTTTTCAAAATGGGTCTATAAGTTGGGACTCTCCTCATTCTACCAGAATATTTTATTGCACAACCCTATCATACCAAGGAATACACACCTTCGTAAAAATAGAAGATGTTCTTATAAATATTCAAGTAATTATGGTTACCTGAGATCACGCATAGCATGGTGCGAAATAAACTATTTAGTGAATGCATTAAAACCTGTTTAGTCCATGCACGGTGACTCACACCTGTGATCTCAGCACCTTAAGGGCCTGAGGTTGGAGAATAGCTTGAGTCCAGGAGTTTAAGACCAGCCTGGGCAACAGAGTGAGACCTCATCTCTACAAAAAAATTAAAAAACTAGACCAGGCGCTGTGGCTCACACCTGTAATCCCAGCACTTTGGGAGGCTGAGGCAGGTGGATCACCTGAGGTCAGGAGTTCAAGATCAGCCCGGCCAACATGGTGAAACTCCACTTCTACTACAAATACAAAAATTAGCTGGGTGTGGTGGCCGGCGCCTGTAATCCCAGCTACTCAGGAGGCTGAGACAGGAGAATCGCTTGAACCCAGGAGGCAGAGGTTGCAGTGAGCCAAGATTCCACCATTGGACTGCAGCCTGGGTAACAAGAGTGAAACTCCGTCTCAAAATAATAATAATAATAAATTTAAAACATTAAAAAACTAGCCATGTGTGGTGGTGTGCACCTGTGGTCCAGCTACTCAGGAGGCTGAGGTGGGAGGATTGCTTGAGCCAAGGAGGTCGAGGCTACAGTAAGCTGTGATTGTACCACTGCACTCCAGCCTGGGCAACAGAATGAGACCATACCTCAAAAAAAAAAAAAAAAAAAAAAAAAGCAACAAACAAACAAAAACCTGTTTAAACACCCAAAAGAGAAGTATCATTGAATTAGCTAGTTCGGGGTAACTGAAAAGAAGCCATTTTGATAATAAAAAGTCTGTGATGATGGTGGTCTGTTGTCACTAGATGTCTGATAGAAATTGAAGAAGATCTGAATTCTCATTGTCCCATATACCTTTACTTTGAAGCCCTTACCACAATTCTGCATTTACAAGTGTAAGTTGTATTTGATTAATATATGTGTTCCTGACTCTATGATATATCAAGATGAGGACTTAGGTCAGGTTTTGCTCATTCATCTTCAGTTTTTAATATGGTATCCTGTATATTATAAACTCTCCAGAACTATTTGTCAAATGAATGTGCTGAGTAAATAGTTCAGTCCTTTAAACACTGCCTTTGGATAGATTATAGAATGAAGTTGTCCCCTGATCTTACAGCATCTTACAGACCTATTCCTGATCCAAGAAGCCCTTGGAATCTTTTCTC
Source organism: Homo sapiens (assembly GCF_000001405.40). Lineage (NCBI taxonomy): Eukaryota > Metazoa > Chordata > Mammalia > Primates > Hominidae > Homo > Homo sapiens. The sequence goes on from NC_000007.14 coordinate 96,800,227, forward strand.
CATTCTCTGCCTCATCTGTGCTACTCACATTGTCCTAGATAGTAGAACTTACGAAAGACACAAAATTATTGATTGCAGAAGCTTGAGAGGTACAGGATCTAAAAGTACAATTACGCAAGGTTGAGGAGCAGCATATTCAACACCCACTAGACAGACTATTAAGCTATTTGGTGGACGTAAACATGGAATGGTTCATATCAGCTTCTAATATGATCTCAGTTGCCAAAAATGCCTTTTTCCTGGTCATTTTTCTATTATTCAAGAATGTATGATTAAAAAAGAACTTACAAGATTTAAACTGGGTTAGATTAAGTGGTAAGACTGCCCATGCTATAATGTTAGAACTATCAACATTTACCAAGAATAAGGTGGAGAAGGAATGAGCCAGAGGCAAACAGGTTATTTAAAGGTCTTCGGATGTTGCCAGCCTTGGACTACCAAAAAAAGTTGTAATTCTGATGCTGAGGAATGCCGTCATAATGGAGAAGTAGGACAAAAACTGTTTGAGTTAATCAATGAGTCCAGAATGTGCTGCACCACTTTAGGCCTTAAGTCATTGGAGGGTAGAGATCTTTTGGGATCTAATTGGATGCCCAGCAGGCTGATGCTGTGTCTTAGAAACTGGACTTTTAACTGGTTGGGTAAATACTTCTCCAGCCTGTCTTGTACTGCTTGTTCTGCCGGAGGCTAGCAAAAAACCATGTGAATATGTACAATGTATTAGGCCAGGTCCTGAAAGTAAATTAAGATAACATCAAAGGGATCCTTTATAAATTGATGGAGGGAGGCCAGCCTATTGCATCATTCCTAATGTCATTCTAACCACAATAACTGTACCGTGTCCAAAGGTAGCTTTGCTTTTTCACTCTCACACTGGATTCCAGCTAGTTTGTGTGCCTCCCAGAGGTTGTTTGGTGTAGATGCTTAATGTACATCATTCATCTTACAAACTGGGGAGCATTAGATGGTGATAGTGTTGAGAACTGTTAGTCTTTTTGTAACCTCATTTTCCTACTTTTATATTACGTAAGAAGAATTAAAACCCAAGGAGGGGAGAGAGAAGAGCAAATGAGCTTTCATTGAAAGTCTGCCTCAATGAACTTCAGGAGTTGTTTTGTATCTGGCTTTTTTTCCTCTCAGATAACTATGGGATATTGACCCTTGTTTACAGAATTATGCTAAGTTCTTTGTGTATATTACCTCATTTAATCCTCACAACACATCTCTGAGGAGTGTCAGTAGTAACTCCACTATATAAATGAGGAAACTTTGGAATTTGCTAAATGGTCATAGAGTCGGTTTCATAAGGAGATGTAAGAGATATGCTAGGATCCCTATCAATCTTGGTGCTATGGTTGTGGTGGAAAACATGATCTAGAATTCAAAACAAATCCAGAATAAAGCCCAGACCAGCTTTTGCCTATATAGATGGATCAGTATGAGCTGGGGGAAGGGGGTAATCATAGGCAATTTTTTTAAGAGACAGGTTCTTGCAACGTTGCCCAGGCTAGCCTTGAACTCCTGGGCTCAAGCAATCATTCTCCTTCAGCCTCCCGAGTAGCTTGAACTACAAGCATGCACCATTGTGCCCAGAAATAAGTAATATTAGTAAAAGCATGCAGACATAAAAGTCAGTTTTCAGGAATGCAATGCCATGCCATAGGGTTCAAATTACTAAGTGAGAGTGCAAATCCAAGGAAAACTGGGAAGAGAGCGAGTTAGCGACACAATTCTCTCTTTTTCATTCTTGGTGATCATCACTGGATTCTGGTCTTCAAAGACTGGCCAGATGAGGAGAATGATTTCTATAAGAAATCAGAGATCTGAGAATGAAGGTACTATCTAAGTCAATGACCCTGCATCAGAATTTCCCCACCTCAAATCCCCCAAGTCAAAATCTCTGCAAATATCATGTGGAAATATAAATAGGATAAAGGATGACAGACATGTTCATATGTATTAACATTTAAAATCCTTAAAAGCATCTAATCAACTACATGCCTGCTTAGAAAACAAAAAGACCAAGGGCATATTTTTGGAGGTATTCTATAGTTATGGGTATTGTAAATAAACATGCTTGCTGGGGATACCCATCCTTTGTCTCTTTTGTAAAGTCTATAATTCTGAAGTGATTGGCTGCCATTGCATTTTCTCCTCTTTTATTCAAAGTATGACCACAATAATTAAGGAATGAGGTTAATCTTGGAAGCTGGTAAAAGGGGGCTGAAAGAGGGGAACTAGATAAGTGGAATTGTTGAACGCCTTTAATCTCAAAGCCTTCTGCACATTACAAATCACATTGAATCTTCCCTTTCAGAAGGTATCAAATTCAGAGAGGATAAGATGTGTGCATTTGATAGATGCCAATGTTTACCTTAAGACTGAAGTTCTGTTTCCTTTATGCGCAAGTTGTACCAGGAACAACCTCAGAATTGTTAAACACACTATAGTTTGCTTCTGCTGCTCTCTGTTTCCTCAGTATTTCTTTAGAATTGTTTAGATCCCTGTCTGGAAGGAGTCATTCTACTTCTCAGACAATATAAAAAAAATGTCAGAAATATCAGCCAAAGACATGAGTTTATTCAAACAGAAGCAAAACTTGCTTGTGTATATTCAAATGAACTCATTTGGAAGCAGGATGTAAATTTCAGAACTATGTAAATAATTAATAAAATCTTAAAGATATGTCAGTCTGGAATTCACCTAAAATTTGTTATAAAGTCCTTTTGAATATCATATCTTTTTGAAGGGACATTGGCTAAAAATTTAACATGGGTCTTTCAGTGGTGGTATTATATATAACAACTCATTTCTTATTTTGTAATTGACTTAATCTAGAGCACTCTTTCTCAAATGATTCCCTTTGCAACGTGCCAAACTTAGATTTTTCTACTTCTAAAATCCAGCGACAGATATCTTTTTCGCTCTGAATGAAAAAAATACTCAAGTATTTTTTTCAAGTATTTTCTTATTTATTTACAGGTGTTATTTATCTGCTCATAAATGCTGATAGTCAAGAACAAAATGAACGAGTCACAAGATATTGAAAACAAAAATCCTTAGGAGCAGCTGATCCTGGTGGGCCAGGTTGGCTTCTTTGAGATGTGAAATTATGATTCTTTATCTTATTGCCTACGTCAAATGTCATCTGGTATGATAGGAAAAGTGTTCATATGATAGAATTATCTTCAGCAGTAGGTAAGAAGGTTCTCCAAAGAGCATGACACCTACAGGAACACACCCATACCAAAAATTCGAGAATTACTGATTTTGAGAACTCATTGCCCTTAATCACAAAGTCTTCCTTTGTCATTTTTGTTATGCATATACCTTCTGACCCTGTTTTCCTACTTCTAAGTGTCTATCACATCCACCAAACAAAAATTTTTAAACACATGCACATGGTGTTTATTATGGCATTATTTGTAATATTCAAAAATTGTGGCTGGGTACTGTGGCTCACACCTGTGATCCCAGCACTTTGGGAGGCCAAGGTGGGAGAATCACTTGAGCCTAGGAGTTTGAGACCATTCTGGGAAACATGGCAAGACCCCGGTTTCTACAAAAAATTTAAAAGTTAGCCAGCCTCAGCTACTTGGGAGGCTGAGTTGGGAGGATCGCTTGAGCCCAGGAGGTCAAGGCTGCAGTGAGCTATGTTCATGCCACTGCACCCCAGCCTGGGCAACAGAGCCAAACCCTGTCTCAAAAAAACAAACGAAGGAAGAAAAATTGCAAATAACTCAAACATAGGAGAATGTTTTGGTAAATCTTAGAACATCCATATAGGAGTTTTACAAAACAAAATAGCACTATTTATATTGATATGGATGATCATCAAAGCATAGATAAATAAATAAAAGTAAGCTGAAGAATAATCCATCTATATGATCACTGTATATGATGTATTTGGTACACATGGGGCAAGCGCTAGGAAATAAAGGGGGTCTTAGAAAAAGTTCAGAGATGTCACACACCAGACTCCAGGTGGGAGGGTGAAGTTGAAAGGGTAAAGGAGAACCTGAACTTCTTAATCTACATACTTCTGTGTTGTTTAAATGTATTCATAAATCATTTGTGTGCCTAAAAATAATTTTCAAAAGAGAAATCACATGCTTTAAAAAAGCACATGTGAAGAGATTTCTTTCCTTTAGAATTTAGTGCCAGAAAAACTTGTGTTCAAATAAGAATTTGTTTGTGTTTCTTCAATTCTAATGGAAATAATTCAAGAATGTTTCCCTTCTAATTCTGCCTTTCAGGAAGCTCAGAATCAAAATGGATGCTCAGTTGGAACATCCGCACTAGCCTGCCACATTAGCACGTTTGCTACCACCTCTTTCTGCAGATCCCATTTGCAATTTCTGGGTTTACACCATCAGACTGATTTTCTATGTAATCTTCGTTATAAGCCTCTTCAGATGTTTTTAAAATGAAATGAGGAATACATTAATGAATAATCAAATGATTATTTTCATTGAGTTGGAAAGTCATTTCACGTTTCAGAATGGCTGTTAGTGACAGTTGACTTCTACCTAAATGTAACTCAATATTACACATTCTCATCCTATAATATGTAACTCATACCTAAAAAAAATAATCAGTGGGCTCCAGAATGCGCAGAAAAATATATTCAGGATTTTGCTTTTCCCCCCAGTACTGTCTAAGGTGGTTGTTTAGGTCTAGTGAGCCACCGAAATTAATTATACCCGAAGGAAATACACAGACCTCAGGGATTAGATGGCAATGTATCTATTTATTGAAGTCCTCTCTGTGTGAAGTAAAATAATCCTTAAAGAAGATTAAATGGAAAGACCACCGTACAGATTTCTACAGGCAAAGAAAGATAGTCTGCTTCAAACAGTGAAGTTTAAAAACTGTACATTTTTTAGAATACTGACAATCACAGGCCAAGGCTCACCCTTCCTTACCCATTTCCACCCAACACACACTCGAGTACAGCATCCTGTTTTACAGGTTTCAAGCATGGCTCCATCCTTGCTTTAAAAAAACAGAAAACCAAACCACTTTCGGTACATTTTGGTGTGTTCTTTATTTTGAGTGTCTTTTGAAACACATCCTTCTATGTTCCAGAAATAAACTGGCAGCTCCCTCTCTTGTCCTGGTGAAACTCCTCACCGGTCAGTTCCCCATACAAACAAAGCCATGAGAGAAGTGTTTTGGACAAGGCTTTTCCCAACTAATGGCTTGAATGTGCTCTGGGAATGCTAACATGATTTTTTAATTAACATTAATTCTGCTTAGCTTCAACTATGAAAGAAATGGGGTTTCTTCAAACACCAATTAACAAAGCAAACCCCAATAAAGGGAAAATACTCGCTCCCCACCCCCAGCCCCTAACAGGAAACTCCCCCCTGTTGAGTTTTCCCCAAGGTCTCTATAAACTTTCTCTGATGAACTTGCTAGAACCTTAATGAGAATGAATCAGCACAGATTTTTCCATCATATAAACAGAAATATTTAATTTCATGAAAGGGGACAGCATGCTGGATTCTGCCCAGCCCACTACATAATGTCTTCAGTTTTTCCTCCTTCCTAGTAGTTTATTTATCATAGTATTTTCATTACAGTAATTCCTCAGAGTTTCCCAAACCTGAAGACTATACCTCAGCATCATAGATGAAACAAAAAGACCTAAGCCTCATTGCTGACTCTATTTTCTTACTTGAAGCAGAGGGAAAATATTTGCCCTCTTTGTGTTTGCTCAGAATAAATTTCCCTGCATGGGCCACTCCTAGGACCCAGAGGGACAATCATACTTCCAGACAAGCCCAGGGGGCAAAGCAACACATCCAAAGATCCCACTAGGACAACCCTTCTCACACTGTATTCAGAGAAACACAAAATGTTATTCTGTGTTCTACTCAAAAAGGGTTTTGTGGTCAAATAAACTAGGGAAATGCTTCAAACCATATTTATTTGGAGATTCACAAAGCATGTCATCCTGTTAAAAGCTCTGGAAATCTTGTAATTAGAAAATCTAAGTAACTTGCTTAACTCTATTTATTTTTCTGACTATTTAATCACAAGACCTTTCTTCATGGAACACAAGCATTCTACAAATCACTTTAAAAATGGGAAGGAAGTGAGTACTTACTAAGTACCAGCTATGTGCATTGATTATTTGAGTTAATCATCCTAACAGTCCTATTAGTATTATTATCCCCATTTTACAGGTTAAAAAATGCTGAGGTTCAAAACATTTTTAAAACATGTCTAGCTTTACATATATAATAAATTAATGGGGCTAGCATTCAAATCCAAATCCAATCAGATGGGTGAAGAGGTTTAAAACTGTATCACATGAAGGAAAATCGACCATTTTAATCGACCATAATGTAATTTTAGCTTAGTCTGATTTGGAGGAGTTTCTGGGGAGGGGAGGCATGACATGATGATGTCTTTAAATATTTGAAAGATGGGACTGTTAAGTGAAAATTGGATTATTCAAGCATCAGGTGGGGTGACTCAACCTTCAAGCTTCCATTCAGGCCTGAGACTATGAGCTTTTGAGCTGTTAAAGATGCACAAAAGAATGGTTCACAGCCACTGGTGATCAATTATCTTCCTGGAGGCTCACCTCTAAATTCATACAGCTTGGAATTCCATGGAGTGTCCTTACAACTTATAAATGTAATAAACACAACAGAAGAAAAGTAGTTTTAAGGCCACCAACACAACAATGTTTCAGTCATACAGGAAGAATCCCAATGGCTTTATGATGAAAAAACCAAAGCTTTACTATACCATAATTTGTCATGGAATAAAATGGCAACATCTTTATTAGGACACATTTCATTAAACCGCTTTCACACTGCTAAAAAAATACTGCCAAGACTGAGTAATTTATAAAGGAAAGAGGTTTCATTGACTCACAGTTCTGCATGGCTGTGGAGGCCTCAGGAAACTTACAATCATGGTGGAAGGGGAAGCAGGCACATCTTACATGGTAGCAGGAGAGAGAGGAGAAAGTGAAGGGGGAAGGGCCCCTTATAAAACCATCAGATCTCATGAGAATTCACTCACTATCAGAACAGCATGGGAGAAACTGCCCCAATGATCCAGTCACCTCCTTTCCTTGACACGTGGGCATTATGGGTCTCTCCTTTGACACATGGGGATTATAATTCGAGATGAGATTTGGGTAGGGACATAGAACCAAATGCTATCACCCAGCCAATGGCATTTATTTATAAGAAGTGCTAGAAAGAACCTTATTATAGTATCCGTCTCTCTCAAAACATCATCACACGTGATTCTATTCTACAAAAGGTGGTGCTACAATCAGCATTTAAGGCATAAGGGGAGTAAAACTTGAGACTAGCAACATCTGAGAAGCCTTCTTACATAGTTAATCAACTAGTTGCAGTATTTATAGAAGTCCTTCAGAAAGTACAGGGAACTATGCTGGATTTGGGCATGGAAGAGAGCTTACAAAGTCAAGTACGTGGAGATAGAGATAGAGACAGAGATATATTTTGACCAAGAAGAGAGCAGAAAAATGTGAAGGAATTATACTAAATTAAAACAGACTGCATTTTTGTTATGTTTGTGTATAACACCACTAATATTTTAGCAAAGAATTTAGGGAAAATACCACAAATCATGAAGAGTAGCTCTGCATACTGTGCGACTCTGCTCATGATTTTTCTAAAGACCAATGTGGAAATTGACAAAAATCAGCTCCATGAGTTAAGTTTCCCTACAGTTCTAAGTAAACTTCCCTCCACTCTGTTGATGAAGCTAATAATGCCTAATTATTTACCAGGGTTTTCTGCCTTGCTCCTGGTCTAATTAATTAGGGCTGGAAACAGTGTTTTACTACATCTGTTAGGGAAATCATTGGAAATTATTCATATCCAAAACTATTTTGCATGGGTTAATTTTTTTATTTTTTATTTTTTATTTTTTTGAGATGGAGTCTCGCTCTGTCACCAAGGCTGGAGTACAGTGGTGCAATCTTGGCTCACTGCAACCTCTGCCTGCTAGGTTCAAGTTATTCTCCTGCCTCAGCCTCCGGAGTAGCTGGGACTACAGGCATGTGCCACCATGCCCGGCTAATTTTTTTGTATTTTTAGTAGAGACGGGGTTTCACCATGCTGGCCAGGCTGGTCTCGAACTCCTGACCTTGTGATCAGCCTGCCTCAGCCTCTCAAAGTGCTGGGATTACAGGCGTGAACCACCACGCCCAGCCAGGTTAACTTTAAAAAAAAAAAAAAAAACCCAAGTGGAACATGCTTTACATCACTTGGAAGTCATTTATTCCGCAAAATTGTGCTGACAGCCAACTACAAGCAGGACACTTGGGGGATGCAGCAAAGACTGAAAAACAGGCTTGTCTGGAAGAACTCATGCTCCAGAGAGGGAGAGAAAACATTCGGCAGTAACAAGAAAACAAAGTAGAGTGTGGCAATCACCGCAAGAGAAGGAGAGACTAAGTGCAGTGGATTTCCGAGGATGGTAGTTATTTATCAACATAATACATGTGTGAGATCTAGACTCAGCAGGCTATCATGGGTTCCCCTTCCATGACATTCTACTCAGCAGACACAAAGGTCTACTTAAATGTGCAGGACAGCCATAAAATCTGGAAACATAAATTTTTGTTTACACATTGATCATTGATAACATTAAGGATCTCTATGTTTTCATACTGTAGGTGCAAAAACAAAACAACTTTGTATGTAACCCATTCAAAATGATATGGAATAAATGAGTGTCTTAGAATTCTGGAGAATTTCCATTGTTCAAAATGTGAATATTCCCTTAATCTGTTTGCTAATGAATAGGAGTAATTTATAAAATTGATTATGAAAAAAAAGATGCTTTAAAGCCTCAATAGTATATAATGGGCAGGCAGAAATAAAATAATAGACCCTATTTTCATTTCTACTACTAAATTCTATATGGCTTTCTAAATATTTTCCTAAGAAGAAACTAGAGATAAATTACCTTAAAATGGATAGTGCGTATGCTGTTTAATTGCCAGGAACTAATAAGCGTTTTGAATCAAGTAAGACTGAAGCTTCTTAACTCTGTAGCTTAAACTTGTTACATATTTTAAAATAAGAAACAAGAAATTTTCTTCAAAAAATAATTTCATGCTCAGAATTACTAAAAACATGAAGCATAGAATGACTCTACCTTTTCCAACTATCTTTTCATTTTCTTTTCTTAAGACATAGGTGACATATCCAAGTGCTTGTCCTTCATCAGATGTTTCTATAAGCAGCAGAGCAGAAAGCTCTAATATCTATTCATTCGTAATGTGTCATTCTGAATGTATTAGGGACAACTGACTTCACATGTCATAGGTAATTAGAAAAGTCACCTTCAGTTCCAGGTTTTTAAAGCACAGCACCATATACTTTTAATAAGTACATGTATTGATGTCTTTTGACATGTCTGAATCTCTTTTCATCTCTCACTTTTATGGTGGATAAATTATCTCTATGGTCATTTAATTTAAAAGATTAATCAAAATATATTTTCTTTGCCAGGCGCAGTGGCTCACGCCTGTAATCCCAGCACTCTGGGAGGCCAAGGTGGGTGGATTGCTTGAGTCCAGGAGTTCGAGACCAGTCTGGGCAACATGGCGACACCTTGTCTCTATTAAAAATACAAAAAATTAGCTGGGCATGGTGGTGTGTGCCTGTAGTCCCAGCTACTCTGGAGGCTGAGGTGAGAGAATCACCTGAGCCCGGGAGGTCAAGGCTGCAGTGAGCCGAGATTGCACCACTGCACTCCAGCCTGGGTGACAGAGTAAAACTCTGTCTCAAAAAAAACAAAAGAGGAAGAAACCAACAAAATATGTTTTCTCTTATTTTAACCCATTAACTGGGATGTGCAATAAAGTTTTACCATGTTTTTTCTTGTAAGCAAGATAATTTGTTTGTGTCCTGAGATTCAGTAACCCAGAATGTTCTGTTCCTAGAAGTAATTTTTAGAGTCTTACCTGAGAAAACAAGAGAGTTGAATAAAGTGTAGGTGAAAAATTGAAAGTCGATATGTCATGTTCAGACAGTGGGGAGTAGTAGGCAAGAACTTACTGCTCATGAATGTTGTGCCTTCTGCGAAGGGCACCATTAGTTCAGCTGTGAATGGCCAACGCGGCTCTCTAAGAGTATTAATGGTGGTTCATAGGACCTGCCTGCAGATGAATTCTAGTGGAATGAGCTGGAATCACCCAGATATCTAGGCCTGCAGAGATGTGTGGATCAATACTTCAGATTGAACAGTGCTTTTACTGCTCTTCAAGGGCATGGGTGGGAAACTTCCAGACTTTTTACACATTTGGCAAGTTCATTAGCAGAAGACAGACATTTATTAGAGCATTCACTTCCCAGATATTAAGGTGCCTTCATCACAGGAAAGCTTTCCAATACTTCTGTCCTGGAATCCTGGCTCCAGAGTCATCTTTGCACTGAACCAATCATCAAGCATTTTTTAGCCCCTGCCTAGCCTCTCAACAGTATGATACATGACTGATCGTGGCTTATTTCCTGAAATACTTTTTTCTTTGGCTTCTACAATGTTGCACTATCCTATTGTCCCTCCTGCTTCTCCGGCCTCCCTTTTCAAATTCCGTTGCCTGTGCATTTTTCTCTAGGGAGCCTTTAAATACACCATGATATGTGGTCAAATAAATATGATGGACTAAGAAGAAATTAGACAATACAGCTGTATTAGTGTGGGCTAAACTGCTAAAACAAATAGTACATCCCAAAAATGTATAGTAACTCAAATATAAAAGAGGTTTATTTCTTGTTCATCTAATAGTCCAGAGCAGGGGTTCACAGTTTGCAGACAGCTACCCCACATGGTGATTCAGGGACCCAGCCTCCTACTATCTCAAAGCTCCACCATAGCCATTAGTATCTGTGTCCAGTGAAAAAGACGATAAAAGGCAACTAGGAGGCATAACAAAGACATCTACGCTGAAAACCCACTGTTCAGAACTTAGTTATATAATCACACTTAACTGCAAAAGTGACTGGGGATTGTGCTCTAGCCGTGTGCCCAGGCAACAAAATGGAGAACAGATTTTAAGAAACTCTCCCATAATTCACAATCAATTAATGGTATTTATATACAAAGAAACAACACAGCAGAAAAATGAGTACAGGGCACACACATACATGCACAAAAATATTACCAAGGCAAAAGTAAGTATCACCAATAAAGAGATATTCAAACTTAGCAATAATCGGAAATGTTTAAATTAACAAGAGTATGTAATCATTAAATATTTGGAAAAGCAATAATACCAAGTGCTGGGGAGTATTCAGGGAAACAGACATTCTCATACGTTGCTGATGGAAGTACAAATTATACAACATTTAAGAAACATAATTTGCTAACCTATATTGCAATATAAACTCATACTTTCATCAGTAATCCAACTTTTGGGGAACTGTTTACAGCGGTCGCTGCGATGTGCCTCCTGAATCCCACTCTAGCACTAAAGCATAAGTTTGCTCAGCTGCCAGAAGCCTTGCCTGCTGATGCGCCACAGCTGTGTTTCTCCCTGGGGATTTTCCTCCACACAAGGGAGCTGCTTTACTTTGAACCATGCTTGCTTTCCAGGGGAAGCCCACCTATTGGTGGTCAATGCAGAGGGTACAAAGGATGGCTTCCTTACTTCAGCTGGGGACATTTCTCAAGGACTGGATCACTGAATTAAAAGGATACATAGATCTAAAATCGACACCCTAACATCACAATTAAAAGAACTACACAAGCAAGAGCAAACAAAATCAAAAGATAGCAGAAGACAAGAAATAACTAAGATGAGGGCAGAACTGAAGGAGATAGAGACACGAAAACTCTTCAAAAAATCAATGAATCCAGGAGGTGGTTTTTTGAAAAGATTAACAAAACAGACACACCATTAGCCAGACTAATAAAGAAGAAAAGAAAGAAGAATCAAATAGACATAATAAAAAAAATAAAAGGGGTATCACAACTGATCACACAGAAATACAAACTAGTATCAGAGAATACTATAAACACCTCTACACAAATAAACTAGAAAATCTAGAAGAAATAAATTCCTGGACACATACACCCTCCCAAGACCGAACCAGGAAGAAGTCAAATCCCTGTATTGACCAATAAGAAGTTCTGGAATTGAGGCAGTAATTAATAGCCTACCAACCAAAAAAAAAGCCTAGGACCAGATGGACTCACAGCTAAATTCTACCAGAGGTACAAAGAGGAGTTGGTACCATTCCTTCTGAAACTATTCCAAACAATAGAAAAAGAGTGACCCCTCCCTAACTCATTTATGAGGCCAGCATCATCCTGATACCAAAACCTGGCAGAGACACAACAAAAAGAGAAAATTTCAGGCCAATATCCCTCACAAACATTGATGCGAAAATCCTCAATAAAATACTGGCAAACCAAATCCAGCAGCATATCAAAAAGCTTATCCAACATGATCAAGTTGGTTTCATCCCTGAGATGCAAGGCTGGTTCAACATACGCAAATCAATAAATGTAATCCATCACATAAACAGAACCAGTGACAAAAACCACATGATTATCTCAATACATGCAGAAAAGGCCTTCGACAAAATTCAACACCCCTTCATGCTAAAAACACTGAATAAACTAGGTATTGATGGACCATATCTCAAAATAATAAGAGCTATTTATGGCAAACTCATAGCCAATATCATACTGAATGGGCAAAAACTGGAAGCATTCCCTTTGAAAACCGGCACAAGACAAGGATGCCCTCTCTCACCACTCCTTTTCAACATAGTATTGGAAGTTCTGGCCAGGGCAATCAGGCAAGAGAAAGAAATAAAGGGTATTCAAATAGGAAGAGAGGAAGTCACGTTGTCTCTGTTTGCAGATGACATGATTGTATATTTAGAAAATCCCATCGTCTCAGCCCAAAAACTCCTTAAGCTGATAAGCAACTTCAACAAAGTCTCAGGATACAAAATCAATGTGCAAAAATCATAAGCATTCCTATACACCAATAATAGACAGAGAGCCAAATCATGAGTGAACTCTCATTCACAATGTCTACAAAGAGAATGAAATACCTAGGAATGCAACTCACAAAGGTTATGAAGGAGATCTTCAAGGAGAACTACAAACCACTCCTCAAGGAAATAAGACAGGTCATTAACCAGTGGAAAAACATTCCATGCTTATGGATTGGAAGAATCAATATCATGAAAATGGCCATGCTCACCAAAGTATTTTATAGATTCAATGCTATTCTCATCAAGCTACCATTGACTTCTTCACAGAACTGGAAAAAACTACTTTAAGCTTCATATGGAATCAAAAAAGAGCCCGCATAGCCAAGACAATCATAAACAAAAAGAACAAAGCTGGAGGAATCACACTACCTGACTTCAAACTACACTACAAGGCTATAGTAACCAAGACAGCATGGTACTGGTACCAAAACAGATATATAGACCAATGGAACAGAACAGAGGCCTCAGAAATAACACTACACATCTACAACCATCTGATCTTCAACAAACCTGACAAAAACAAGCAATGGGGAAAGGATTCCCTATTTAATAATTGGTGCTGGGAAAACTGGCTAGCCATATGCAGAAAACTGAAACTGGATCCCTTCCTCACACCTTATCTAAAAATTAACTCAAGATGGATTAAAGACTTACACCTAAAATCTAAAATCTTAAAAACACTAGAAGAAAACCTAGGCAATACCATTCGGGACATAGGCATGGGTGAAGACTTCATGACTAAAACACCAAAAGCAATGGCATCAAAAGCCAAAATTGACAAATGGGATCTAGTTAAACTAAAGAGCATCTGCACAGGAAAAGAAACTATCATCAGAACAAACAGGCAACCTACAGAATGGGAGAAAATGTTTGCAATCTATCCATCTGACAAAGGTCTAATATCCAGAATGTACAAAGGTCTAATATCCAGAATGTACAAGGAACTTAAATAAATGTACAAGAAAAAAACAACCCCATCAAAAAGTGGGCAAAGGATACGAACAGACACTTCTCAAAAGAAGACATTTATGCAGCCAACAAACATATGAAAAAAACCTCATCATCACTGGTCATTAGAGAAATGCAAATCAAAACCACAATCAGATGCCGTCTCATGCCATTTAGAATAGCGATTATTAAAAAGTCAGGAAACAACAGATGCTGGAGAGGAGGTGGAGAAATAGGAACACTTTTACACTGTTGGTGGGAGTGTTAATTAATTCAATCATTGTGGAAGACAGTGTGGTGATTCCTCAAGGCTCTATAACCAGAAATACCATTTGACTCAGCAATCCCATTACTGGGTATATACCCAAAGGATTATAAATCATTCTACTATAAAGACACATGCACACGTATGTTTACTGAGGCACTATTCACAATAGCAAAGACTTGGAACCAATCCAAATGTCCATCAGTGATAGATTGTATAAAGAAAATGTGGCACATATACACCATGGAATACTATGCAGCCATAAAAAAGAATGGGTTCATGTCCTTTGCAGGGACATGGATGAAGCTGGAAACCATCATTCTCAGCAAACTAACACAGGAACAGAAAACCAAACACCGCATGTTCTCACTCATAAGTGGGAGTTGAACAGTGAGAACACATGAACCCAGGGAGGGAAACATTATACACTGGGGCCTGTTGGGGGTGGGGAGGGAGAGCATTAGGACAAATACCTAATGCACGCGGGGCTTAAAACCTAGATGACAGGTTGATGGGTGCAGCAAACCACCATGGCACATGTATACCTATGTAACAAACCTGCACGTTCTGCACATATATCCCAGAATTTACAGTATAATAATGTAATAAAAACACAGAATTTCTACATTAGTACCTATGAGGCTTATCATATATATCTGGATTGTAAAATCAGGAATAAAGTTGTTTTATTAGACAGTCAGTAACTCACAGAAAAAGTTCTTGGTTTTATCTATTTTGTAGACTGGTAGTAGACAAGTAACTCAGTTTGGAGAAATTTTTTGTATGTTTATCTTCAGGTATAAAGTTCGTTTCCCTAGAACTACATTGTATATATTCAAGGTTTCAGCCCACTGTGGTAGAGCAAAATGTCAGTTTTGCTTTTCAACAATTTTTATGTATTACTAAGCTATAACTGGGCACAGACTTGCTTTTAATTCACCCTAGGTAGTTTTCTATACTTTTGCTTTACTTTCATGTGCCTTGTATAGTGCTCTACGTTGGATTCTCATGACAAGTTTGGGAAGTAGCCAAATGGCTTTTGTGTGCCCATTTTATAGATAAAGAAACAGTTTAAGAAAGATTTTTTGTAAATCCGTTCATAGCCAGTGCATTGTAGAACTGGAACTTAAACTGAAGTCTCTCGTTACCTAGAGTAGATGTGTCCTCTTCAGGCACTTTTTTCATAACGATCCACACAGGAAGCTTGAAGTTGCTTTCCTTATGTAACATGTCTTCCTTTTCTTCAGAACAGGTAATTATTCTAAGGAGAGACTTGAATCCCAGTCATATCATTTTAAGGACCCTTGTATGCAGTTATCTCCATTGAGGAATAAAAAGAACAGGTATTTCTGTAGCAGGGGCTACATCTTCTTCCAAGTTTTTAATGGGTTGAGAACATTTTGGCCATGTCTACATGATAAAAATAAAATGTTTTCCCCACTCAAAGCAACTGCAGATTTGTGAATGTGGTGTGTGTGTGTTTGTGTGTGTGTGTGTCTGTGTGTGTGTGTGAGAGAGAGACAGAGACAGAGACAGAGAGAAATGCGAAAATGGCTAAGCTCTCTCTGACCTACCTTCTCATTTCTGAAACTGAAAAGCCCTTGCTCATGACACTAAGGATCTACTCACTCCAGGGCATGCAGCCATGCTGGGGGGGCATGCCCAAGGGGACTGTGCCTGAGCTCCTGAAGTGTGCTGCCCCAGGACACCAGTGCCCCCACCCCTTCTTGTGATCCAAGTTAACTACAATCTGAGAATGTCTCCTCCTCCTGAACATGCATCTGTTGATCTTTCAATGTGATGATTGCAGAGGAAGTAACCAAGGTTTGGCTTTAGAACAATCAGTACTTTCAGAGTTGTAAAACTACTCTAAGGAAACCTTAATTTTGGTCCTTAGTAGAAGGAAGGAAGGAAGGAAGGAAAGAAAGAAAGGAAAGAAAGAAAGAAAGGAAAGAAAGAAAGAAAGAAAGAAAGAAAGAAAGGAAGGAAGGAAGGAAGGAAGGAAGGAAGGAAGGAAGGAAGGAAGGAAGGAAGAGAAAGAAAGAAAGAAAGAAAGAAAGAAAGAAAGAAAGAAAGAAAGAAAGAAAGAAAACAAACCCTTGCAGTTTCAGAAAGGCTTTTGTTCTAAACACAATCTCTAACTCTCTTCTCCTGTTCATTTGCTAGTGGCTGTGTTTAGACCAGTGAGGTGCTCCTGCTCAATTGTTGATATCTACCTTTTCAGCCATGACTGTGGAATCTCATCCATGACCTTTCAATGCTCTGTTTTATTTTGTTTAGTTTATATATAGTATATCTTAGCATAGATTTAACTTTTAATTATTGAATTCCTTGCCCACAGAGGCAAGTAAAACAGATAATCCCAAATATTTTATTTCAAATTCCAGGCTGAAAATATATCTGTACCTACATTAATGCCCCTAAATGCCTAGAGGTACATTAAGGTTCAGTCCTTTTCCAAAAAGAAAATATTTCTGCTACCCAATTCCAAACGCACCAAAGGTTCACGGACAATGTAAAACCTCCCACCTGTTTATGTTTTGTTTCACACCAAGCTGGCCTCAGGCAGGCTTCCACGCACCCCGGGCTCCCTGGTCTCCTCCCCTCTTATCTTTCCTATCCCTCTGCCTTGTACCATCACTGGGTTAAGGCCCTTTCTCTTCCTGCAACTGTCTCACATACTCAAGACCATGAAGAGCAGTGTTTCTGATTCCTTTCTGAAGGGGGAAGATGACGCCACACAATGTTGTGGGCAGTGGTCCTGGAACCTTCAAATTACTGAGTGAAGGATTTATGAGATGGAGCTTTCTTACCAACACTGATGGGCTCTCATAGGACTCACATCTCACAGGATTCATATCATGATGGGCTTTCCTGAATTCACATCATAAAACTAAATGACCCCATCTCACAGAGGTCAGGATGAGAATGGGTGAAAGGGAATCAGGGGGACATCCTGTCATATCCTATTTTTTTTTTTATACATTTTAACTTCCTGGCAGCTCCTGGTCTAACCTTAGATTAAGTGTTCCACCTCCAAGAGGAGAGATGGATCAGGGAAGCTGGCTGACATCAGAATATAAACTGAGAACAAAGCCTGATACCTGAGAGAGAGCAAATCAGGCAATCTGCATTTTGAAAAATCAGGAGTTGATTGAATTTTACAGTTCATTCAGGAGTTTCCCAGCACTAAGTTTCTTGCTTTTCCAAAAGGCAATACAGAAAAAGGAAGGCAACCATCAAGCAGGTTGAAATTTTACGTAAATAGCAAGCAGATGATGAGAGCAGGAGAATCCTCTGGGGTCTTGCCCCAAATGCTCCCCATACCAGGCCTCCTTCCCTTTCTTCCTGATGCAGCTGAGAGCTCTGCTGACCCTGTTTCTATCCAGTCAAAACACACCTGTCTTCAAAGAGCCATATGTTTCACAGGAAGAGTTCATTCCCCACCAAACGCAGAAGGCTGATACTGTGTGTTTCTCCAAACCCGGAGGCAAGAAAGAAGAGTCCAAAACATCAACAGGTAAGGATCTACCTGATACCTGGAGCCTGTCTCCACAACTGCCAGGGATTGTTGCCCCAGCATATTGAAATTAACAACTTCTTTTTAATTTTATTATTATTTTATCTTCAGTTTTTTGTTCTTTTTGTTTGTTTGTTTTTTGATTTTAAAAAAATTTCAATAGCTTTAGGGGCACAGGTGGTTTTTGGTTACATGGACAAATCATATAGTGGTGAAGTCTGGGCCTTTAATGCACCCATCACCCAGTGTCCATTGCATCCAGTAGGTAAGTTTCCATCCCTGACCCTTGCCACCCACCCCTCTTCTGAGTCTCCAATATCCATTATAACACTCTGTATGCCTTTGCATAGTTATTCCAGAAAGATGGAAACAAATCTAAAATATCTAATATAAATCTCTAGGACCAATCTTACTCTTTGGTCAAATATTATTCAGAATCATAATTTATAGTTTAGCTCCTACTTACAAGTGAGAACATTCAGTGTTTGGTTTTCCATTCCTGAGTTATTTCACTTGGCATAATGGCCTCCAGTTCCATCCAAGTTGCTGCAGAATATATTATTTTGATCTTTTGTATGCCTGAGTAGTATTCCATGTGCATATATACCACATTTTTTTTATCCACTCATCAGTTGATGGGCACTTAGGTTGACTCTGTATCTTTGCAATTGTGAATTGTGCTTTGATATACATATGTATGCAGATGTCTTTTTTGTATAATGACTTCTTTTCCTTTGGATAGATATCCACTAGTGGGATTGCTGGATTGAATGGTAGATCTACTTTTAGTCATTTGAGAAAGCTTCATACTGTTTTCTATATAGGTTGTACTAATTTACAGTCCCATAAACAGTGTAGAAGCATTACTTTTCCAACATGTCCACATCAACATCTGTTGTTTTTTGACTTTTTAATAATTCTGGCTGGGGCAAAGTGGTATCTCATTGTGGTTTTAATTTGCATTTCCTGAATGATCAGTGATATTGAGCACTTTTTTCATATGTTTGTTAGCCATTTTTATATCTTCTTTCGAGAAATGTCTCTTCACGCCATTTGCCCACTTTTTAATGGGATTATAGAACCCTCTTTTAAAATAATTTTAACATATTTAGATGGCAAGATTCTGAATAATATTTGACATAAAGAGTAAGATTGCCCCTAGATATTCCAGATATTTTAGATTTGTTTTTCATTTTTCTAGAATCAGCATAAACATGTTGCCCATTAGAAGAGAATATGCCAAAACTGAAAAATATGCCTTTTTAGAAAATGATCTCATTTTTGGCAGACTATCCATGACTTCTGAACGAAGCCATAACCATTCTCATTCTAGACAAAATGCCACAGGGCATTTTATTTAGAAAAAGAAACATTCTTTGCATTTCCCAGAGAATGCAAAAGAAGTAAAAAACATTACAAATGTTGTGTGGTTGCTTTATGAATTACTCCTTTTATGTTTCCAAAGCAAGTACAATACATAAGCCTCATAACTGTATATTTTTTTTCTCTATGGGACCATTGAAGATCTTTATGGTTAGTGATATTTTTAATTCAGCTCTGGACTTTCTCCAGGAAATTACTAATAATTACTAATTGTATTTTTGTAAGTTAATGAAAGGATGTGTTCTATTTTCAATGCCACCCCTCACTTGTGTAATTCATGATGTTTCTTTTTTACATGATTGAGTAAAGCTACACTACAGAGACATGAATTCACTAAGAAAGCTTCTTTGTGCAGTCTTATAGAAATTAAGTGTAAAGTCTAGTCATGCAATTGTCTTAAAAGAAAGTATTTATTGCCTCATCATTTTTTTCTTCCATTTTTGCTGCTTAGATTTTTTTATGAACAGAAAAGAGAACCATTTAGTGAAGCAGTTGTTCTGAATGTAGTTATCCATTGAGGCTGTGGACAATCATATTTGCAAAAAATATATTAATGGAATTTCCTTAGAGAGCCATTTTACAGTGTTGAATTTAACTGAATGTCAATAAGACACCTGGAATAAATTTTCTGATACTTCCAACACTTCCAAACTGCAAATTCAGATGGCTCCTTAAATTTATGAAGTCAGGTTTATTCAATAAAATCTCCAGTTCTTGTTATTAGATTGAATGGAAGTTTATGATTTGGGGAAGAATCTGCAGGGATAACAGAGAAGAAAAACTAACATCTTGCATCACAGAGAGTTGGCTTCCCTTTCAAACTCTTCTGCCAACTTGTAGGACACCATCATGGAAACATACAGGTAGTCTCATTTACAAATGGTTCTGGTTTCTGAGCATCTTACATTAAAGACTGTTACAGAAACCGAACTTAGCATTATGCTCTCCTCTCTCCTTTACCTCCCTGGTATACTGCCCTGACATTGTTTTCGCTTTCTCTTTTTCCTTCCTTCCTCTCTTCCTTCTCCCCTCCCTCTCTTTCTCTCTCTGTCTTTCCTTCCTTCTTTCCTTCTTTTCTCTATTAAATTTTTTTGGCTTTACTTTCCATAGGGTAGAAATATGCCAGCCTTGAATATAGTTTGAAGCCAAGCTTTTACTCTTAGTTTGGGGATGGAGAAGTGACTCATTACCACATATTTTTAAGTCAGCTACAAATTCAGGAATGCGTGGGTTATGGGCTGATAGAAGGGGAATTGGGTACAAAGTAAACCAAAAGCTCTATTAAGGATATACCAAGAGTTATATGTCGGTTGGGACCACAGTCAGATATCAGAAGGAGCAATTATCAAACACAAGGCATCATACTACTGGTAATACTAGAAAACACTTAATAGCACATACTATATGCCAGGAACTGAGTCTATATATTCATATTCCTTACAACAATCCCATGAGGTAAGTATGCCCATTTTATAGATTAGGAAACGAAGGCACAGAAAAAAGTAAATAACATGCCTAAGATTACACATCAGTATAGGATTTAAACCCAGGCATTCTGGCTTCAAACTCCATCCTATTAACCGCTACAATCTTTCTGGAGACTGGTTTTATCTAGTTCAGGAGCTTTTATTGGGACTACCTATTGTTGGTGGCATTGACATCTTGAAGGAGCAACTTGTTATCCACCATGCCTAGTCAGTACATGTTATGAATGTAGCATTATTCCTACGTTCCTAGGCCACTCTGTTCCAAGAAAATGAGTGTGGCCACTCATGCACCCATTTATCCTTCTCTCCATCCATCTGGCTGTAAGAGCCACATGAGTCTCACTATGGGTATGAATCCTAACCCGCAACATTTCTATATAGGCCAAGTATGGTTAGAATGGACACTGAAGTAGCAAAGACTTGGAACCAACCTAAATGCCCATCAATGATAGACTGGATGAAGCAAATGTAGCACATATACACCATGGAATACTATGCAGCCATAAAAAAGGATGAGTTCATGTCCTTTGCAGGGACATGGATGAAACTAGAAACCATCATTCTCAGCCAACTAACACAGCAACAGAAAACCAAACACTGCATGTTCTCACTCATAAGTGGGAGTTGAACAATGAGAACACATGGATGCAGGGAAGGGAACATCACACACTGGGGCCTGTCAGGGGGTGAGGGGCTGAGGGGGATAGCATTAGGAGAAATACCTAATGCATACGGTGCTTAAACCCTAGATGACAGGTTTTCTTCTGTTGGCCTAAATGGTATGGTAACAGGATTCTACCAAGTACTACTTAAATGAATGGGTGCAGCAAACCACCATGGCACAGGTATACCTATGTAACAAACCTGCATGTTCTGCACATGTATTCCAGAACTTAAAGTGTATATATATATATATATATATATATATATATATATATATATATAGAATGGACATTGAAGGAAATCTTGAAAGGGAAAGGGAAAAACAAGGTGAAAAATTTCTGCAAGGAGACTTATGCAGCCTGAGAAGAATATGAGGAAAGAAGTGTATCATAGTTACAAATACTGGCTCTAGAATCCAGACAGACCTAGGTTGAAATCCTGTTTCTGCCACCTCAAAGCTGCAAGACCATTGCAAAGCAATGTCTGTCAAGTTATTTGTAGCCCAACATCAGGCACAAGGTGTTTATATAAACAAGACCATGCCTACACATATGTTTATCACAGCTAGCAACACCCAGAATGACCATGACTGAAAAAAAATCTTAGAAATATATAAAGTGTAGTCACTATCTTTCTTTTCTAACTCCCAGTATTCTCTGTCCTACATAAAAATTCAATGCCAACCCAAAAACTACCCAGCTCACTCCTCCTTATCTCCAGAAGTCCAAATCCTGAAGATACTATCTGAATTACCTGAGTCCTAAAGTAGCACACATGGGAAAGAAAATGACTGATAAGCAGTTATGTACCTTTTGCAATTAGGGACAGTGAATATTTGCTCTTAAGTAAGAACAAGATTAATGTGTTCGCTGCCACTGTGACATCTCATATGCATCAGAAAAATCAGAATTGTCGCTGATCTTCATAATTAAGGCTACGGCTAGTCTATTGTTATTTTAGTTATCAGCTTCAGCTCATCTTTTACCGAAGTTCTCCCAAGGATGACCCAAAAGTAACCAGTGCCTTACCCTGCTCAGCTTTTCCTGATACTGGTGAAATGTATTGACAACAACTCTAACATCTTTTGATACCAACATGTGCCTCCTAAGAGTGTACAATGTATTATTTCAATTAAACATGTAAAACAACATCGCAGCAACAACCACCAAGCAGTGTTGGGAGGTGACAACAGAGAGCTGGACAGGAGTAGAGTGGTAGTCAGCCCTGAGAATTCTAAGTGGGAAGAAACACTCTTTATTTCTTTGACTGAGAATACTCATTGCCCTTTGCCTATAAGGGAATTGAGTTTTAAAATAATTTTTAAAATTAGCAAACTCTTATCCAGCTTTCAATAATTTAGCCATACCTTGGAGGCTCCTCTTGAAAAGGTGCTATGCCCATTACTGTGCGCACACACACACACACACACACACAAAATATTGGAAAAAACCCCCTTGTGGTTTGAACCTGTTGCCAAAAAATATAAACAGCAGAATGGATGAAAAACATGAGGTGAAGTCTGTGCCTGACTGCCCCAGTGCACAGCCAATGCTAATGTACTTATGTTTGATACACACTTCAGTTAAGGCAGTAAACAAACTTCACAGCCCAAGAATAATTTTGGGTTATTTATTTCGATGAACACATTCCCACTGGGTTTCTACTGATTGTGAATTAATTTTACTCAGGTATTTCTCAAGGGGAATGTTTCATGAAATTATCATATGCAAATAGTTTGTGGCATATTTTACCCTTTTATTTATTTATTTTTTATACGCACCAGTTATTTTATGAAGTGCTTCTGAAGAAGCACATCAGAACCTGCTTTTCAGTCATTAGGCAAAAAATAAAGATTTCTACACTCAGAGTTAGTTCACAAGTCTTGGAAACAGATGTCTGATTTTCTTATTTCATAATCTGAAAATCCAGAAGTACGAAGGTCTGTTCTTTGCATATTCATTTATGCCTGGTGACTCAGACAAGTATCGAGGGAGGGAATGAATCATCACGTAGAATAAATTGCAGTATTGTTAGTCTCAACATGCAAAGTTATTCTATGATACCTAATTTCAATCTGTTATGCCTAATTAAAGTGGTGATAAAATGAGAAATAGAGAATCTGAATTTTAAATAAATTTAAAAATATATGAGGATTTTTAATGAACTTAGTGGAGCAAAACTTCCAAGTAAAATAAACCGTCATACTTAAAATGATCTTCAGTCTTTCCTCTGTGTGCGATTGACAGGCCACCCTTCAGATTACTGCAGCTTAACAGTCTCACAGTGGACCAAGAAGGGAACTCTGTTTTAAAAGTGGCAAATAAGACCCCCGGGCCATGTCACCTGAAGAGGTCCAAGTGATGCATTTCATAATTTATTTTGTGAGATTTGGAAGGCTTAAGGCTTAGTCAATTCCAAATTCAAATGTAATACCAAGGCACTCAAAAGCTTCATGGTAGGTACTTCTGTTTCTATCAGATTCCAATTGGTGGATGATCAGGTTGTGTCAACCCTAATGATTATACCTAACGAGGAAGATAGTTTCTGGGGTTAATCAGGGGCCTAACTAGTGACAATATCTTTTACCAACACATGTCCATAAGCAAAAATTTAAATACAAAGAATGTTATTTATCAAGGTGCTAAGAGTTAGTTCATTAGTCATTAAATACATCTATGTAAAATGAGTCTGGTTTCCATGAATAGCCTAGGGAGACTCAAAATCACATGTTTAATTATTTGGTGTGTAGCTGCATGGTCACCCAGGGAATCTCTACCTATTCTTCATAAGATTGATAGTGCCTTGACCTGAACTGTTTCAAAACTGCTAGATATCATCCTCAAGTTACATGGTGTTTAATTTGATGTTATATGTTCACGAGCCAAAAGAGATGATAGATAAGGAGGTCTGGTTAAGAAAAAGTGCACCAACTCACTATTCCTCCAATGTCTTATAGATTCTAGATGTGAACTAAGCCCAGATTTTGCTGAGGTCTTGTACTTAGTAACTAGTCTGCAAATTCTGATCTAAGCTGAAACCCTGGGTTCCGCTGAGGCTATGTAAGAAATTGTATTTTCTCTAAAATAGGATAGATGTGGCTCAGAATCAGATGTTTAAGACTACTGCCAGTTTTCTCTTCCCTCCTTGGCTATGGAAGCCACAAGACACAGAGCAAGCCGGGTGGGAATGCATTTTTCAGAAAAGTAGGAAGATTCTCCCAAGAGGGAAGGCACAGACATTTTGGATTCTCAGAAGTGGCAGAACCTGAGACCAGATGAAGTCCTAGCTGGAATAATTAAGGTAAACAGCTAATTAGAGGATTTTGAAGGCTGAATGAATGGTGGGAACAAGAAATAAAAGAGAAGCAAGCCAAAATGGCAAGCTTTCTTGACAAATTGCCTGCCTGAAGCCAAGAGGCATGAAGTTTTGCCAAAGAGAACAGACACTGGAAGGTTTGAAAACATAGGAAGGGATTGAGAATTATTGCTTTTTAGACTTCAGGATGAAGGAATGAAGTCTAGTGATAGTATACATTTAACCCATCTTTAAATGCTTACAATTTTAAAATATTGTTCTTTAATGTGTCCACCTCTTCATCCATTTGACTATTAGAAAAAATCATGCCAGGTATTTTTTTTTAACCAAAAACCAATATTTGCTAGGTCACTATAAAACTAACTTGGCTATTCTTAAGAAAGTCTCAGTAGTTGCTTTATGCAGCCATAACAAAATGTGCCATTATTCACTGGGCAGGAACTCCTTGAAATGAAACATGGAAATTGGGAAGAAATGCTCAGGGTTTATCAGGGCATTCCTACACCTCCATATTGAAGACTATACCACACGTGTCCATCCCAGAGAGAATCCTAAAAGTCATTCTGAGTTGGCACCCCCATCCTGGGTACACAGATGTCTTCTGGCACTGGGTCATGCCCTAGTTCACAGCTTTATTGTCTCTTTACCTCAAACCACAGAGAGGTTATGTGTTAAACTCAACAGCTTAAACTATCCTTTGTGGCCTACTGTATACTCCTGGCCCTGGGCGCAGCATGCTACATGGCCTTAACAATTAAAGAACTTTCTCTACCAAGGAAACAGGAAATCATACATAACTCTAGTTATATGGATATTAAAGAAAAATCATCTCAGCCTATTTTTACATACCTAATTCAGATCAAAAAAGACAGTCCTAGCTATAAATTCCAAAAGGAATCCAGAAGCAAAAGAGGAACCATGGAAGTGACCAAGAGATATGGTGATTAGAAATCTAAATGTCACACATATATATGTACAAAAATGTTTATTGTAATATTTTTTGTAATCATAAAAACCTGAAAACAACCGAAATGTTTATCAGTAACATAATGGTTAAATACATCATAAAGCATCTGTACTATGGTTTTCACATTTCATAATAAATTACATAAAATAAAAGTGTATAACAAATACAGAAAAATCCCTAATATATATTATTAAATGGAAAAACAAATCACAAAACAATACATATTATATAATTACATTCTTTCAATAATTAAAATTGAGATAAGCAAAGTTAAGCATATATAGAAATTTTATACATATAGTCTTAAATGATTTGTAAAATGATCTAAAGGAATATACCTATCAGTGCTTACTGCTGAGGTGGGAAGTGAGATGGGGAATGAAGAGGGACAGAAAAACCTAGACTTTTGTTTGTTTTTGTTTTTGTTTTGTTTTTTAGACAGTCTCACTGTGTCACTCAGGCTGGAATGCAGTGGTGCAATCATGACTCACTGCCACCTTGACCTCCTGGGTTCAAGCTATCTTCTCATTTCAGCCTCTTATGTAGCTGAGACCACAGGTGCATGTCATCATGCCTGGCTAATTTTTTAAATTTTCATTGTAGAGATCTCATCTCTACAATGGTCTTGTCTCGAACTCCTGGGCTCAAGTGATCCTCCTGCCTCAGCCTCCCAAACTGCTGGGATTACAGGCATGAGCCACCTCTCCTGGCAAGACCTAGATTTTTTACTCAATTGAAGTAAGCTTTTTTTTTTTTAACAAATGTGCATTATTTACATATTACTTGTTTATATAAAAAAGATGAGGAGCAACAGCTAAATGATCTCTTACCTAAGGTATTCTACATTTTTTCTTCTTGCCTCATCCCATTTTCTCTCACTCTCGATTTTCTATTGCAGGATTTCTGTCATACAGAATTTTCAAGTCTCATCTAATGGGCTTTTATATACAATTCCTCATTTGTGTAGTACTTGGTAGAATCCTGTTACCATACCATTTAGACCAACAGAAGATTGATGAATTCACATTATCAGTGTCTTATTAGGTGCATTAGCTTGCCAGGGCTGCCATAACAAAATACCACAGAGTGGAGGCTTAAACAACAGAAATTTATTTTCTCACAGTTCTGGAGGCTAGAAGTGTAAGATCAAGGTGCCAACAGGGTTGATTTCTTCTGACGGCCTTCTCCCTGGCTTGTCGAGGGCCGTCTTCTGGATATTTCCTGATATAGTCTTTCCTCTGTGCACACGCACCCCTGGTGCCTCTTTGTGGGTCCAAATTTCCTTTACTTATAAGGACACCAGTCAGATGGGATTAAGGCCCAACCTAATGGCCTTCATTTAAATTAATTATTACTTTAAAGGACCTGTCTCCAGCCACAGTCACATTCTGAGGTACTGGTGATTATTATGGCTTTAAATTCTGAATTTGGGGGTCATAACTCAGTCATAATAGTGGGCCTGGAGCTTAAAATTTTCCTACTTGTCCACCGTAAGAAACTGTAGAGACCTTGAGTCAATTAAGCTCAGGTCTATCTTGTTAAGAGATGGCTATAGGTCACCTCCAGGTCACTCCAGAGGAGAGAACACCCACAGCACTCAGCATCCCAAGGTGCCTTTCCCTCACCCAACTGTTTCTCAAGGGAGATGGTACCAGACGTCAAAGTGGAAAAGGGATGGGCTTTCAAGTAAGACACCTTTGCTCTGCCACTTACCAGCCCTTCTCTGGGCTCCAGTTTCCTATCTGTAATAGAAAGTCAATAACACCTGCCTCACGGTCAGGGTCCGCCACAGGATTTGCAATACCCAGTGTAAAATGAAAATGTGGGCCTCTGGCTGGGGCAGGGAAGTCAATCTCTCAAATCACAGCAAATTGTCAACCCCCCCAAAATTGCAAGCTCTGCTCTGGGAAAAGTGTGGTACCTGGATCACCGTTGTGCTGCCAGATACCACCTTGGCTATGGCTGACTTGCCACAGGGACTGCACGCCTGACCCTAACCCTCTTCACACTTCCCACACTTATTCCCAGGTCCCTGTCCTTCCTCAAGCTCATGGTTAGGTCCCCGGCGAGGACTGAGGGCAACAATGGAACAAAGACCTCCCCCTGCTGACACAATTCCGCAGCTACCCCAGGAAGAGGGTGCCTTTATTTTCTATATACAGGGCAGAGCTGAGAGTGGGAGGCTGAGAATCTATCCAGAAGAGCGGGGAGTAGAGGTAGTAGTCAGAGACTGAGAGATGGAATAGCAAGCAAGCCAAGACTCCAAGCCCCAACACATGTTCCATTGTCTTATTGGACTTCACTTACAAAACAATACAATTATTAAGAATCTCGAGAGGTTAACTGCATTTAGACCCAGTGTGCAAGGTCCTTCTGAGCATAGGGTCTTGTGCCACTGTGCTGATCATATGCCCATGAAGCCAGCCCTGCTCATTGCCAGTTAGCCTATGGAGGCTTACTTGGTTCACTGTCTGATACATGGTATGAGTTTTGAAAAAGAGTTTGTTCTTTCTCCATTCCCATTGATTAAAAGAAGCTTAAAATCACCCATGCATAATCCACTGCCTTCAGAGGACTTTATCGTTTATAAGATTAAGTTTATCAAAGGATCCAAACAAAAGTAAACCATGCTCCCCCATTCTTCCAGGCCCAGTTAAAGTTCCATTTACTTTAAGAAGCCCTCACTGTTGGAATAGCTTTTCCATGGCCTTGTATAGAAGTTCTCCAAGAACTTTGGTTGTTCCCACTGTAAACCCTGCCTTAAGTGCAACCCATAAATGTGTCTATGCAATACATTAGAAGGCCCTAGCAGACAGAAAAGTCTCATCTGATGTATTTCCTTTATAATACCTAGCACATAGAAAATAAGTTTCGGGTTGAATTAAATTCAGTGGAGTTGAAATGGATCCAATTTCTTCTAATTAAGCGTTTTTCCTATTTATGAATTTCTCATTCTCAAGTTTGGTTGTGTATTTTTAAAGTAACATGAAGCAATCTAAAACAAATACAGGAAAAAGCCAAAGCTCTAGAAAAGCTCTAGTTTAAACAAATTCTTGGTTCTATTTAAGATTTCAGGAAAAAGGTTCTAGTCTAACACAAACAAAATTTTTTCTTAACAAATAATAATTAGCCACATTAATAAATACATAAACTAAACTCCATCATTTTAAGACATTGAATGATATTTAAACAATAAGACTTCCATTACTTTATTATTTCAAAAACACTTATTCATTCTAGCACACTTGTAACTTTGTAAAAGGAAATATCCATGCATAAAGACTTGATGAGAACTCAGGAATATGAAAACAGGTTGATTTGCCAAGGGAATGAGGTTGTGGAGAAATTATTCCTTTTATCTACTTTTTTTTTTTTAATTATACTTTAAGTTTTAGGGTACATGTGCACATTGTGCAGGTTAGTTACATATGTATACATGTGCCATGCTGGTGCGCGGCACCCACTAACTCGTCATCTAGCATTAGGTATATCTCCCAATGCTATTTTTAAGTGTTCAACACATTTAGAAAATAAACTAAAACAAATGTTTGTATCATAGCGGTAGTTACTCTAAACCCAAAGCAGTTATTTCAAGAATACTGGTTCCAAGAAAGAGGTTAGGTTTTGACTAATCAAAATTAGTCACATTTCAAAAGAAAGCACAAGAGCAACAAAATTCTCCTACAGAATTATTTCCTAATATTCTTATAATTAATCAACTTATAAGATAAAAGATTTTATTGTTAGTTTCTTAAGGGGACTGAGATCTCTATGGACATTTACACCTCTAAAAACACAGCTTTGTGGAATATATATCATTCTATTAATACCATAAAGATACATGCATTTGTGTATTCTTTGCAGCACTATTCACAATAAAAAGACATGGAATCAACCCAAATGCCCATCAATGATAGCTGGATAAAGAAAATGTGGTACAAATACACCATGGAATACTATGCAGCCATAAAAAGGAATGAGATGATGTCCTTTGAAGGGACATGGATGAAGCTGGAAGCCATTATCCTCAGCAAACTAACATAGGAACAGAAAACCAAACACCACATATTCTCACTTATAAGTGGGAGCTGAGCAATCTGAACACATGACAAACGGAGGGGAACGACACACACTGGGGTCTGTGGGGTATGGGAGGGAGAGCATAAGAAGAAATAGCTAATGCGTGCTGGGCTTCATACCTAGGTGATGGGTTAATAGGTGCAGCAAATCACCATGGTACATGTTTACCTATGTAACAAATCTGCACATCCTGCACATGTAGCCCAGAACTTAAAATAAAATAAACACACCTTTGGCATTTTATCAAAATTCCATTCATGACCCCGTTGTGCCAGGAGGTGGTTCCTCATAAATTGCTTTTTTGGAGTTTTTTACCTCCTGCCTAAAGAGCGTAAACTACCAGTTATGGTGTTCCCTAAACATGTGATTGGATACCACCATATCAGGAACACTTTTTGTAGAGTTAGTTTGGAAGATTTTGTTTAGACAGGGCCAGCCATTTGTAAATATCTACTAACTAATTTATCACAGACCATTTTATTTTATTATTCCAGTCACCATGCTTAAAGCAGGATTTTTATAAAGCAAAAGTTTTCCTTGTATTTTGTGAATCCTTTGGCTTATATTAGCTTGTGGTCTCTACTCCCAAGATGTTTTGGCAACCCTCCATTAAACACACACACACACACACACACACACACACACACACACACACACACACACACAAGAAACTCACATCTGGATTCAATTGATTGGATTTTAACCAGCCCCCATTGCAATATGCAAATAATTGTCCTCTTCAGTGTATACTTCACAGCTGATAAAACTGAGGTGTCTTAGTCTTAGAGCCCCAAACTTCTCTCTCATTTCCTTCTTTCCTCTGATAGCAAAATCTTTCAGAGAGATGTCTTCATCCAGAATGCATCTCATACACTGTCCAATTTTGTCTAAAAACATTAATAAATCAAGCAAATGAGAAATTCCATTCACAAGTCTGCTTCGTTTTGAGGGAAACTGACTTGCCCCAACCACTTCCATTCATGAATGAAGAGCAGACTTAAAACATAGACACAACTCTCTATATATATCTGTTTTCCTCATTTAATTCCTCTTACTTTTACACTGACTCATCCTCTCTCCACCTTCCACACCCATTCACCTGTCCAGAACATCAACAATTCTGCCTGCTTTTGGAAATCTAGAAGTCATTAATCTCTTCTCTTCTTTCAACTCTTTATTGTTTTCTGTATTTCGCTTCAATGACTTGCTTACCTTTCGTGAGCTCTCTTACAATGTCTAAGACATAGAAATTGTTTCAATACTTGAAAGGTGATCCAGGACCCAAAGAAGGTAAAGTAAAAAATTTTGGCATGCCAAGATTTTCAGAATACCTGGTTATCTGAGTTTCCTAAAATCTAGAGCCAGATGCTTCTAATCATAAACTCAAGGACAATTGGTCAACATTATTATATTCTTAATTTCAGTTCTAAATGTGGCACAATGTGCCCATAAAAATATCCTCATCTGTGCTTTTTGTGTTGGATGCTAGTCAACTTCAGAATTCAAACTTAGATATATCATCCCATTAGCTTTTCTGACATTTATCCCCACCCCCACACCCCCAATTTCAGTTCCATGTGAATTTAACACAGGTGCAGACTCAGGCTTCACATAAGGGAGCAATTTTCTGATTCATTCATATAAGACCCCGAGGGAAAGAGAGAACAAGATGTACCAAGGTAATACTGCTTGTTGAAAAATTAACTTAGCTTGTTTTTCTACTAAGGTAAGAATGCTCATATCCAGTGCTTAGATATGTGAACCAGCCCCACATATAATTCCTTAGTCATTGTGTGGCAGCATTTTTTTTATCTCAAGCTGAGAAAATGGTTCTTAGAGAATATAGATAAAGAGATGACTCTATTTTCATTTTTTATTTCTTTTAGAGATGGAGTCTCGCTATGTTGCCCAGCCTGGAGTGCAGTGGCTATTCACAGGCATGATCACAGAGCACCACAGCCTTGGGCTCAAGCAATCCTCCTTCTTAGCCCCCTGAGTATCTGGGACTATACTCAGGCACATGCCACCACACTTGGCTCCATTTTATGTCTTTTTTTAAAAAATCAGTCTACTTCATTGTTTCACTTCTATGCAGTAGAGATGCAACAGCAAAAATAGAGTGATAACTTCCCCCAGGCACACTGCTCTGCAAAAGCCACTGTTTCTTAGAGAAACACATATGAACACATTTCTAAGTTGTGCATGCTCAAATACATTTTGTAAATTATTATTCATAAAAATTCTTGGGTTTTATTAGTTTAGGGCTCAGTGAGCCTTCTAGCTGAACTATAGAGTTATGCAGTGTCTGGAAGCAGAATGGAGGGGGAAGCTAATTAACATAGTTCTTACATGACCAATGGAAATTCTTTATTTGCCCTCAGGATCTACATTGCTGTGTCTACTCAACACTGTTAAATATGACAAGGTCAGTAACCCTGTTTTTGTAAAAATGAATGTGAACAAACTTGGACCTCACACACATTGTCATTGTTTAACAGGGTCAACTGAGTTAACTGGGAGCATTATGCATGTATAGTGCCAAGAAGGCCCCATCAACAGTCAAGTATATAATGTTAACATATTAGCATAAGTAGTGGAGCAACAGATGGCCAAGCTAGAGCAAGTCAGATTAACCCGAAGATTCTGCACTAACTGTTGAGCCATAAGAGGGCTTTATATCTCAACACAGGAAACACTGGACAGGGACATGGGAGACCAGTGTTCTAGTCTTACCTCTGCCAGTTCCTTCCTAAAGGCTCAATTTCCACAGCAGTAGGATGAGCAATCTGACCAGAGGACATGGAAACCCCTTTTTGCTTGCAAAGCTATGATTCTAATGCAGTCTACAGGATAAATGCATTGCCTGTATGAATTTCAATGACAACTTATTTTTAATACAGTGTGTTTTGTACCGAGCTTCTATTTTTATTCCTTTGGTATTTGGCAGAGAGGTGGGAGGTATAGAAAGATGAACTCTAGCAAATCTGATTACCTAAAGTGGCCTGTGTTCAGGAACTTAGAAGTCTCTACAAGTTGGATAAAGTAACAACTGACATGAGCTCCTTAGGCCTTGCAACATTATCAGTGCTATAACACAATCTATTTATCATCTTCTGAGAAACTCTGTTTAGAATTCCAGTGGGAGTTTGTGACTCCCTTTATAATTCCAATGAAATAAACACTATTAAATCAATTTTTTTAGATTAAGAAATGAAGTCAGTTCCAGTTAAGTCATGTTAGGACAATTTAAAACCTTAACCAACAATTACTTTTTAAATGTATGTTGTTAAAATTTGCTTTTTTTCTGTCATTATACATACATCCAACAATTCATAATATCAGATAAATACTAGGCAAATACTATTACAGGGTGGAACTATAAGTTGCCTAGAAGGAAGAAAATATTCTATGAACATGAAACAAGCTTCTTTTGGTGAAAGAAAGGGAAACAAATATAAAATAAAAACTATCTAATGGAAAAGTACTATAAAGTATTGTAGATTGGCATATAAATAAGCCAAAGGATATGAGGGAAGGAGTGTTGCTTTTAAATCCATTTAAGTGTAAATAGACATCTTAGAAAACAATTTATTTTTAATGTAAATTGTCCTAATGTTATAGTACAAATTTCCTTTACATATCGTATTGGTTAAACTGTGTCTTTTCAACCCTAATTTTTTTATATTAAATTGTAAATGTTTGTACTGAGCCTTTTAAATGCTTGATGCAGTGTTATTATTCTGCAGCAAAACATTTCTGATGCACAACATTATTTTAAAATAAATCTCTCAAGATGATCATAGTTGCTGAAGTCCCCTGAAATTTATGGCATTTAAGAATAGATGTGTGTTTCTTCGGTGTGGGAGTTCTTCAAGGGAATTTTTAACTGCTGATGCAAACGTTAGTAAGCAATGCACTTGTTTGGTTAAGACTTTTAGCCTTGACCTCAGGCTTTAAACCCTTGTCCTTTATTAATCACGTGTTTCCTGAATCAAAGAGAATACTTTTGGAGGGGGAAAATTGTTCTGGGACTGAAGGAGTGTTATATACCAAACAGACATGCCCAGATGACAAATAACCCCTGAATGATAGCCAGGGTTCATCCAGCTGGTCGGCCCCATATTATGTGATTGATGGTGTTGATGTTCTAAATAGGCCTAAGATGTGCCAAGTATAAGAGCCATAACAAAGTCCTTCAGATTTACACTGTAGATAGAAGGAGGAAGCGAGAAGGCATGTTCCCAGCACATGGCAATTCTAAGAATGGTGTCATGATTACAAGTAACCTTGCAGGGTTTGTCTGGTTTATTTCGAAGTTAAACAAAAACTATTTGTTGGTCAGGAATGAATAGGGTCACATAAGGTCTGTCTCAACCTTATGATTACTAAAATGTTTCTCTGTAACTGGACACCTTCTGAAGCTAGAATAACATTGGAATCCATTGTAGGGATCAATACACTGATTTTTCCTTTGCCTTTTGAGGCTTCTGAGAAAATAAGAAAGGTTCTTTGCTTTAAAAACGAGGTATTATCGTGACATATATTAAAGCCATTAAGTATTTGAAGTAAAATATCTCAAAGATTATTTATCCTAACTTCATTCTCTTTACATTTGGGAAAAGGGAATGGCATTTTTAATCAAGCAGAGTCACAATAACGCTATGTTTATTCCTTTAAAGCATTTATGAATAATTCTTTAGAAGCAAACAATACAGAAAAAAGCCAAAAACTCATATTTGAGCTTTTCAAGAAGACAATGATAGTACTTTCTATTTTAAAATGAATGTTAAATATACTTCATATGCATAAGAAGCTGTTATATTATTATTTTGTTGTTTTTTAATTTATTTTTTATTTCAATAGGTTTTGGGGGAACAGGTGGTGTTTGGTTACATGAATAAGTTCTGTAGTGGTGATTTCTGAGATTTTGGTGCACCCATCACCTGAGCAGTGTACACTGTATTCAATGTGTGTAGTCTTTTATCCCTCACCACCTCCACCCTTCCCCCGCACCAGTCCCCAAAGATCACTCTATCATTCTTATGCCTTTGTGTCCTTGTAGTTTAGCTCCCACTTATGAGTGAGAGCATACAATGTTTGGTTTTCCATTCCTGAGTTACTTCACTTAGAATAATAGTCTCCAATTCCATCCAGGTTGCTGTGAATGCCATTATTTAGTTCCTTTTTATGGCTGAGCAGTAATTCCATGGGGTGCATGTGCGTGTGTGTGTGTGTGTGTGTGTGTGTGTGTGTGTGTATACATATATATATATACTCACACATACGACATTTTCTTTATCCATTATTTGATTGATGGGAATTTTTGCAATTGCAATTTGCAATTGCAAATTGTGCTGATAAACATGCATGTGCAAGTACCTTTTTCATATAATGACTTCTTTTCCTCTGGGTAGATACCTAGTAGTGGGATTAGTGGACCAAATGGTAGATCTCCTTTTAGTTGTTTAAGGAATCTCCACACTGTTTTCCATAGTGGTTGTACTAGTTTACATTCCCACCAACAAAGTAAAACTGTTCCCTTTTTACCACATCCGCTTCAACATCTATTATTTTTTTATTTTTTTGATTATGGCCATTCTTGCAGGAGTGAGGTGCTATCACATTGCAGTTTTGATTTGCATTTCCATGATAATTAGTGATGTTGAGCATTTTTCCATATGCTTGTTTACCATTTGTATATAGAAGCTGTTATATTATTATGAGATTTCATTAGCAAAAATTCACATCTTTATATAGCAATTTTGTGTAAACCTTCACAGCACCAAGAAAGTAGATTTCAATAAACTGACCCTCACTTTTCATCTTCTCCACAAAATTGCTTTTACTAAATTGATTCCATTGGGAGCTTTAAGGAAGAGCCCTGTGAAACTTGTCCCTGGGATTAAAGTAAGCATGTTGTTCAGGACAATTTCCATGAGGACACTTTGAGAAACTTTTTGTAGTCTTAGTATCAGGAATAGTTGTGCCTCTCTGAGACAATATATTTACACTGCCATAAAGACCCTGAGGTGCATGTAACTGAGGACATTTACTTCTTTGCATTGGTCACTGAAAAGCATGAAACTTAATTTGAAACCCATCTTTCACAATAAGATAGGGCTTAATAGTACATGTTTTGGCTTCTATTTCATTCTTGGATTTGTTTAACGTTCTTGTCTTTTCCTTTTGTTACAGGTTTCTCACTAAACTATTATCTCAATGTTATCTGTTCTTGTGATCCTCCTTAAGTTTCTTGGGAACAAAAGAAGACTGTTAATTAACATTTTGATTTTTGTGAAAACATGCTTTCCCCATCACCTTTCACAAATTTTAGATGACTTTATAAATGAGAAAACTCAAAAAATGAAAAGTTTGCTGAATGAATATAAATAGTACCATGACTTAATGTGATAGAATGCTGAAGATCAGAATTGTCAACTAATCTGATCTTCAATGTTTAGTTCCCAGTTGAGGATGGATTCACCAGTCAGAAAAGCCATTCGATTCTGTGTTACCTAATATTATAATATTCAAGATATTATGAATGTGTATATCTAGAAACCTGCAGTTGATAAACACTGTACAAAAGTGAAGCACATCGAATCATGATACTGCCATTACATTTCAGTGACTCTTATATCAACGAGCCATGGGACAATCTCTCAGGGAAAACATTCATGATTTTAAGAGTGAAATACACCCCTTCCCTTAAGCAAACAAAAGAGAAATTTTTCTCTCCATTGTGGTTTTGAGAAATAAAATGTTACAATATTCTTTTTGGTTTCAGTTTTGTTTTGGCACATTGCCGTTTCTGTTACCATTATGGTTGCTGATTTTATATTTAAAAGTGCTTTACATATACCCATTAGTCTTCACTGCAGCTTTCCAAGTTTAGGAAATATCCAGTTTCTTATACCTAGTTAACAAATACATAAACTAAATCACATATTTAGATTCTTTTTTAACCCACTATATAGCAAGTATGGTCTATAGCTGAGAATAAAGTCTGTGACTGTGTAAGTCAAGATAACCGGCTGTGGGCCAGGTGCGGTGGCTCACTCCTGTAATCACACCACTTTGGGAGGCCGAGGCAAGCGGATTACCTCAGGTCAGGAGTTTGAGACCAGCCTGGCCAACATGGCAAAACCCTGTCTCTACTAAAAATACAAAAATTATCTTGGCATGGTGGTGCATCCCTGTAATCCCAGCTGCTAGGGAGGCTGAGGCAGGAGAATCCCTTGAACCAGGGAGATGGAGGTTGCAGGAGAATCGCTTGAACCTGGTGGAGGTTGCAGTGAGCCAAGATCGTGCCGCTGCACTCCAGCCTAGGCAACAGAGCCAGAGTCCATCTCAAAATAACAAATAAATAACAACAACAACAAAAACAGACAATAGGCTGTGATCATTGTCTCCAGGAAAGGTGTGGCGAATAATGGTCAATTAGACCTCACAAGATAAATACATAAAGGTATAACCAACAGAATTGTGCTACAAGCTCTATTCTGATTGGAGAAATTTTGTGTCTCTAAATTATTCTCACATGATTTTTAACACAGATAAAAGTGAAAATAAAGCCCCAAGAAACCCATGCTCTCCTTTGCTTGAAAATCCTCCCACTGGCAAGATAGTGAGTTTACTCATGGTTTGTTTGTCACTGCATAACCTGTAACTCCACCCCTATGTAAGCTCTTCCACCTTTACATATTAGAATTTCAACAGCTATAATCAGTCTGTCCAGTTCAGATATTTATTTGCAGCAATAGGTGACTTCGTTGTGAAGACAACAAAAGTGTCCTTTTAAAGCATGAGAACTACACATGTACTACACTGTATGGTTATGAATAATTACTTTCCCTTTACTCTGAAAGAGATTCTGATCATTTCAGTGTTCCTCGCCACCAAGGAAGTGGTGAAACTCTTAGCTAGATGTGGTTAAGGGGTTACTCTTGAATCTGAGTTCTCTTTTCCTCTGGGTTTTGCTGAACTCTTTCTTCTGTCTGGGCTTTTATGACTATTGGTGGGTTTTCTCAGTCATTCAAGCTGCAGTTGCTCAAAGTGCCCTTGAAGCAGGGATTTTCTATTAATAGTATTTTTAAAGATGTTTGCTTCTTCTCAACTTCCTCAGAAAATTCAGTCCCTAGTTACATAAGAGGCTGGAAATGCCTGCCCTCTCTATTTGTTGCCTTAAATTTTCTTTGAGCACTGTTCCTTCTGTTTTCTCCTTGTGCAAAATAGAAGTGGTTGCTTGTACCAGAAGAAAACTGAAATTCTACAAATATACATCAGGATCGCATTCTGTCCCACTATTATTTTCAGGAAGAACTATATTATGATACTTTTTCTGTAACAATATTAAATGCACATGGACTAGCCATAAGAGAACTCATCAGCATCCCAGATTAGATTTTATATGCCTAAGTCTTTCATTTGAGATAGTGTCAATGTTGATTGAGTGGTTTCTGCTGTACTGAGCATCTACCTACCTTTAGTTTCACTGAGGCACCTAAGAAACGGTCAAGCCCTTAGTTCTTCCCATTCCTTCACATATTTTCCTCTGTTCCTGGCTCTTAGTGTTTTATCTGTTTTCAATTTCAGTTACAGTGAGTATACACTGTCCTCCTGAGCTCTTTTCCCAGAGACTCTCCGCTGCTATTCCAAAGGGCCTAAACTTCTATTCTGTCTGTCAAAGATGGTTAATACATGAGTATTAACGTCCAGTTTTTTTATATAGTAATTGAAAGTTTGCCTGCTGTGTACAAGACTGCCCTGCTGGCCAGGAACCCGACTGGACATAGCATTTGCCAGCCACCTGCTGGGAACAACAGTGCAGCGAGACAGACAGTGAACTCTGTTACCCAACAGGCATTTGCCAGGGCCTGATTTCTGCGATTCAGCGATGTACCTTTCAAAGGCTCTTCATCCAACTGCAAATCTTCCCTTCACTCATCTACTTGTTTGGATTCAGAAGATAGCACTTGCCACAAAGAGACACATTCCCTAATAACGTTTTATTCTTTTCTCTCGACCAACCTCTCTTTAATTCCCTGCATGTGGTAAGCTTCCTCAAAGTCTTCTGACTATCCACCCTGAGCCCATATCCTTGCATCTTTGTTTCCCTTTTTCACCATTATCACTCCAGAGAGATTCTCTTTGTAATCTTGGTCAGCTTTACAGACTCATCCTTTGTAATGGTTTGTATTAATATCTTTTCCTTTCTATAGCATCCTGTAGGGTTTTCAAAACCTTTTGATTTTGTTTTTCCTTTGTGACTTTCTTATGGTTTCATTTTGCATTTGTTTAGATACTTGCAATCTGATTGACACATCTGTCAAGATCAATTTTTTTACGCACTCTCTGCTTGGCTTCTAAGATTCATTTCGGCAGCTTCATTGTGGTTTGTTCATCTTTCTTGACTTTCCCTACAATCCAGAGTACTGTAGATGATTAGTGTAGCTTTCTCAGCATGCTTTTCACAGCCATCACAAGGCTTGGGAACTCTTGCAAAGGTCTAAGATTTTTGCAACATTAACTTTTAGGTCACCTTAGTGAATTTATAAAGGTGATTTATATTCTCTTCTCTACAATGAATAAACTTCTTTTGTCCTTTATGGGAGTACTCAAGAGCCCATGGTTTCCATCCTATTTCATTTCCTCTTATTTCTTAACCTTCTTTTCATTGATTTGTACTAATATATCAATGTGCTTGGCTCCTTTTTTAATGATCTATGCCTGTTTCTAAGATTTTAAGTCAATCCCATGGATAATGAATTTGTATTTCTCCTTTCCCCAAATTGTGGTTTTTATCAACATAATGCCTATATATTCAAATAGGTTATTTAGGCATGAGGCATAAATGTAAATATTCTTCATCGCATATGTGTTGAAAACATCCAACACTAGATGTGTAGCTTCTAACTTTGAGAATTTGATTGGAGAACTACAGGAATTACTTTTTTCTGCCTTTTGAGTCTGTAGAAGAGAATGATTTTCAAATATTCTACATTTTCTGACTTTCCTAAAGCTTAATCCCATTAATGACTTATAAGGGTAATTGAGATTTCTCTTGTTTAATATCCCTATATGTGCTTAGAGGCTGTTATGCCTCATTTTAGGTTTTTTTCCTTTCAAGTGAACATGCCAAGCAGTCTGCACCCTTTATTTAGAGGCTGACATACAAACCCTTTATCAACTTGTTGTTCTCCTTTGAACTCTTTCCAATTTACTTGAATTTTAAAACCTTAGTTGCACATTTAGCCACATTTTCTGTAGTTCCAGAGTACAAAAAGAATGTTGTGCTCACTCTGCCTCTTGCTCACTCTCCACTTTGTGAATTGTCATGATCTGCTTGAACCCCTTCACACCTAACAAGAGCCTGATCCTGTGCCTGGCATCCCAAAGCCTCCCCCCAACCAGGTACATCTGGCTCCCGTGAACAATAATGGTTCCCTCCTCCAACATGGCAATTGCTTTACAAGGGAGTTGGCATCAG
Organism: Homo sapiens; assembly: GCF_000001405.40. Lineage (NCBI taxonomy): Eukaryota > Metazoa > Chordata > Mammalia > Primates > Hominidae > Homo > Homo sapiens. The sequence goes on from NC_000007.14 coordinate 96,840,360, forward strand.
AGTATGTAGTTTTCAGACTCTTTGGTACTGAAGAAATCATTCTGCCCTTTATAACCAAAAAATGACCAAGTTACCTATGTGTCAAGACGGGCCTTAAAAAAGGAATTTTTTGCAAAATATTTATTAGTTTGGTAGATGGCCATGTTGGTTGGCATTCTCATATGAGGCGTATCTGGAAATATCCCTTCTTCTGTCAAACTCTGCACAATCAATTCAATCACTCTGCCTCCCTGTTGGGTCTTGGTTTCTCAAAGATAATTTTGATAAGTTTGTTGATGTTGTATCTGTTTTGCCAATTTGCAAGGGAAAAAGATAAACTTTAATAAAAAGTGGAGGACATTAAGAGAATAAAAAAGATCTTTCAAAAGAAAGATAGTCAGACATAGATATAGATTCTAGCTAGTAATCAATTAGGGAAGTTAGGAAAAATTCATACCCTCTTCTGAAAATTCCCTTATCTATACATAGCCAAATATAAAATCAGGTTTATCATGAAACTAAAAAGATAAAGTTTTTTTTCTAGCAAGATGAAACTAATAAAAGAAGTCACATTTTCCCCCAATCAACAACAATTATAATAATATTAAATTCAATTTTCTTTTGCAAGACCCAGTTTTCTTTAGGATTGTTTATTTTCACCCCAAAAGAGGCATATCCCAACGAACCTTATGGCAAACTTAACTTTATATTTTTTACCTTCTCTTACCTTATCTCATAAGCTTGAGAATTTATGTCTTGCATTATTTTGTTGATCATTTTTATTTCCAATGACAGTGAATTTTTAATTCCTGGTGATGCTGTGGATAATGATGTTGCAAAGATTGTATACCAGCCCTCCTAGCTAGATTAATGAAGGGGCTGGCATGGACATAGAAGTACCAATTTAGAATCATTTTAGAGAGAGAAAGAACAATAGTAATGTACAAACTCTGGTAAATATAACGTATATTATTCCACTCTTTAAAACTGCTTGTAGTGAGGTGTTATTAGCTAAGGCTGCTGCCGCAGCAGCTACTAGAGGCCATGAACTGCAGTGGTGCAAGTCCTAGAAGAGTTTATTTGTCTGTATTGATTTCCTGAAAACCTCGATTTTGGTGAAAAACGGAATATAGAGATTTTTTTGATGTGAGCAGCTCCCACTATTACACTGACCTGTGTTCATGCCCCTATGGTGATTAAACTCTTTCTTGGGCTCAAATCAAATCCTGGCTCTTGTTAATTTGTATAATCCATTTGACTAAAGATCCAGAAATGAGTTCTAGCTGCAAAGACTGGACTGGACTGCACTGCAGGTGTTTGAGAGACACTGCCCTATGTTGCATTTGACCACATTCCTCCCTGTTGGGAGCCAGATAAGGTACCACAGTATTATTCCTGGTCTTGGAAAAGTTCCAAAGGTCTCTACACCAATTCATAAGATATTGGGTGACCTGACCTAATGTGCCAAGTTTTCTGAGAAGTTCATGCAGATTGTCACTTCCATAGGTTCCTTTCCATGAAAGCAAGTACTACACCTAAGTACACTTAGGTACTACACCTAAGAAGGCAACAAGGAGGGACAGATTATGTAGCTGAGGAGACAACACAAAGACTGAACAAGCCCTCCTCATTCCTTGCCTTTATGTAATGCTTTACACATTACAAAGCATGTCATCATTTAGCTGGTCCCTATTTTGTCTCTACAATTACTCTGTAACATAATTAGGGGCAACAAAATTAACTTTAGAACAGAGGAACCTGAAACTCAGAAATAGTAAATGGCTTGCTAAAGTTAGCTTCTCATAAATATAGACACAAAATCCTCACAAAATATTAGAACATTGAATCCATCAATAGGTAAAAATAATAATGCAACACACAAAAGTAGGTTTTCAAAAAATAATTCCAACTTTTATTTTAGATTCAGGGCATACATGTGCAGATTTTTCACACGGGTATATTGCACGATGCTGAGGTTTGGGGTGTGATTGATCTCGTTAGCCAGGTATCGAGCATAGTACCCTTAGGCAGTGTTTCAGCCCTTGCCCCATCCCTCTCTCCCCCCTCAAGAAGTCCCTATTGTCTATTGTTCCCATCTTTATGTCCATGTGTACTCAATGTTTTGCTCCCACTTACAAGTGAGAACATGCAGTATTTGGTTTTCAGTTAGGATAATGGCCTCCAGCTGCATCCATGTTGCTGCAAAGGACATGATTTTATTCTTTTTTACAGCTGTGTAGTATCTCATGGTGTATATGTACCATCTTATCTTTATCCAATCCACTGCTAATGTGTACCTAGGTTGATTCCATGTTTTTGCTATGGTGAATAGTGCTGCAATGGACATACAAGTGATTGTGTTTTTTTGGTAGAACGATTTATTTTTCCTTTGGATATATACCCAGTAAGGGGATTGCCTGGTCAAAAGATAGTTCTGTTTTAAGTACTGTGAAAAATCTCCAAACTGCTTTCTACAGTGGAACTAGTTTACACCAACAGTGTATAAGCATTCCCTTTTTCTCCACTGCCTTATCAGCATCTGTTGTTTTTTAACTTTTTAATAATAGTCATTCTGACTAGTGCAAAAGGTTATCTCTTGGTTTTGATTTGCATGTCTCTGATGATTAGTGATGAGCATTTTTTCATGTTTGTTGGCCACCTAAATGTCTTTTTTTGGGAAGTGTCTGTTCATGTCCTTTGCCCACTTGTTAATGGGGTTATGTGTTTTTTGCTTGTTGAATTAAGTACCTTATGGATTCTGGATATTAGACCTTTGTCAAATGCATAGATTGTGAATATTTTCTCTTATTCGGTAGGTTGTCTGTTTACTCTGCTGACAGTCTCTTTTGTTGTGCAGAAGCTCTTTAGTTTAATTAGGTCCCACCACTTGTCAATTTTTGGTTTTGTCACAATTGTTTTTGAGGACTTAGTCATAAATTGTTTGCCAAGGCTAATGTCCAGAATGGTATTTTCTAGGCTTTCTTCTAGGGTTTTTATAGTTGGAGTCTTACACTTTAATCTGTAATCCATCTTGAGTTAATTTTTGTATATGATGAAAAGTAGAGGGCAGTTTTATTCTTCTGCATATGGCTGGCCAGCTATTCCAGCAAAATTTATTGAATAGGGAGTCCTTTCCCCATTGCTTATTTTTGTTGACTCTGTTGAAGATCAGAATGTTGTAGGTGTGCAGCCTTATTTCTGGGTTCTTTATTGTGTTCCATTCGTCTATGTGTCTGTTTTTGTACCAGTATCATGCATGATGTTTTGGTTACTGTCATCTTACAGCAGAGTTTGAAGTCAGGTAATGTGATGGATGCCTCTGGTTTGAACAAGTAGGTTTTAAACTGGGAATACAAGGCTGGTTTAAGGCCGGTTTAAGAATCAATCAATGTGATCCACCATATTTACAGTCCAAAGAAGAAAACCCATGTGATCACATCAATAGATACAGAAAAGGCATGTGACAAAATTCAACATCCTTTCATGACAAAATCTTTCAACAAATAGGGAATACAAAGGAATTTTCTCAACATGGTTAAGGGCATCTACAAAAACCTACAGCTAATATCATATTTGATGGTAAAAGACTGAATACTTTCTCACTAAGATCAGGAACAAGGCAAGGATATCAACTTTCACCACTCATAATGCCTTGGAATAAGGCAAGAAATAAATGTGTATTTATACACATTAGAAATAAAGAAATAAAATTGTTCCTATTCCAAGATGACATGATTGTCTATGTAGAAATTCTAAAGATTTTAAAAACAAAACAAAACAACTTCCTGAAACTATAAGTGACTTTAAGCTCAACACACAAATATCAGTATCTTATATACTAGCAATGAACAATTAGAAACCAAAACTTTAGAATAATACATATACAGCATATTGGGTAATGCCATTCCTTCAGTTTATTTTTTTCAAAATTGGATTCGGCTTCCTTTGCTTTTTCAAATAAATTTTAGAGTCAATTTTTCTATATCTAAAAAAAGTTCTAGAATTTTGACTGAAATTTACTTAAACCTCCACATTAGTTTGGGGAGAACTGACATTGTTAGTATATTAACTCTTCCAATACATGTACATGGTATGTTTTTACATTTATTTAGGTCTTCTTTGATTTTTTTAATCAGCTTTTTGTAATTTTCAGCATATAGGTTTTTTCATGTTTTTTTTAGATTTATACATAGGCATTTCATTTTTCTTGGAGCTATAATAAATTTTATGTATACATGGAAGACTTCATATACTAACGATGTCAATTTTCCCCAAACTAATCTAAAGATTTAATGAAAATCCAGTCAAAATTCCAGAACACTTTTTGTAGATATAGAAAAGCTGACACTAAAATTTATTTGGAATGGCAAAGAAAGTAGAGTAGGCAAATCTACTTTTGAAAAAGAAGAATAAACTGAAAAAAATCACACTATTTAATTTTAAGACTTACTCTATAGCTACAGTAATTAAGACAGTATAGTATTAATGAAGAGATTGATCACAGACACATAGATCAATGAAACAGAATAGAGAACATAAAACTAGGTCCCATACACACACACAGACACACACAGCCAAATAAATTATTTTTGACAAGGTCACAAGGATGATTGGATGGAAAAGGAATACAGTGTTCAACAAATTGTGTTGAATTATTTAATATTTATATGCTCAAAAATGAACCTTAACCTAAACCTCACAGTGTACATAAAAATCAACTCAAAATTCACCATAGACATAAATGTAAAATATAAAACTATAAAAATTTTAGAAGTCCTCCTAACCAGACGTTAAGCAGTAAGCCCTTAAACATGACATGAAAAGCATGATCCATAAAGAAAAAAATAGATAAATTGAATCTCATCAAAGTAAAGTAAAGTTGTTCTATGAAAGACTCTATTAAAAGGATGAAATTATAAGCTAAAGGCTTAGAGACAATATTTGCAAACCACATATCTGTCAAAGAACCAGTATTAAGAATATATTAAAATCTCTCAAAATTCAACAGTAAAAAAACAAACAAACCAATTAGAGAAAGAGAAATTTAAATGAATAGACATTTCACCAAAAAGGATATACAGATGGAAAAACGCAGAGCAGCATTAGGCATTTAGTAAATGCAAATTAAAAGCACAATGAGATATCACTATATACCTACCAGAATGGCTAAAATAAAAAAAAAGTGAAAACATAAAATATTAACAAGTATGCAGAGAGGCTGGATCATCCATATACTGTTGGTAAGAATGTAAAATAGTACAACCAGTTTGGAAAGCATTTTGGCAGTTTCTTATAAAATTAAATATGCAGCCACTATGCTGTACAGCAGTCGCATTCTTGGGCATTTAGCTGTCCCAGAGAAATGAAAACTTATGTTCACATAAAAACCTGGACATAAGTACTCAGAGTAACTTTGTTCATGATAGCTAAAAATTAAAAAAAAAACCCTACGTCCTTCAATAGATGAATAGTTAAACAAATGATGGTATATCCATATCATGGCATATACTTAACAATAAAAAGGAACAAACTATTGATAATTCTCACCAGAGAATTACGCTGAGTGAAAATAAGCAAATCCCAAAGATTACCTGTTGTATGATTCTATTTATTTAACATTCTAACATAATGAAATTACAGAAATAGAGAGCAGATTAGTGGTTGCCAGGGTTAAGGAGGAGGTTGGAATGGGAGGGAGGTGAGTGTGGCTCTGAAAGGGAAACCTTATGGAGATGAAACAGCTCTGTATCCTGACTGTTTCTATGCCAATATTCTGTAAGATGTTACCACTGGTGCACACTACATAAAAGGGTGTATGAGATCCTTCTGTATAGTTTCTTAGAACTGTATGTAAATCTACAATTATCTAAAAAGTAAAAAAATTAATTTAAAAAGTCTTTTGCTTTGCAAAGTTGAGAGGACGAACATGCAGGCTGAAGACTGGGAGAAAATATTCGCAAAAATGGTCTGACAAAAACTTATATCCAGATTATGTGATGAATTCTCAATGCTCAACTGTAGTAAAAGGAAAAACTTGATTTTTGAAAAATGGGCAAAAGATTTCAATAGACAATTCAACAAAGATGATATACAAATGGTATATAAGCACATAAAGAGATATTCAATATTATTCGATATTAGAAAATGCAAATTTAAACCATAATGAAACATTACTATGCACCTATTAGAATAGCGAAAATAATACTGACAAAACCAAATGCTGATAAGGATGCAAAGCAACTGGAACTTTCTTTTTTTTTTTTTTTTTATTCTTCTTTGTTTTATTTATAATTTTTTTTTTTACAATTCTTTTTTTTTTTTTTTTATTATACTCTAAGTTTTAGGGTACATGTGCACATTGTGCAGGTTAGTTACATATGTATACATGTGCCATGCTGGTGCACTGCACCCACTAATGTGTCATCTAGCATTAGGTATATCTCCCAATGCTATCCCTCCCCCCTCCCCCGACCCCACCACAGTCCCCAGAGTGTGATATTCCCCTTCCTGTGTCCATGTGATCTCATTGTTCAATTCCCACCTATGAGTGAGAATATGCAGTGTTTGGTTTTTTGTTCTTGCGATAGTTTACTGAGAATGATGGTTTCCAATTTCATCCATGTCCCTACAAAGGATATGAACTCATCATTTTTTATGGCTGCATAGTATTCCATGGTGTATATGTGCCACATTTTCTTAATCCAGTCTATCATTGTTGGGCATTTGGGTTGGTTCCAAGTCTTTGCTATTGTGAATAGTGCTGCAATAAACATACGTGTGCATGTGTCTTTATAGCAGCATGATTTATACTCATTTGGGTATATACCCAGTAATGGGATGGCTGGGTCAAATGGTATTTCTAGTTCTAGATCCCTGAGGAATCGCCACACTGACTTCCACAATGGTTGAACTAGTTTACAGTCCCACCAACAGTGTAAAAGTGTTCCTATTTCTCCGCATCCTCTCCAGCACCTGTTGTTTCCTGACTTTTAAATGATTGCCATTCTAACTGGTGTGAGATGATATCTCATAGTGGTTTTGATTTGCATTTCTCTGATGGCCAGTGATGATGAGCATTTCTTCATGTGTTTTTTGGCTGCATAAATGTCTTCTTTTGAGAAGTGTCTGTTCATGTCCTTCGCCCACTTTTTGATGGGGTTGTTTGTTTTTTTCTTGTAAATTTGTTTGAGTTCATTGTAGATTCTGGATATTAGCCCTTTGTCAGATGAGTAGGTTGCAAAAATTTTCTCCCATGTTGTAGGTTGCCTGTTCACTCTGATGGTAGTTTCTTTTGCTGTGCAGAAGCTCTTTAGTTTAATTAGATCCCATTTGTCAATTTTGTCTTTTGTTGCCATTGCTTTTGGTGTTTTGGACATGAAGTCCTTGCCCACGCCTATGTCCTGAATGGTAATGCCTAGGTTTTCTTCTAGGGTTTTTATGGTTTTAGGTTTAACGTTTAAATCTTTAATCCATCTTGAATTGATTTTTGTATAAGGTGTAAGGAAGGGATCCAGTTTCAGCTTTCTACATATGGCTAGCCAGTTTTCCCAGCACCATTTATTAAATAGGGAATCCTTTCCCCATTGCTTGTTTTTCTCAGGTTTGTCAAAGATCAGATAGTTGTAGATATGCGGCATTATTTCTGAGGGCTCTGTTCTGTTCCATTGATCTATATCTCTGTTTTGGTACCAGTACCATGCTGTTTTGGTTACTGTAGCCTTGTAGTATAGTTTGAAGTCAGGTAGTGTGATGCCTCCAGCTTTGTTCTTTTGGCTTAGGATTGACTTGGCAATGCAGGCTCTTTTTTGGTTCCATATGAACTTTAAAGTAGTTTTTTCCAATTCTGTGAAGAAAGTCATTGGTAGCTTGATGGGGATGGCATTGAATCTGTAAATTACCTTGGGCAGTATGGCCATTTTCACGATATTGATTCTTCCTACCCATGAGCATGGAATGTTCTTCCATTTGTTTGTCTCCTCTTTTATTTCCGTGAGCAGTGGTTTGTAGTTCTCCTTGAAGAGGTCCTTCACATCCCTTGTAAGTTGGATTCCTAGGTATTTTATTCTCTTTGAAGCAATTGTGAATGGGAGTTCACCCATGATTTGGCTCTCTGTTTGTCTGTTGTTGGTGTATAAGAATGCTTGTGATTTTTGTACATTGATTTTGTATCCTGAGACTTTGCTGAAGTTGCTTATCAGCTTAAGGAGATTTTGGGCTGAGACGATGGGGTTTTCTAGATAAACAATCATGTCGTCTGCAAACAGAGACAATTTGACTTCCTCTTTTCCTAATTGAATACCCTTTATTTCCTTCTCCTGCCTGATTGCCCTGGCCAGAACTTCCAACACTATGTTGAATAGGAGCGGTGAGAGAGGGCATCCCTGTCTTGTGCCGGTTTTCAAAGGGAATGCTTCCAGTTTTTGCCCATTCAGTATGATATTGGCTGTGGGTTTGTCATAGATAGCTCTTATTATTTTGAAATACGTCCCATCAATACCTAATTTATTGAGAGTTTTTAGCATGAAGGGTTGTTGAATTTTGTCAAAGGCTTTTTCTGCATCTATTGAGATAATCATGTGGTTTTTGTCTTTGGCTCTGTTTATATGCTGGATTACATTTATTGATTTGCGTATATTGAACCAGCCTTGCATCCCAGGGATGAAGCCCACTTGATCATGGTGGATAAGCTTTTTGATGTGCTGCTGGATTCGGTTTGCCAGTATTTTATTGAGGATTTTTGCATCAATGTTCATCAAGGATATTGGTCTAAAATTCTCTTTTTTGGTTGTGTCTCTGCCCGGCTTTGGTATCAGTATGATGCTGGCCTCATAAAATGAGTTAGGGAGGATTCCCTCTTTTTCTATTGATTGGAATAGTTTCAGAAGGAATGGTACCAGTTCCTCCTTGTACCTCTGGTAGAATTCGGCTGTGAATCCATCTGGTCCTGGACTCTTTTTGGTTGGTAAACTATTGATTATTGCCACAATTTCAGAGCCTGTTATTGGTCGATTCAGAGATTCAACTTCTTCCTGGTTTAGTCTTGGGAGAGTGTATGTGTCGAGGAATGTATCCATTTCTTCTAGATTTTCTAGTTTATTTGCGTAGAGGTGTTTGTAGTATTCTCTGATGGTAGTTTGTATTTCTGTGGGATCGGTGGTGATATCCCCTTTATCATTTTTTATTGTGTCTATTTGATTCTTCTCTCTTTTTTTCTTTATTAGTCTTGCTAGCGGTCTATCAATTTTGTTGATCCTTTCAAAAAACCAGCTCCTGGATTCATTGATTTTTTGAAGGGTTTTTTGTGTCTCTATTTCCTTCAGTTCTGCTCTGATTTTAGTTATTTCTTGCCTTCTGCTAGCTTTTGAATGTGTTTGCTCTTGCTTTTCTAGTTCTTTTAATTGTGATGTTAGGGTGTCAATTTTGGATCTTTCCTGCTTTCTCTTGTAGGCATTTAGTGCTATAAATTTCCCTCTACACACTGCTTTGAGTGCGTCCCAGAGATTCTGGTATGTGGTGTCTTTGTTCTCGTTGGTTTCAAAGAACATCTTTATTTCTGCCTTCATTTCGTTATGTACCCAGTAGTCATTCAGGAGCAGGTTGTTCAGTTTCCATGTAGTTGAGCGGCTTTGAGTGAGATTCTTAATCCTGAGTTCTAGTTTGATTGCACTGTGGTCTGAGAGATAGTTTGTTATAATTTCTGTTCTTTTACATTTGCTGAGGAGAGCTTTACTTCCAACTATGTGGTCAATTTTGGAATAGGTGTGGTGTGGTGCTGAAAAAAATGTATATTCTGTTGATTTGGGGTGGAGAGTTCTGTAGATGTCTATTAGGTCTGCTTGGTGCAGAGCTGAGTTCAATTCCTGGGTATCCTTGTTGACTTTCTGTCTCGTTGATCTGTCTAATGTTGACAGTGGGGTGTTAAAGTCTCCCATTATTAATGTGTGGGAGTCTAAGTCTCTTTGTAGGTCACTGAGGACTTGCTTTATGAATCTGGGTGCTCCTGTATTGGGTGCATAAATATTTAGGATAGTTAGCTCCTCTTGTTGAATTGATCCCTTTACCATTATGTAATGGCCTTCTTTGTCTCTTTTGATCTTTGTTGGTTTAAAGTCTGTTTTATCAGAGACTAGGATTGCAACCCCTGCCTTTTTTTGTTTTCCATTGGCTTGGTAGATCTTCCTCCATCCTTTTATTTTGAGCCTATGTGTGTCTCTGCACGTGAGATGGGTTTCCTGAATACAGCACACTGATGGGTCTTGACTCTTTATCCAACTTGCCAGTCTGTGTCTTTTAATTGCAGAATTTAGTCCATTTATATTTAAAGTTAATATTGTTATGTGTGAATTTGATCCTGTCATTATGATGTTAGCTGGTGATTTTGCTCATTAGTTGATGCAGTTTCTTCCTAGTCTCGATGGTCTTTACATTTTGGCATGATTTTGCAGCGGCTGGTACCGGTTGTTCCTTTCCATGTTTAGCGCTTCCTTCAGGAGCTCTTTTAGGGCAGGCCTGGTGGTGACAAAATCTCTCAACATTTGCTTGTCTATAAAGTATTTTATTTCTCCTTCACTTATGAAGCTTAGTTTGGCTGGATATGAAATTCTGGGTTGAAAATTCTTTTCTTTAAGAATGTTGAATATTGGCCCCCACTCTCTTCTGGCTTGTAGGGTTTCTGCCGAGAGATCCGCTGTTAGTCTGATGGGCTTTCCTTTGAGGGTAACCCGACCTTTCTCTCTGGCTGCCCTTAACATTTTTTCCTTCATTTCAACTTTGGTGAATCTGACAATTATGTGTCTTGGAGTTGCTCTTCTCGAGGAGTATCTTTGTGGCGTTCTCTGTATTTCCTGAATCTGAACGTTGGCCTGCCTTGCTAGATTGGGGAAGTTCTCCTGGATAATATCCTGCAGAGTGTTTTCCAACTTGGTTCCATTCTCCACATCACTTTCAGGTACACCAATCAGACGTAGATTTGGTCTTTTCACATAGTCCCATATTTCTTGGAGGCTTTGCTCATTTCTTTTTATTCTTTTTTCTCTAAACTTCCCTTCTCGCTTCATTTCATTCATTTCATCTTCCATTGCTGATACCCTTTCTTCCAGTTGATCGCATCGGCTCCTGAGGCTTCTGCATTCTTCACGTAGTTCTCGAGCCTTGGTTTTCAGCTCCATCAGCTCCTTTAAGCACTTCTCTGTATTGGTTATTCTAGTTATACATTCTTCTAAATTTTTTTCAAAGTTTTCAACTTCTTTGCCTTTGGTTTGAATGTCCTCCCGTAGCTCAGAGTAATTTGATCGTCTGAAGCCTTCTTCTCTCAGCTCGTCAAAATCATTCTCCATCCAGCTTTGTTCTGTTGCTGGTGAGGAACTGCGTTCCTTTGGAGGAGGAGAGGCGCTCTGCGTTTTAGAGTTTCCAGTTTTTCTGTTCTGTTTTTTCCCCATCTTTGTGGTTTTATCTACTTTTGGTCTTTGATGATGGTGATGTACAGATGGGTTTTCGGTGTAGATGTCCTTTCTGGTTGTTAGTTTTCCTTCTAACAGACAGGACCCTCAGCTGCAGGTCTGTTGGAATACCCTGCCGTGTGAGGTGTCAGTGTGCCCCTGCTGGGGGGTGCCTCCCAGTTAGGCTGCTCGGGGGTCAGGAGTCAGGGACCCACTTGAGGAGGCAGTCTGCCCGTTCTCAGATCTCCAGCTGCGTGCTGGGAGAACCACTGCTCTCTTCAAAGCTGTCAGACAGGGACACTTAAGTCTGCAGAGGTTACTGCTGTCTTTTTGTTTGTCTGTGCCCTGCCCCCAGAGGTGGAGCCTACAGAGGCAGGCAGGCCTCCTTGAGCTGTGGTGGGCTCCACCCAGTTCGAGCTTCCCGGCTGCTTTGTTTACCTAAGCAAGCCTGGGCAATGGCGGGCGCCCCTCCCCCAGCCTCGTTGCCGCCTTGCAGTTTGATCTCAGACTGCTGTGCTAGCAATCAGCGAGATTCCGTGGGCGTAGGACCCTCCGAGCCAGGTGTGGGATATAGTCTCGTGGTGCGCCGTTTCTTAAGCCGGTCTGAAAAGCGCAATATTCGGGTGGGAGTGACCCGATTTTCCAGGTGCGTCCGTCACCCCTTTCTTTGACTCGGAAAGGGAACTCCCTGACCCCTTGCGCTTCCCAGGTGAGGCAATGCCTCGCCCTGCTTCGGCTCGCGCACGGTGCGCACACACACTGGCCTGCGCCCACTGTCTGGCACTCCCTAGTGAGATGAACCCGGTACCTCAGATGGAAATGCAGAAATCACCGTCTTCTGCGTCGCTCACGCTGGGAGCTGTAGACCGGAGCTGTTCCTATTCGGCCATCTTGGCTCCTCCCCTCGCAACTGGAACTTTCATACACTGTTGGAGGGAATGCAAAATGGTACAGCCACTCTGGAAAATAGTTTGGCAGTTTCTTATGAAGTTAAACATGCAGTTATCATACAGCCCAGCATTTGTATTCCTGAGTATTTATCTCAGAAAAACAAAAATGTATGTTCACTCAAAAGCCTGTACAGTATTCAAAATCGCCCAGGGGGAAAAAAAAAAAAAAACCTGTTCTTGTAACAGGTGAATGGATAAACAAACTATGGTACAGCCATATAATTGAATACTACTCATTGATAAAAAGGAACAAACTATTGACACATCAACTTAGATGAAACTTAGAGGCACTGTATCAAGGGAAAGAAGCCAGGCTCAAAATGTTACATACTATATGACTTCATTTATAAGACATTCTTGAAAATACAAAACTTGTCAAACAAAGTGTTTGACAAGAGTTAGGATTGGAAGAAGGGATGTGGCCACAAAGTGGCAGCCCGAGTTTTGGGAATTTGGGAAACTGTTTTTTATTTTGACTGTGGGAATGGCTACATACATCTATATACACATTAATATCTGTAGACCTATACACCAAAAAGAGTCAACTTTACCATACAATAATTTGTTTAAAATTGTTTAAAATGCAAAACCAGAAAAATACTCTTCCAGAATCTGATCAATCCTCACCACCCTCTACTGCCACCCTGATCCAGGCCTCCATATTTCTCACCTACGTTATTACAATAGCCTTTTAACTGGTCTCCCTACTTCCTCTCTTTCTACTACACAGTCGATTCTCAACAGTGATCCTTTGAAAACATGAGCCGAATAATGTTACTCTCCTGTTCAAAAGCCTCCAGTGGTCCTCTTACAGCATTAAAACTGAAGTTTTCACCAAGGCCTGACAGTAGTGAGGTCCCCCAGGAACCTCTCTGGTCTCTTCTTCTGTGAGTTTTCCTTACTTACTGTGCTCCAGCTGCACTAAACTGGCTTGCTGCTTTGTGGACATGCTAGGCCTTTGCACTGGCTGTTCCCTCTTCCTGGACATCCTTCCTTCAGATAAGACAATGGTTTCCTCACCCACCTCATTGAACTCTTTGCTTTAACTTCATCTTTTCTGTGGAACCTACTCTGACCGCTATTTAAAACTGCATCTCTTTCTGTATTCCCCACTCCTACTTACAGTTTATTTTTCTTCATGGTGATTGTCATCTTCTAACATGCTCTATTACTTATGTGTCTTAGTCTATTTGTGCTGCTGTAACAAAATACCTGAGACTGGGTAATTTATAAACACCAGAGATTTATTTCTCACAGTTCTGGAGGCTGGAAAGTCAAGATCAAGATGCTGGTATTCAATGTCTAGTAAGGACCCAGTGTTTGCTTCCAAGATGGTACCAGAGTGGGGAGGAATGTTGTGTCCTCACATGGTGGAAGAAATGGAATGTTGAAAAAAGGGCAAACAGCTTTGTCAAATCTCTTTTATGATAATACTAATCCCCATTCCATGAGGGCTTTGTCCTCATAACTTAATCAACTCTTAAAGACCTCACCTCATAATGCTATCACATTATCAATTAAGTTTGGAGGACACATTCAGACGAAAGCATTATACATTACATTTGCTTTCTGTTCCCCCAACATACACACAAATATAAGGTTTATAAGGGCAGAGCTCTCACCCGTTCATTAATGTATCTTCAGTGATTGACACATAGAAGATCCTCAATAAATATTTATGGAATGAAGAAAGTGAAACAGGGAGGAAGTGAGGAAAAGGTTAATTTGTCACTAGCCAAGTGAGGAAGAAGAGAGGATGAGGAGGGTGTCATGGAAGACCTGGTTACTCTGCAGAGCCTTAAACTGGAACTGTGTGCATGCTCAGAGGACAAGAGCACAGAGGTGTGGGAAGAGTGCTGATGCAGAGAGAGAAGCAGGAATCTGCTTTAAATGCCATGCTAAGGAATTTGGGCTTCACCTTTAGGTTAAAAGCTGTTAAGTCTCTGAGAAACATGATCATATTTGTGTTGCATAAAGATCACTCAGCCCAGTGTGGAGAGTAAATTGGGTAAGGGCAGTGAGTTAGTTAGGAGGCAGATTGTAATCTAGTAACTAGTTATCTAAGCCAAAAAAAATGATGACCTGAACTAAGACTTTGGCCTTGTCAACAACACAGAGGGCACATTTCAGAAACACTTAGCAGAGTCAGTAGGACTTCTACTGAAATGTGAGAAAGATTAGAAATCGAGGATGCTCCCCTATCCCACCCCACCCACCTGCCAGATTCTCTTTGTGACTCTGAGAAAGAAAGCGCAGATGAATGGCCTTGGCAAAGATTCCAATGGCAAATTACTTTAATGTTGCAAACACCACTCTTACATTGTGGTGAGTTACATCCACTGCGTTGTTTTGTCCAGAATACCTTTCTTTTCCATCTTGCTAACTCTTACTTTAAGTTTCAGCTCACAGATCCTGACTCAGCTTACAGATCTTATAATGATGTGCTCAAAGAACTTGGCAACATCAGAAAAGGCAAGATGTAGGAACTGATAATGCAGTTATTGGACAGTTTATGGAAATGGGGATTGATCCCACTTAAAAAGCAAGCATTTTCCATACCAGCAGGGGACTTCTGTCCTAGAAATATGATATTGTAATGAAAGTGGTCCACAAAGCTCATACTGCTATAATGAGTTTACACAGGACTCACTGGGGTTATAAAAATAAAAATATTAGCTTTGTACTGTCAATGCCAAATGTAAATACAGTAATTCTATGTGACCCTCCAACATTTGACCTTGAGCAAGATTTTCAACCCACTTTTGCCTCTGTCTTCTTGTCATAAAAGACAAGATAATCTCTCAAGGCTAGTTTGACTCCAAAAATCTTGGATTTTGCTTTCCTTTCTCTGCAAAGCAGTTGGAGAAAACCATGCATATTTTATAGACAGGAAACCAAGGCTCAAAGAGAAGGAGATTTCCTTTTAGATGGACCTAAATAAGAGCCTGTCTCCCACCCAGATGCCTGCTCCCATGAGATGCCCATCATCTAACTTTTGAAACACTGAAAAGAATTGTTTTTAAAACCAAAAGAATAATTTGATTTTAATGAATATGTCATCTACTGACACAAACAAACGGCAAAATTTTTCTTCTACTCTTTTGCAACTAAAATAAATTTAAGTCAAGGTTCATCCTGGAGAGTTTTTGTTGTTGTTATTGTTGCTAGCTGTTGCAAAATAGCCAAAAGTTGTTTTGTAATAGAAATGCTGACTTAAACTCAATTACTGTGAGAGTTTGAATAGACTCTCCTTTTTTTTAAGACATAAGAAGGCAATTAGGTGTTCATGTGGACATTTATGTGTAAGGGATCATTTAAAAGACTGCAAAAGAATGCTAAATATGAAAAGAGGTTACAGAGCATTATAGAGTGAGAAAGTGCCAGAGTTATTTTTAAAATATATAAGTTGTATATGTTATATTTTTAAAACTTAAATCTGATAAAACGTTTCATAATAAAAAGCAATATAATAACAGAAACCAAACCATAGATCCAGGAAGGTCAGAGAAGAATATGCAGGCAAATACTAAAAAATCTACACTGGGCATATCATATTCAAACTGCAGACAGTCAAAGACAAAGAGAAAGTCTTGAGAGAGCCCAAAGGGGCAAAAGCACCTTATCTGTAGAGAAACAAGGATAAGAATTAAATCAGACTTCCCTTCAGAAACTATGCAAGCAAGCAAGAAAAACAAAACCCAACCTAGAATTCTACATCCAGTAAAATTATCCTTCAAAAGTAAAGAGAAATAAAGATTTCCACAGACAAACAAAACTTAAGGGAATTTGTCACCAGTAGATTTGCTTGGCAAAAAGTGTTAAAAGAAATCCTTTAGAGAGAAGGAAATTATATAGATCAGAAACATAGACCTACATTTTAAAAGGCAGAGTTTTGAAAAAGGAATAAATGAAAGGCATTCTCAGTTCCCTCCTCTGGGTGCTGGTGCCATGCCCAGGTCCCAGACCCCCCCACCCAAAGTGAATAATACAGACACTCAACATGATAGATTGTTGGCTTAAAAGGGAGTAGAAGACTTGCTTTCCCCATCCACAGCCGCAACCTCTGCATTTAAAGATACCAAAAAGGACATAGCAAATTATCTGGCCTGTGGAAGGGAGAAATACTCCAAAGAAATTTGACAAAACTGTAAATAAGAAAAATGATGAAAACTGTCTTCTTCTCAGCTTTTATAGATGTTAATAATATTCTATACTGTGTTTTACATGATGGAACATTTTCATATAGTGTCATGATGCCAGTTAAATTGTGGCATCATTTTGAGACCAACCATTTAGAATTTTTTTAAAAAGGGAATTAAATATTGTAAGTGTAAATATTATGAGCCCTTTAAAAGCCAAAAGTTATTATAGCTTCTCAAACTAGAAATAAAAAGGCTACTGAAGCACTTACAGGTTTTAATTTATTTATTTTTATTTATTTATTTACTTTTTGAGACAGAGTCTCCCTCTGTAGCCCAGGCTGGAGTGTAGTGGTATAATCTCAGCTCAATGCAGCCTCCACCTCCTGGGTTCAAGCGATTCTCATGCCTCAGCCTCCCGGGTAGCTGGGATTACAGGTGTGCACCACCATGCCTGGCTAAATTTTGTATTTTTAGTAGAGACAGGGTTTCACCATGTTGGCCAGGCTGGTCTCAAAACTCCTGGCCTCAAGTGATCCACCTACTTCGGCCTCCCAAAGTGCTGGGATTACAGGCATGAGCCATATGTGCCTGGCCTTAATTTCTAATATGGTAAATAGCAATTGCTATAATCCACATAAACAAAAAGCTCTTTGAGATCCCTCCTCACCTTTTTTTTTCTAAGACTAAAGTGTTCTCCAGGCCAAAAGTGAGAAAACCACTATATTTTTATCCCTAGATATAATAGATCTATTTCTTGCTATGACCTCATAAGGAGCCATTTTTGTGGAATTCCAAGTGCTTATATAAATCTATAGCTAGGCTGACATTTTTGTTTATTATAGCTTAATAAACTGGTTTTTAGTGACCTGAGGGACTTTGACCAGTTAGCTTTTTTCCTCAATAGTTTTTTGTGTGTTTTGTATTGTGGGGTGTTCTTCCTCTACTATTTTTTTCTTTTTCTAATATTTCCATTTTTATTATTTATTTCTTTTCCCATTTTTTATTGTTTTTCTTTTTCTCATTTTTCTAATTCTTTCATTTTTATTTTCCTCACTTATTCATTATTTTCTCGTATTTTTTCTCTATTTTTTCTTTTTTATCATTTTCTTTTTTCTCTCATTTTCTTTAGTTTGTCATTTGTTTCTGTTTATTTTCATTTTTGCCTAGTATTGTGGTATTTGGATTCCATTATGAAAATCCATTTTTCAGGCAAACTTTGGATCTGATTTTCTTTTGTGGCCATTTGAATCAATCTTCTTACCAGCTTTTCCCAATTTTAAACTAATGATGGGACGTTGTCCACAGGGACAGACCTAAAGGCATAAAACCTGCTCTGGATGTTGACATGATCATCCTGACAGCAGATTTTGGTTTCAGCAATGAGTTCACCTTGACAACAAGCTGGACTCCTTCTGTGGCAGGTCCTTCCCACGTTAACGTAGACCTCTCCCGGGCCAAAAGCACTGTGGTCCCACAGCGGATGTGTGGCACCTTGGAGGCATCCTTTCTATGCTGGTCAGTAGGCCCCGCCTTTTGATGGACAGAACTTAAAGTAGCTGGTGGAGCAGGAACTAAGCAGAATATACCATATTCCTTTCTGTAGTCCATGGACTGTGAAAACCTGCTCAAGAAATTCTTCATCTTCAACCTTAGCAGGAGTGGCACTTTAGAGAAAAATTAGCAGGAGAGGCACATTAGAGAAAATTATGAGGAACCCATGGATGAACATGGGCAGTGAGGATGAATTAAAGCCTTATGTTGAGCCACTCTGTGACTACAAGGATCCTGGCAGGTTGAGTTGGTGGTTTCCATGGCTTACACATTGGAAGAGATCCGGGGCTCATTGATGAACCAGAAGTACAAGTGATGGCCACCTATCTACTCTTGGGCTACAAGAGATATGAGCTGGAGGGCTACACAATCACCCTGAAGCCCCTGCCTTCAGCTGATCCCACCGATAGCTGCATTCCTTCCCCATTCTGCGAGATACAATATAGCGACTCTGCCAACCGAAAGCAGCAGAGTTTCAGCAAGCCTGCCTTTCCCACCTTTCATTATTCTAAGGATAGTCTAGGTAACAACTCAGAAAATCAGCGTACTGAGGAGGACCAGGAGTCAGGGCAGAGAAGATCACAACCTTCAACACAGCCTCCCAGCGTGGCCCTGTGGCCTATTCCCCCACCCACAACCAGAAGCAGTGGTAGTGCCCCAGATGGAACCAAATTCCCTCAAGGTATATGCTCCAAAGGAAACTCCCTTCGCCCTAGGCAACCTGAACAGGTGCCTGACCAGTAGATTTTGTCCCATAGTGTGAACTCAGTTTCTTACTCTGGCAACAGCCAGGGCTTGCAGGGTGCCAATAGCAGAGAAATGTGTTTCAAGTCAGCCGAAAAGGACTGGCATGAAGCTGCCAGCTGAGTGGAAATGATCAAACCTCATGTTATGGGCAGCCCAGAGAGTGATACAAACAACAATGAATGTTGAGAGGTCAGGCATACTCCTTGAAGTTTACATGGAACATGAAGATCCTAGCTCAGTGGAGCTCAGTGAGATGGTGTGAGAGATCAGCCAGGTGCTAGATGCAAACAGCTGTGGGTGGGAGCTGAGCAAGTACACCCCTGCTGTATGTGCACGGCCCACCTGGCCAAGAGGAATGCGTGTAGCAGAGGGTGGAGTTGTGCAAACTGTCCTAGCATTTTCTCCAGGCGGTTCAAATAAAGAGGATATTGGCACCTCCATTACCTTCAAAAGCATTGTTCCCAAATTGACTGCTGAGCTGAAGCTTTAAAAGACTTCCAGAAGCCTCTGAGGAGACAAGAGCCTAATAGGCCCTACTGCAGGCTGGCCCTCTGCCCATATCTGGGTGAAACTTCAGAGATTGCACTGTTTTTCCTGGGGCATATCTCCCCTCTCCTGCTCTTCTCCTTTACTTCTGTGTTTGTCGGGAAGGGGAGAAGTTCTACAGAAATCAACAGACCCAATCCCCTCCAAAAAATAGTCCCCTGTGCCCTTTCCTTCATACACCAGAGCTTTTTAGTTCTACTGGTGGCTACTTTTTTTTTTTTTTTGAGATGGAGTCTCGCTCTGTCACCCAGGCTGGAGTGCAATGGTGCAATCTTGGCTCACTGCAACCTCTGTGCCTTGGGTTCAAGTGATTGTCCTGCTTCAGCCTCCTGAGTAGCTGGGATTACAGGTAGGTGCCCACCACCACGCCCGGCTAATTTTTGTATTTTTAGTAGAGACGGGGTTTCACCATGTTGGCCAGGCTGCTCTCGAACTCCTGACCTCAGGTGATCCACTCACTTCAGCCTCCCAAAGTGCTAGGATTACAAGTGTGAGCCATGGTGCCTGGCCGGTGGCTACTTCTTTAAATTAATGTTACATCATTCTTTCTTGAATTATCAATTTTAGTTATTGGCTATTGGAGTTCTGTCACAACTGATGGGAATTTAGGTCTTTCACAATTTTGGAAGGTAGCACTATTCTCATTCCTCCTTTGGTTGCCACCACAATCACAGTCTCCCATGACATACCTACATCTCCATTTCTATCCTACCGCCTTGAATCCCACTCTGTAAAATCGGTGTTAGAACTCTCATCCTTCCCCCATCCTCCCCACTCCTATAAGTTCTCTCAGTGATACTTTTATATTAATCTTTTGTAAACCTTTAGATTCTGGTTTGTGATTTGTCTACTGTTTAATTCGAAAAGAAAAAAATTTAAGTGGAGCTTAATTACACCTATATAAATATAGTACACTGAAGGGCTAGTAAGATAAGATCAAGATACCCTTCTATAGCTTCCAATGTCATGACTGCTGTGCTCCTAGAATCCAGTGGAATGGATTTCCTGTTTTTGCGCTCTTCCGATTGTCTTTACTACATTCTGAAGGTCTCTATCATGCTTTCTGTTCTACTAATTCTTCTTACTGCCTGGAGATCCCTCTCCCAAAGCCATTAATCCTCATATTCCACAGTGGACCAGTCGCTTTTAGGTCTACTGCACAGCTATCATTCTGAGACAGGATGTCACTGCTCTTGTAGATTGTACCGATTGTTCCTGAAAATTTCTTAGTCACTGATTGCTACAAAAATGCTATGTAACCATAATGCTGTGTAACAAGCAACCTGAAATCTCAGTGGTAACAACAAACATTTACTCTTTACCCTGCTTCAGACTATGGGTTGAGTTCAAGCCTGTTTCATGTGTCTTTCATTCAGTGCCAGCAGCTGTCTGCAGCGTGCTTTTCTTGTGGAAAATGAGAGAAGAAAGAGAGACCAAGATAAGCCAAATAAGCATATTTAAAGCCTCTGTTCATGTTGCATCCATTTAGAGTCCACTAGCTGAAGCAATCATGTGAAGAAAATCACATGTCCAACCCAACACCAAATGAGTAGAAGAAAATACTTCACCTACTCTAGGGGGAGGCAGGACCAAGTCACTTGGCAAAGGCATGGATGTATATGTTGACAACAGGGGAGAGGTGAACAATAAGGAACAATCATCTAATCCACCATAGGAACCTATGTTTTACACACTACTACCTTGTTTTGCTGGACAGCATCCTCTAATAAATTCCTAAGGAGAGGGTATGGCAGGTAAACTTTCTGAATCATATGTGTCTATAAATATCTTTATTCTGCCCTCATAACTGACAAACATTTTTGAGACCCTTGCTCCACTACTTTCTATAATAGCACCCTCCATTGCTGATGAGAAGTTTCTTGTCAGGGTGCTTTTTGTTCTCTTTTTAGGTGACCCTTTCTATCTCAATATTCTCTTTACCCTGATGTTCTAAAATGTCTCAATGACATAGATGTAGGTAATTTTTTTCCTTATTGTGCCATGTGTGCAGTGGGCCCTCTCAAACTGAGAATTCTATATAGAGATTTTTAATAAACCTTTCTGTTTTGTTGCACAGCTTACTCCTGATCTTCTTTGTATCTGGTGTTTCTAAGCATAAAGACTGAAGCCTTCTACCTCTTCAGGTACAATATACAGGATCGTGTGTGTTTGTGTGTGTGTGTATACAGGATCATATATATAAAATATGTTATATATAATATAGGCTGCTGCTTTCTCCAATTCGTTTAATCACTTTTTTGTATTCCAGAATTTTTTAGATTTCTGCCTGTCTATGGATGGTCTTTGTCCGTTCTCTTTATTTTGTGGAGTTATAGCACTTAAAACATTTTGTTTACTATGATTTTATTGATGTCTCAGGAAAGAGAGGTAATAAAATGGTATGCCTAAGATATTGTGTTGATTTATTAGTCTCAATATTTATTCTGCTGAGTATACTTTACATTTCAATATATTTAAAATTACATTTCAATATATTTAAAATATTTGTAAAATGGTTGGCTGTATCAGATAGAATAACATTTAAATAACCTGGCTATGTTAGCATCCATATTTTCAAGGGTAATTAGTTTGAATGTGATTATTTAATTGGCAAAAGAATTTGAAATGTTACCAAAGATAGCTAGTTTCTCTGAGGCAGTGCTGTCCAACAGAACTTTTTGCAATGATAGAAATATTTTCTCTCTGTGCCAACCAAGACAGTAGCCACCAACCTCATGTGGCTATTGAACACTTAAAATGTAGTTAGTGCTACTAGGAAACTGAATTTTTAATTTTATTTAATTCGTATTGATTTAAGTTTAAATAGCCACAGGTGGCTAGCGGCTATCATATTGGACAATGCGCCTGGGATCAAAATTGTGATTAAATCCCCCAAATTAAAAATATGTTTTTAGGCATGGGCTACCTGTGTCAAGAATATTATACCTGAAAGGGATAGTCATGAGGAGTCTAATAAGACACATAGCCAAGTATAAATAATCTTTATGGTTTATACCAAAGAATATACTCATTCTCCCAGTAAATACATTCTCCCAGTAAATATTTGAAGGGTATGTACTGTATATAAAGCACTCTGTCTGGCATTAGGGTTACAAAATTGCAGACACACAAAGCACTCACCCTCCAGGATCTTTCCATTCATTGAGGAAGAAGATATGCAAACAACCAGTAAGTATAATAGAAGATTGCCTTACCTCCCTATGCTGAAGGGTGAGAGAAAAGTGATTACCCAGGACACCCAGTTAAGCCTTTACTTAGGAAGTAGTATTTAAGTCCTGACTTGAAGCTGGGTAAGACTTTCTTGGGAGATTAATGGGTAGAATATTTCAGGCAGAGAAAGAACAGGAGGGCACAGATGTAGAGACAGGTACTAGAAAAGGCAAGCCACTTGATATCACTAGAACCTAGAGTACAATTTTGAGAATATATTGGGAAATGAGATTGGCCAATCAGGCAAAAGTGGCCAATAACTGTAGTGTGAGAAGAGCTACGCCACTTCCAGTGAAGGGAAATAAAATTGACATAATGTAGACCCATTGAGTTGGAAGAATAGTGAACTCATTGTATGTTCTGACCCAACTCTCTTCATTCACTCAATCAAAAGATACTTTTCAATGTTCTCCTAAGCCTTTTTTATAGTGCTAAATGGCTTTAGGAACACTTTTTTAAAAGCTGGTAAAAGAGTAAATATTAACTCAGTTGCTATGGTCTGAATGTTTGTGTCCTTTCAAAATTTATATGTTGAAACCTAATCTCCAATGCAATAATATGAAGACGTGAGGCCTTTGGGAGGTAATTATGTCATGAGGGTGGAGACCTCATGAATGGGATTAGAGAGGGCTGATGGAGCCTGCTTGCCACCTCCATCATGTGAGGACACATGCAGCAAGAAGACACCATCCATGAGGCACAGACCCTCACAGGCACCAAATCTCCTGGCACCTTGACCTTGGACTTCCCAGCCTCCAGAACTGTGAGCAATAAATTCTGTTGTTGATAAATTACCCAATCTATAGTATTGTGTTATAGCAGTCCAAATGGACTAAGATACCAGCATCAACTGAAATGAGGACAAATCCCTAATTAGAGGACTCCTACTCAATAAAAATATTTAAAACAATGATTAATATCTTACTACAGAATTTTTCCACTCCAGAGAACACAAAATTCTGAGTTAACACAGTCAAAAATAATAATAAAAAATACTTGCCAAGGTGTCATGACCTCATCTTATTGTTGAGTTCAGTGTTTCCATTTTAAATCCCTATTTTCTGGTTTATAACTTACTCCAAAATGTTCCTTTTGACCTTTGAGTCTGATGTTTCTCTTGCCTTCGTCTCAATCCAAAGGCGAATTTATTTGCAATTTGTACTAAATCTCTTCAGTTATTTCAGTTACTTGAGTTTAAAGAAAATACACTGCTTTTGCTTTCAGAAATTGTTCATATTTTTTCCATGTTCAAATAGCTTTAAAAAACATAATTTTGTTTTAAAGCTATAGTATTGACATAGATGTACTAAAGATCCAATTCAAAAATAGTTGGTTAAGAAATTTGGATTGAAGAACCAGAAATGACGAGGCTCCATAGCATGTAATTACATGGAGGCAGACGCACACCTCTCTCCCACAGCCATTGTGTGGGTGCATGTGACAATAATCGCAAGGTGAGTGTAAGAAGTCCAAGAAAGGTCAAAACCTACCCCTCAAAATCAATTTAAAGTGCATATCTGACTTTTTAAGGTGTGAAATAGTAAATAGCCCCAACTTCCAAGTCTACAAAGGGGACATGTAAATGGTACATATTAATTCACCAAGCACATATGAAACATTAAAAGGTACATATTAATATATAGAACATCCATGGGACTTTTGCTAGAATTTGGAGATGATGCAAAGGCAGTACTGGGAGTGGGATCCTCTGGAGTCTACCTCAGGTTTTCTTCTGACATTTATTTATGACTCCAGGTTGAGCCTCTAATCTTGCTTTAATATCCTCTCAACAAAATGGAGGCTGACCTTATATGCTAGTGTGCTGAAAAGAATTAACCCTCCCATCGGCACCTTTTGAGGACATTCATTTCAATAAATAACTTGCACATCTACTGAAACTTAGGCTCTATCTGATGCTGTGGCTATGAATGTGGATAAGACGAAAATGCTTCCTCGGAAAATTTCTTGAATATGAGAAAGACTGATGAGGTAAAATAACATAGGATAAGTATAAACAGAGGTTATTTTCAATAAGAACAGAGAACAATTAGAGTCTATTGCTTTCGAGAAAAGAAAGAGAAATAGCAAAGCAAACACATAGTATACAGATAGAGATGTATATCTAGACATAAATTCCTATATACCCCAAATGGGAAATTTTAAGATTCTACATAATTGCCATCAATCTTTCCCCACCCTCAGCCCAGTCTAAGCCTTTCCAAATAAACATATGAGCCAAATAAAATCAGTATGTTGGCTAAACAAATGCATTTTCAAGGCAGTTCCCTTAGTAGCTCACCCAACTTCTTTCCAAATACTGTCACCTCCAAGCCCCTCTTACACAGGAATTCTAGGGCTCTCAAAGAACAGTCCCTACAGATAAAATTATCTGATCCCTCTGCCTGAAAAATAAGTTTTTTCTCCTACAAACTTCCAGAGCACTTTATATCTGCCTTTCCTGGAATAATTACTGATTTTCTTAGATTCTAACATACAATCTTTTTCACATTTCAAATATAAACATGCATCTTGCAATCAATAGGTAAGTTTACTTTAAGGTTTCTTTTTGCCCAAGAATATGTCATTAAATTGATGATGGATCTTGCTCTGATTCATTAATTCAACAAATTATTTTTATTGTCATCTTTATTTCAATTTATAAATACATTTGTTTAATATGCTAATCTAGGTGAATTTCAGTTTGTTTTCAGAAAAACTAAAGACTTCAAAGATTTTTATTATGTGGATTATCAATATTTGAATTAAAAATTAAAACTGACACAGATGTGTTTAATAAATGGCATCTAGATTCTGACGCATTCTATATTCCATTCATTCTGTTGTGTACCAGTCACATAATTACTTGGAAACTCCACTGTTTATTTGAAAATTGTGAAAAAGGCTAAGTAATATCTTAATGTCATTATGACAAGTTTTGACCTCATAGGCACCTGGAAGAGCCTCTGGGCCTTCTAGGTGAAAGGACCACACTGTCTTAATAGACCTGCCCATATTTCATGCCTTCTAGAATTCCTTATAAGTTTCAATGGGCAGCTGGACAACTGAGCCATCTATTACTCTAATGGTACTTACGATGTGATTCTGGGGTGATGCGTGAGAATTTGCATGTCTAAACAATTCACAGATCATTCAAAAGTCTTTAATGCTGGAAAGCAGACTTTTCTGTTCCCCTTGGTTTACTTTAAGGAGCAAGGTTTTTTAGAGGATTCAAAAGTGCCCAAACTTAAGATTTTAAAACTCTCCATGCTTATCTTCCAAAAATGGTATATCATCCACTTTACTAACCCTCCTTGCTAAATAAGGGACCCAAATTAAATATTAGATGCCAACTACCCCAAAGTCAACCATGGTACCTCTTCTCTTCTGAAATCAGAGTTATTTGGAATCCTGAGCGAATTCTAACAAAGCAAACGCTGAGAGCTAGTCATTTATCAAAAGAGCAACATGTATTTTCTGAGCACCTGCTATGGGCCAGGCTCTATGCTGGGTACTTGGGTCATGTCTCACAGTGTTTGAAGATATGTATCTCATGACAATTTCAGAATTTATCGAACACTAGACAAATTAAAACAGCTAGAGAATATTGCTGCTAAAATTTGTATTCAAAATTATTTGACTTCTTGATTTAGATTATGTGTGTGTGTGTGTGTGTGTGTGTGTGTGTGTGTGTGTGTGTGTGTGACTTTCTAAAATTTACAATGATGTCATTCTAATGGAGTTAGGTTTTGGAGCTGAGACACAATGAACACATTACAGTGTGTGTTATGGTGATGTGGAGTGGCTATGCACACAGATGGTCTTGATTTTCATTTCCTGTGAAGCTGAATCAACATGTTGTGGCTAATGTCTATGTAATTTAATGTATTGAATGAAATGTACCATTGCTCTGTACATGAAGATAAAAGGTCCTACTTGGCTATGGTGTTCTTGTGCACTAAAACCACAACAGACATATTTAACAATCCTTTGTTATAAAAAATTAACCTAAAAAATTCTCTTGTTTCTTATAAAGAGACATAATTTTTGTTTGATTAACTCATTTGTATTTTTTTATCATAGTAGAAGGAAGGCAGCATCAATAGAATTTTCTTAGACTAATTAGTTTTGCAGGGTATACTTCTTTATGGTGTCAACATCATCATAGCATGAAGTGACTGGAAGGATATAATGGAAAGAGTCAACAAGCTAAGGCATCAGTACCAAATGAGATGATGTCCTCCCCGTGGTCAGTGGTAAGGGAGGCTGAGGGGGGCCCTCCCTTCCTGTGCCCCTCCAACACTTCTAGTTGGTCTGTTGCCCCTCAAGTGACTAGGGCTCTCATACAGCACTCTGGGTGTCTGAAATTGCAGCCCCAACATCACCTCACGAGGTACCAGTCTTCATAGCTCCCGTTTCCTCATCTGTTAAACAGGAGATAATTCGGTTCTTCTCACCAACCTCACACTACTCTTGTACTTTTGTGGGGAATAGATAGATAACACGTAAGAACCCTCATAAGATTATCAAGTGCAGTATAAATATAGATCATGATTTAAATGGTATTGTTCTTATCATTGTTACTCAGTGTTGGAGGTACCTTACTCCAAAATGATCTGCCCTCAAACCATCCAAACTGCCATCCCTTTGAATTTGATTTGTCAGTGATTCAGTTATCCAGTTGCAGAACCTTACAATGTGAATGAATGACAAATTTAAAAGGGCACCAGAACGTAGAAAATTAGACAACATTGTGGGAGAAAGTGCTTTTAGTGTATTCTTATGCTGACCACTTTACCACCATCGAACAGTGGGTAGCAACACAGTAAGAGAGTTTTTACTCTGCCCACTCAATTTCTGCCCTAGATCTCTTCAAATGAGTGTCTCCCCCTGGGATTTTGTGATTTGAAATTGGGAGAAGAGGGACGACTGAAGGGAAGAGAGGCTCTTTGTCTATGGCTGCAGAAGGAATTTAAGGATAGATTTTGGATGGGGAGTCAAGTAACTGACTGAGTGGGTGTGACAGTAAAGAGGGTTTAAAAAGTGTTGATGAAGGCTGCGTATCCTCTTCAAGGGGCTTGTTAAATGTAAGTAAAGAACATGAGCAAACTGGATTATTTAAAAAATTTCCAGGCCATGTTTTTTTTTTTTTATTGCTATACTGCTATAAGACTGGACCACATGGGATTTAACACTAAACTAATTAATTACTTTTATGCATTATCTCATTTAATTTTTTTTTTTTTTTTTTTTTTTGGCGGGGGGACAGAGTCTCACTCTGTCACCCAAGCTGGAGCGCAGTGACGCAATCTCGGCTCACTGCAAGCTCCACCTCCCAGGTTCACGCCATTCTCCTGCCTCAGCCTCCTGAGTAGCTGGAACTACAGGCGCCCGCCACCATGCCAGGCTTTTTTTTTTTTTTTTTTTGTATTTTTTAGTAGAGACGGGGTTTTACCGTGTTAGCCAGGATGGTCTCGATCTCCTGACCTCGTGATCTGCCCGCCTCGGCCTCCCAAAGTGCTGGGATTACAGGCGTGAGCCACCACGCCCGGCCAATTCCATTTAATTTTTACTCCAATCCTGTAAAACTTAATATTGCACCCACTTTATACATGAGAGAATCTTATCTTAAAGAGGTGAAATAACCTGCCATAGTAACACAGCTAGTAAGTTTCAAAGCTAGGACTTCAACATCAGAGATTCACCTCTTAATCACCCACTACACAATTTCATGCAAATCAGTCCACCTCAGTGGGTTGTATGGGAGAAAGGATTTTGAACAGTTGTGATGAGAAATACAAGGAGAAGGAAGTGGATCTTTTAGTTTTCCTTTTTTAATCAGGTTGGCTACTCGAGTTCAGAAAACAAGGGTCTTAACTTAGCCCTGGTTTCTATGAGGTTAGCAACAACTTTGCTCTTTATTGTTAAAGCAACTGAATAATGGTGCACCTCATTATAAATAGTCTTTGATAGAACATTCAGAAGGAACAAAGGAGTCAGCACTTACATTTCCTGCAAGCAAAAAAAGAAATCTGCCTTCATGAAATTAGGTTACCTGACTATGCTTAAAGCAGGGGCATTCTCTGCTACAGATATTTTTTTAACTGGTAGATTAATTCATCCATAATCCCAAGTTTATTTACATTG
This sequence comes from Homo sapiens, assembly GCF_000001405.40. Classification (NCBI taxonomy): domain Eukaryota; kingdom Metazoa; phylum Chordata; class Mammalia; order Primates; family Hominidae; genus Homo; species Homo sapiens. The sequence goes on from NC_000007.14 coordinate 96,869,088, forward strand.
AGATCAATTAAACGTACAATCAGGTTTAGATGTTTCTCCTTTATCAACAATAGAAAGAAATTATTTATTCTTGAAATTTGTAATCGAAGAGATTAATACACAGAATGAGGTTGGGATAAACTAGAAACAAAATTGCCAGAAAGCTGATTGATACATAGTCTGCTAGGCTTAAGCCAATTCTATTATTATTGGATTCCAAACAGCATTACTAGCTTACCTACGCAGGTGACTAGTGAACTAAAGAATGAACATGGAAAGTCAGCAAATTATAATACATATATATTTCTTCAGAAGAAGTATGATTCTTAGGTAACCACTAACTTCCTTGCAAAGGACAGCTAAATTCTTCTCATCCCTCTAGCTAGGCTCAAGGTCTCAGAGTGACATTAACTCTCTTTTGTATTATTCTTGGGATCTACAATTTTCCTTACCCAGTAAAACATTACTTGTGGATGGCATATTAGTAAATGGCTTCGTAAACACCCTCTAAATTTCTGGAAGTCCGTTTTTTATTGTTCTAGTCTTTCTGCCATGATTGCTGCTGTTACCCTTTTCTTCCTATTGTACTTTGTGCTGGGTTTGGACTCCCATACACATCTTACCCACTGATTAATGTTCACTGACTTTGTGTGTAAGAGCCATAGCTCTATATTTAGAAAGAGCTGATGCACATCTTTCCCATTGAATATGTGTGTGACCTAAGAAAATTGCATATGTGCCTTTAAGCAACAGTTTTCTCATTTGCAAAATGGGAATAATAATATTATATATTTACTTTTTCATGCCCTAACTCATATTTGCTCATCTTCTGTGGATAATGTCTCTATGATACTAAAAACTTTCCAGCCTAAAAATTCACAGTGCAAGGGCTTGGTTACATACCCATAACCATCCTATTAAGTACTTTTTAAATGGAAGCATTCACAACCACTGTTACATTCTACGTGGTGTATTATCATTAAGTAGCTTCTCCTCTATTTTCACCTTGGTTTTCATTGTTTTCAGGACAGTTTGGAAAAATAAAGGTCTGGTGAGGATGGGGCATATCCAGCTACATTTTAACCAAAGCAGGGAGAAATGGGAGACAAAGCGCAGACTGTTGTCATTGAGGGAAGGGCAGTATCAGGAATTAGATCTCACTGGGAGGCCCCAGCAAGCCTAAGAGAGAGGAGCATGTGAAGTAGAGAGAGGATACCACATAGCAGGAGAAGGAGAGGATGTCCACCCAAGCCTTGTTTTCCTACTAATTTTACCAAAGGCTAGTCCTGACATGAGTAGCAAAACAGCACCAGTAACAATAACAGCAACAGCTGTTTGTTGAGCAAGGGTTGTATTGCTCAACATAACGTGGATTTTTATGGATCGAGTGCTTTATATGGATTATGTTATTTAGTTCTCACCACAGTTCCATGATGTAAGTAATATTATTTTACAGATAAGGATGTTGACAGTAAGGGATGTAAACTACTTGTTCATGTCACACTGCTAATAAATAGTGGCCAGTTGGGGATTTGAAAGCAAGGGAGTCTAATGATAGACTGGATAATTAGTTGCTTTTGCCATAAAATTTTAAATTTCAAAGATTCTATCCTTTTGTCCATAATATATGGCCTCATTTGTCTGCCCATATATCCTGATTTAAGATTCTGAAAATGTAGTCAATATAAGGTTCTGATAAATCAAGGACATAAGCTTCCTGTGCTTTCGCAAGCTTATTTCACAAGAAAGATATACCAACATCCTACATCAAGGCACAGCAACACGTGAAGACCTAGACTGTGATAAAAGAAAAGTCAGCCTCATTCCATTTCCCCCAAAAAGATGGACTGAATTTTCATAGAAAACCATCCAGTACAGAACAAGCAAATAAGCTGAATAAAATATGTAATAATTATCAAATCTGTAGCAAAAGTGAGAAAGGGATCCCTTCCCTCAAGGGCCAGAGAAGAGAAAACAAAACTCTACAGTGGTAAGCAAGCACTGGAGGCAATTTTTGACATATAGGTACATGCTGAAGCTTGCTAGTGAGAGCTGAGTTCCACAACCAGTGTGAGGATTGCATCAGCCCTTGGGGTGATCAGCTGGGCCTGGGGCAATCAAGGCTTCCACCTGGCTAATTACCTTTGCCCAAACACAGCTTCTCTCAGGGCCCTGAGGAGGACTGCTCAGGCAGAATGGTGGTGGTCCCACAGTTCTTGAGGAGGGTGAGCCCTATTAATGTCATCATGCCCTGTCCACTGCCTAAACTCACTGAGTGCAGCCCAGCAGGAACTCCACAACCTGAACATCCACTCCAGCAGCCAACTGCAGACTGACCATTGTGGATAACAATCAGCCTGTGGAGTCGATGGAGGAGATCATAAGCTTGTTGCCCAAGGAACATGGCATGTGTCTTCATCCATGTGTGTTGCTATAAAGGAATACCTGAGGCTGGGTAATTTAGAAAGAAAAGTGGTTTATTTGGTCTATGATTCTGGATAGATCAGGCATCTACATCCTGTGAGGGCCTCAGGCTGCTTCCACCCAGCAGACAATGAAGGGAAGCCAGTTTGTACAGAGATCACATGGCAACAGAAACAAGAGAAAGGAAGAAGGTGCCAAGCTCTTTTTAACAACCAGCTCTCACAGGAACTAATAGAGCAAGAACTCACTCATTACCAGGAGGTTGGCAGGAAGCTATTCATGAGGAATCTGCTCCCATGACCCAAACACCTCCAATTAGGTCCCACCTCCAACATCAGGAATCAAATTTCAACATGAATTTTGAAGGGTCATATATCCAAACTGTAGCAGTATGCAAACCAATATGTAGCTGCTTGAGGGTGTGGAAGGTGGAAAACCAATCAAGGTCTCCTGAAAGACAAAGCTCCAGAAAGTGTGTCTCATCTGTCTTCACTCATAGAGGGTGTTTTAGTCTTCCTGGGCTGCTGTCCCAAATCATCACAAACTGTGTGGTTTAAAACAACAGAGGCCAGGCGCAATGGCTCACGCCTGTAATCCCAACACTTTGGGAGGCCGAGGCAGGTGGATCATCTGAGATCAGGAGTTCAAGACCAGCCTGGCCAACATGGCAAAACCCCGTCTCTACTAAAAAAAATTAGCTGGGTGTGGTGGCAGGCGCCTGTAATCCCAGCTACTCGGGAGGGTGAGGCAGGAGAATCTCTTGAACCTGGGAGGCAGAGGTTGCAGTGAGCCAAGATCACACCATTGCACTCCAGCCTGAGCGACAGAGCAAAACTCCGTCTCAAAAAAAAAAAAAAAACGAAAACAAAAAAACCCCATAAATTTATTCTCTCATAATTCTGGGGGCTAGAAGTCTGAAATCATGTAATCAGCAGGCCATGCTTCCACTGAAACATCTAGGGAAGAATCCTTCTTTGCCTCTTCCACACTTTTGGTGGCTCTCAGCCATCCTTAGCGTTCTTTGGCTTGTAGCTATATCACTCTAATCACTGCCCCCATCATCACATAGCTTCTTCCCTATGCAACTATGTATTTCTTTGTGTCCTCTCCTCTTTTTATAGAAAACCAGTTATTTGATTTAGGGCCCACTTTAATCAGTAGGACGTCATCTTAACTAATCTATTTGTGAAGGTCCCATTTACAAAGTCACATTCTGAGGTTCCAGGTGGACATGAATTTTGGGGGAGATACTTATTCAGCCCAATATGGAGGGTACCTCCGTCTGTCTTTGGCTGACATGCCATTTTTGTGGCATATCACTACTATCCTTTCAAAGTGGCTACTGTGATAATGCCCAAGCAGTCTACAAATTAGAGAAAAGTCTGACTGAACTAGAATTCTTTTTGCACTGCGGCAAAATAACAAAAACTTCAATGTTACACTTGTCCGTGAAAAAAAAAAGAATAGTGATCAGGTTTTTAAATAATATTATTTTTAAAACATGGTTGAAAAGCTTTTGTCACTAAATTATATTTAAAAGTTTCTTGTTAAATATGATTATCAAGCATTTTAAGAGATTATAATTTGAAAGTCCTGATTAGGAATTGCATATAACCATTTCAATCAAAAGGAAAATCTGATTAAAACAATTTGAAACTATTTTGTTTAGAAATTTTCTATTTAATATTTTAAGGTAATATGAATATAAAATTTAATATTTTAGATATTCTTAAATTCTCTGTTTTATTTTACTTATAGCTATCTAACTTAATTATAATGAATGTTTACCCCAAATACATAAAGATATTACCAAATTGCCACCAGTTTTCTACAATGTATTGTATAGATAATGTCATTTTCATTGGTCATCAGTGCCTTATTTAGTTTCGTGGAGGTCATGTTTTCCTGGATGGTCTTGATGCTTGTGGATGTTCATCAGTGTCTGGCCATTAAAGAGATAGGTATTTATTGTAGTCTCCACAGTCTGGGCTTGTCTGTACCAAGTTACCACAACATGAAAAAGTTGTAAAGTGCTGTTACAACCATTAAGGAAAATAAATCAGTAGCAAAAGGAAACATCTTCTCACAAAGAAAATATCAGAACTAAATTATTTTAAAGGGAATGTTTATAAATAATACTTATCTCACATGAAATTTTTCAGTAAATGGAGGAAGGAGTGAATGCTCTCCCAAAATGTTTTGTCAAATTAATATAAACCTGATACCAAACAAGGACAGACACTAGAAAGGAAATAATAAGCCAATCTCATTCATGAACAAAGATGAAAAAAATTCTCAACAAAATATTAGTAAATCAAGGGCAATAATATAATTTAAAAGATTATATATAATAATAAAGTAAAATTTATTCCAAGAATACGAGGTTGGTTTACCATGATAAAATGTATTAATATAATACATCATCATCACAATAGCAGGTTAAAAGAGAAAAATATCATTTCAATAATATGCAAAATAATACATTTGATAAAATTTAACATGTATTCATGAATTGAAAAAAAGACTCTCAGTAAACTAAAAATAGAATGTGCTTTTTTTTCACCTGTTGTGTTTTCTTTTACCTGAAAAAGGGCATGCACAAAAAAATAAAAGCAAGCATCTGACTCATGGTACAATTATATCAAGCATTCAAGTATAAAATAAGTTGGCTACTATCAGCATTTCTATTCACCATTATTTAGAAGTCTAGGCCAGCACAATAGCACTAGAAAAAGAAACAAAAAGTAGAAAGATGGGACAGGAAGGAGTCAAATGCCACTATTTGCAAATGATGAGACAATAACAAATCATGCACAGTTTATTAGAATAAATAAATTTAGAAGGTTGCTATTAAAAGATAACCATAAAATCCAAGTGCCTTTCTATACAATATACAATGAGAAAAATATTACATATGTAATATGTTTATATAACACACATATAAATATATAGTCAGCCCTCCATATCTGTGGGTTCCACATCCATGGGTTCCACTTTCAGAGATTCAACCAACAGCAGATCAAAAATATTTGGGAGAAGAGGTAGAACAGGATGGCTGAATATAAACCTCCAGCAATTATGCCCCACTAAGGAACACCAAATTGAACAACTATCCACACAAAAAAGCACCTTCATAAGAACCAAAAACCAGATAAGCTATTACAGTACCTGGTTATACATCATATAACTGAAGGAGACACTGAAGAGGTAGGAAAGACAGTCTTGAATTTCCTACACCTCTCCTCCCCAATCCCTTGACAGCAGCCACATGGCACAGAGTGAGAATCTGTGTGCATGGGAGAGAGAGAGTGCAGTGATTGTGGGACTTTGCATTGGAACTCAGTGCTGCCCTGTCATAGTGGAAAGCAACACTGAGCAGAACTCAGCTGATGCACACAGTGGGAGCTCTTAAGTCAGCATTAGCCAAAGGGGAATCATCCATCCTAGTGGTCAGAACCTGAGTTCCAGCTAGCCCCACCACCACAAGCTAAAGTGCTCTGGAGTCCTAAGTAGCCTGAAAGGCAGTCTAGACCACAGTGACTGTAATTCCTGAGGAAGTACTAGTGCTGTGCAGGGCTTGGAGCCAGTGGACTTGGATTGCAGGTGGCCTAGTGAGACATCAGCTGGTGCAACTAAGGGAGTGCTTTCATTATCCTTCCCCTTACCCCAGGAAGTGCAGCTCACACCTCTGGGAGAGACTCCTTCCCTCTGTTTGAAGAGAAGATAGGGAAGAGTAAAGAAGACTTTCTCTTGCAACTTGGATACCAGCCCAGCCATAGAAGACTAGGTCCCCAGGGAAAATCCTGAGGGCCCCCCAACCCTTCCAGACCCTAGCTCCCAGATCACATTTCTAGACAAACTTTGGACCAGAAGAGTACCTGCTCCCTTGAAGGAAAGGATCCAATCCTGGTGGGATCCATCACCTACTAACTAGAGAGCTCTTGGGCCTTAAATAAACATCAATAGCCAGGCAGTACTCACTGTGGGCCTTGGGGGAGTCCCAGTTCCATGGTGGCTCCAGATGGGACCCAGCACATTTGCTGCACGGTGGCTATGAGGAGAGACTCCTTCTGCTTGAGGGAAAAAGATGGAATAGTAAAGGGGACTTTGTGTTACAGCCTGGGCATTAGCTTGGCCATAGTGGGGTAGAGCACCAAGCAAGTTTCTGGGGCCCCTGATTTCAGGCTTTGGCTCTTGGATGGCATTCCTGGACCTGCCCTGGGCTGGGTGGGTGGGAAAACACTATTCTGAAGACAGAAACCTAGGACTGGCAGCATTTACCACAAACTGAAGAGCCTTTGGGCCTTGAATGAATATTGGTGGTAGACAGGCAGTATTTGCTGCGGGCCTGGGATGGTGGTGGCCATAGGGGCAGACTTCTGCTTGAGAAAAGGAGAGAAGAGTGGAAAAGACTTTGTCTTCTGGCCTGAGTGACAGCTCAGTGCAGTAGAATAGAGCACCATGTGGATTCCTAAGGTTACCACCAGGCCCTGGCTCCCAGATGGCATTTCTGGACTCACCCTTGGCCAGGGCATGGGGCTTGCCACCCTGAAGGGAAGGGCATGAGCCTGGCCAGATTTATCAACTGCTAACTGAAGAGCACTTGGGCCCTGAGTGAAAATTGGCAGTAGTAGACAAACAGTTGTCACTGCAGGCCTTGGGTGAGACCCAGTGCTGTGTTGGCATTATGTCTGACCCAGTGTAGTCCCACTGGTAGTAGCCACAGGGGTGCTTGTGTCACCACTCCCCTAGTTCTAGGAGCTCTGCATGGAGAGAGAAATTCCATTTGTTTGGGGGAAAGTAAGGAGAGAGAACAAAAGTCTCCATCTGGTAATCTGGAGTATTCTTATGGATCTTGCCCAAGATCAGTAAGGCAGGACCTCTATGAGTCTGCAAGAGACACAGTGCTACTGGACTTGGGGTGCCCCCTAATGCAGATATGGGTGCAGTGAACAAAGACTTAGATCACAACAGTCAATTCCCTTTGAATACTTGAAAAGCCTTCCCAAGAAAGATGGGTGCAAACAAGCCCAGACTGTGAAGACTACAATAAATACCTATCTCTTTAATACCCAGACATTGATGAACATCCACAAGCATCAAGACCATCCAGGAAAACATGACCCCACCAAACAAACTAAATACGGCACCAATGACCAATCCCTGAGTGACAGTGAAATGAGACCTTTCACACAGAGAATTCAAACTAGATGCTTTGAGGAAGCTCAACAAAATTCAAGATAATACAGAGAAGAAATTCAGAATCCTATCAGATAAATTTAACAAAGAGATTAAAATAACTACAAAGGATCAGGCAGAAATTCTGGAGCTGAAAACAGGAATTGACACACTGGAGGATGCATCTAGAGTCTCTCAACAGCAGAGCTGATCAACAGCAGAACTGGTCAAGCAGAATTAATTATTAAAGACATTTAATAATCAAACTTCCAAAAGTCAAAGACAAGGAAGAATCCTAACAGCAGCAAGAGAAAAGAAACAAATAACATACAATGGAGCTCCAATACATCTTGCAGCAGAATTTTTCATGGAAGCTGTACAGGCCAGGAGAGAGTGACATGACAAACTCATCTTATTTTTATTTTATGTATTTTTCAAAATTTCAACTTTCATTTTAGATTCAAGGGGTACATATTCAGGATTCTTACATGGGTATATTGCATGATGCTGAGGTTTGGAATATGAATGATCTTATCACCCAGGCAGTGAGCACAGTACCCAACAGTTAGTTTTTCAACCCTTGCCCCTCTTTCTCCCTCCTTTATCTATTAGCCCCAAGTGACTATTGTTGCCATCTTTATGTCCATGACTACTCAACGTTTAGCTCTCACTTATAAGTGAGAACATGCAGTATTTGGGTTTCTGTTCCTGTGTTAATTTGCTTAGGATAACGGCCTCCAGCTACATCCATGTTGCTGCAAAGGACAGGATTTCTCTCCTTTTTATGGTTGTGTAGCATTCCACAGTGTTGATGGGCATCAAGGTGGATTCCATGTCTTTGCTATTGTGAATAGTGCTACAGTGAACTTATGAGCACATGTGTGCTTTGGCAGAATGATTTATTTTCTTTTTTCCAGCAATGGAATTGCTAGGTCAAATTATAAATCTTTTTTAAGTTCCTTGAGAAATCTACAAACTGCTTCCACAGTGGCTAAACCAATTTACATTCACACCAACAGTATATAAACATTCCCTTTACTCCACAGCCTTGCCAGCATCTGTTGTTTTTTGACTTTTCAATAATAGACATTCTGACTGGTGTGAAATTATATCTCACTGTACTTTTGATTTGCATTTCTCTGGTGATTAGCGATGTTGAGTTTTTTTGTTTGTTTGTTTGTTTTTGAGGCAGGGTCTCTCTCTGTCACCCAGGATGGATTGCAGTGGCTCAGTCACAGCTCATTGCAGCCTTGACCTCCCAAGGCTCAGGTGAGCCTCCTGCCTCAGCCCCCTGAGTAGCTGGGACTATAGGCATGTGTCATCAGGCCCAGGTAATTTTTGTATTTTTTAGTAGAGATGGGGTTTCATCACGTTACCCAGGTTGCTCTCGAACTCCTGGGCTCAAATGAACCATCCATCCTGGCCTCCCAAAGTGCTATGATTATAGGTGTGAGCCACCACACCCAGCCTTGAGCATTTTTTCAAATGTTTTTTTAAAGTGCAGAAAGAAAAACAACTTTTGTTCTAGAGTAGTATATTCAGTGAAAATATCCTTCAGTCATGAAACAGAAATAAGGAATTTCCCAGACAAATAAAAACTGAGGGATTTCATAAACACCAGACCTGTCCTACAAGAAATGCTAAAGGTAGTGCTTCAATCTGAAAGAAAAGGATGTTAATGAATAATAAGAGATTATCAGAAGGTAGAAAATTTGGTAATAATAACTACACAAATATAGAATATTACAACATTGTAATTGTGGTGTATAAACTATCTCTTGAGAAGAAAGACTAAAAGATGAAACTACTAAAAATAATCACTATGACAACGTTTCAAGACATAGGCAATAATAGAAGATATAAATAGAAATAATAAAATGTTAAAAAGTAGAGGAATTAGGTTAAATTATAGAGTTTTTATTAGTTTTCTCTCTTGTTTGTTTTTGCAACCACTGTTAAGTTGTCATCCATTTAAAATAATAGGTTATAAAATATTCTTTGTAAGCCTCATGGTAACCTCAAATCAAAAAGCACACAACAGATACACAAAAAATAAAAGGCAAGAAATTAAAACATACCACCAGAGAACATTAGCTTTATAAAAAGGAAGGAAGCAAGGAAGAGAAGACTACAAAACAACGAGAAAACAAATAATAAATGGCAGGAGTAAGCTCTTACTTATCAATAATATCATTGAATGTAAATGGACTAAACTCTCCAGTCAAAACATGGAGAGTGGCAGAATGGATTAAAAAAAAAAAAAAAGACTCAGTGTTTTGTTGCCTACAAGAAACACACTTCACCTATAAAGACATACATAGACTGATAATAAAGGGATGGAAAAATATATCCCGTGCAAACATAAACCAAAAATAAGCAGAAGTGATTATACTTATATCAGACAAAATACATTTCAAGACAAAACTATAAAAAGAGAAAAAGAAGGTTGCTATATAATGATAAAAAGATCAATTCAGCAAGAGTATATAACAATTGTAAGCACGTATGCACCCAATACTGGAGTACCCAGATATATAAAGCAAATATCGTTAGAGCTAAAGAGGGAGATAGACCCCACTAAAATAATAGCTGGAAGCTTTATAGATCCCATTTCCAGCATTGGAAAGATCATCCAGATAGAAAATCAACAAAGAAATATGGGATTTAATCTGTACTATAGATCAAATGGACCTAATAGATATTAATAGAACATTTTATCCAATGGCTACAGAATACACATCCTTCTCCTCAGCACATGGATAATTCTCAAGGATAGACCATGTGTTAGGCCACAAAACAAATCTTTTAAAAATTCAAAAATATTGAAATTACATCAAGTATCTTCTCTGACCACAGTGGATTAAAACTAGAAATCAATAACAAGAGGAACTTTGGAAACTATACAAACACATGGAAATTAAACAATATGCTCCTGAATAAGCAGGGGTCAATGAAGAAATTTAAAGGGAAATTTAAAAATTTCTTGAAGCAAATGAAAATGGAAACACAATATACCAAAACCTATGCAATACAGCAAAAGCAGTACTAAGAAGAAAGTTTATAGAAATAAGCAACTACATCAAAAAAGTAGAAAAACTTCAAGCAAACAATCTGATGGTGCCTCTTAAAGAACTAGAAAAGCAAGAGCAAACCAAACCCAAAATTAGTAGAAGAGAAATAGTAAAGATAAGAGCAAAAATAAATGAAATTGAAATGAAAAAAAATCATACTAAAGATCAATGAAATGAAAAGATGGTTTTTTGAAAAGATAAACAAAATCAACAAAACTTTAGCCAGACTAAGAAAAAAAGAAAGAAGATCCAAATAAATAAAATCAGAGATGAAAAACAAGACATTATAACTGATACCACAGAAATTCACAGGTCATTAGAGACTACTATGTGCAGCAATATGCCCATAAATTGGAAAAACTTGAAGAAATGAATAAATTCCTGCAAACATACAACCTACCAAGATTGAACCTTGAAGAAGCCTAAAACCTGAATAGATCAATAACAAATATTGAGATAGAAGCTGTAATAAAGTCTCCCAGCAAAGGAAAGCCCAAGAACTGATGGTTTCACTGCTGAATTTTACCAGACATTTAAATAACTAATGACAATCCTACTCAGACTATTCCAAAAAATAAGAAGAGGGGATCCTTCCAAACTCATCCTAGAAAGTGAGTACTACCCTGATAACAAAACATGACAAAGACAAATAAAAAAAGAAAACTACAGGTCAATATCCCTGATGGATATTGATGTAAAAATCCTCCACAAAATACTAGCAAACATATTTAAAAGATCATTCATCATGACGAAATGGGATTTATCCCAGGGATGCAAAGATGGTTCAACATAACCAAATCAATCGATGTGATACGTCATATCAACAGAATGAAGGATAAAAACCATATGATCATTTCAAGGTTGGTGCAGTGGCTCACGCCTGTAATCCCAGCACTTTGGGGGGTCAAGGTGGGCAGATCACATGAGGCCAAGGGTTCAAGACCAGCTGGCCAGCATGGCAAAATCCCATCTCTACCAAAAAATACAAAAGTTAGCCAGGCATAGTGGCACATGCCTGTAGTCCCAGGTACTCAGGGGGCTGAGGCATGAGAATCGCTTGAATCCAGGAAGCAGAGGTTGCAGTGAGTCAAGATCATGTCACTCCACCCAGCCTGGGTGACAGAGCAAGACTCTGTCTCGAAAAAAAGAAAAAAAAAATGATCATTTCAATTGACACTGAAAAAGGATTTGATAAAATTCAACAACCTTCATGATAAAAACCCCTTTAAAAACTGAGTACAGGAAGAACATACCTCAAAACAATAAAAGCCATATATGACAGACCCACAGCTGGTATCATACTTCATGGGGAAAAAATGAAAGCCTTTCCTTTAAGATCAGAAAAACAACAAGGATGCCCACTCTTAACACTGTTATTCAAACTAGTAGTGGAAGTCCTAGCTAGAGCAACAGAACAAAAGGAATAAATAAAGGGTATCCAAATTGCGAAGGAAAAAGTCAAATTATCCTTGTTTGTAAATAATAGAATCTTATATTTGGAAAAACCTGAAGACTCCACCAAAAAACTATTTGAACTAATAAACCAATTCAGTAACATTGCATTATACAAAATCAACATACAAAAATTAGTAGTATTTCTATATGCCAACAGCAAACAATCTGAAAAAGAAATCAAGAAAATAATCACATTTACAATAGCCACAAATAAATAAAATACCTAGGAATAAACTTAGCCAAAGAAGTGAAAGTTTTCTACAATTAAAACTGTAAAACATTGATGCAAGAAATTGAAGTGGACACAAAAAATGGAAAAATATTCTATGCTCACGGATTGAAAGAAAAAATATTGTTAAAATGTCCATACTACCCAAAGCAATCTACAGATTCAATGCAATCCCTATCAAAATACCAATGGCATTTTTCACAGAAATTGAAAAAATAATCCTAAAAGTTATGTAGAACCACAAAAAACTCAGAATAGCCAAAACCATCCTGAGAAAAAAGAACAAAACTAGAGGGATGACATTACCTGACTTCAAATTATACTACATACCTATAGTAACCAAAACAGCATGGTACTAGCATAAGAACAGACTCATAGACCAATGGAACAGAATAGAGAACCCAGAAACAAATCCACACACCTACGGTGAACTCGTTTTCCATAGAGATGTCAAGAACATACATTGGAGAAAGGACAGTCTCTTCAATTAATGGTGCTGGGAAAATTGGATCTCTATATGCAGAGAATGAAACTAGACCCCTGTCTCTCACCATAAACAAAAGTCAAATCAAAATGGATTAAAGCCTTAAATCTAAGACCTGAAACTATAAAACTATTAAAAGAAAACATTGGAGAAACTCTCCAGGACATTGGTTTGGGCAAAAGATTTTGTGTTCCAAAATCTTTTGTAAAAGCACAGGCACCCAAAGCAAAAATGGACAAATGAGGTCACATCAAGTTAAAAAGCTTCCACACTGCAAAGGAAATAATCAACAAAGTAAAGAGGCAATCCACAGAACAGGAGAAAATATTTGCAATCTATTCATCTGACCAGAACATATAAGAAGCTCAAACAATGCAATAGGAAAATAAACATAATAATCTGATTTTTAAATGGGCAAAAGATCTGAAAAGACATTTTTTAAAGAAGACATACAAATGACAGGTATATGAAAACATGCTCCATGTCATTGATCATCAGAGTAATGCAAATCAGAACTACAATGAGGTATCATCTCATCCCAGTTAAAATGGCTTTTGTCCAAAAAACATGCAATAACGAACGCTGGCAAGGATGTGAGGAAAAGGGAACTCTTGTACACTATTTGTGGGAATGTAAATTCACACAGCCACTGTGGAGAATAGTACAGAGGTTCCTCAAAAAACTAAAACTAAAACTATTATATGATCCAGCAATCCCACTGCTAGGTATATACCAAAAAGAAAGGAAATCAAGGCCCAGTGCAGTGGCTCACACTTGCCAGCTGAGGCAGGAGGATAGCTTGAGCCCAGGAGTTAGACACCAGCATGGCCAATATAGGGAAACTTCATCTCTACAACATAAAAATAGAATAATCAGCTGGGCATGGTTATGTGCACCTGTGGCCCCAGCTACTTGGGAAGCTGAAGAGGGAGAATTTTGCTTGAGCCCAGGAAGTCGTGGCTGCAGTGAACCATGATCATGGCACTGTACTCTAGCCTGAGCGACAGAGTGAGACCCTGTGAAAATAAGAAAGAAGGAAGGAAGGAAGGATATTAAAGAGATATCTTCACTCTCATGTTTATTGCAGCACTATTCACAGTGTCCAAGGTTTGAAAGCAACCAAAGCATCCATCAGCAAATGAATGGATAAAGAAAATGTGGTATATATACACAATGGAGTATTAGTCGTCCATAAAAGAGAATGGGATCCTGTCATTTGCAACAACATGGCTGGAACTAGAGGACATTATGTTAAGTCAAATGAGCCAGGCTCAGAAAGACAAACTTTGCATGTTCGCACTCATCTGCGGGAGCTAAAAAACTAAAACAGTTGAACTCATAGAGATAGACAGTAGAATGATGGTTACCAGAGGCTGGGAAGGGTAGTGGGCTTGGGAGAACAGTTAATGGATATAAAAATATAGTTAAATAGAATGAATAAGAGCTAGGGCTGGGCGTAGTGGCTCATGCCAGTAATCCCAACACTTCGGGAGGCCGAGGCGGGCAGATCACCTGAGGTCAGGAGTTCGAGACCAGCCTGGCCAACATGGTGAAACCCCATCTCTATGAAAAATACAAAAATTAGCCAGGTGTGGTGGCGCACATCTGTAATCCTAGCTACTCCAGAGGCTGGAACAGGAGAATCGCTTGAACCTGGAAGGCTGTGATTGCAGAGAGCTGAGATTGCGCCACTACACTCCAGCCTGGGTGACAGAGCAAGACTCTATCTCAAAAAAAAGAAAAAAAAAAGCTAGTATTTGACAGCACAACAGGGTGATTACAGTCAATAATAATTTATTATACATTTAAAAATAACTAAAGAGGTATAATTATAATGTTTGTAACATAAAGAAGTAATAAATACCTGAGGTGATAGACACCCCCATTTACCTTAATGTGATTATTGCACATTGTATGTCTGTACCAAATATCTCACATGCCCCATAAACATAAACACTTACTATGTACCCATAAAAAATTTTTAATGTAAAAAAATTTTGAAAAAAATTGAATTGTTTCATCCATACTGAATATAGGCAGACTTTTTTTCTTGTCATTATTCTGTAAACAATATAGTAAAACAACTATGTACATAGAATTTACATTGTATTAGGTATTATAAGTTATTTAGATATGATTTAAAGTGTGCCAGGGACATGTGAAGGTGATATGCAAATACTGCCCTACTTTGTATAGGGAACTTGAGCATCTGTGGATTTTGGTATTCTCAGGGTTCTTGGAACCAATCCCTTTTGGATACCAAGGGATGACTGTATATACATTTGTAGATATATACAGAATATTAATCCTGACCTGACTACCACAAAACATAATCATTGCCTACTTTTCTTGGTCTCAGGCCTCCTTATGGGGTTGGAAGAAGCAGGTGCAGAGAAATTTTAAAACAATATTATCTCGAAATCATTTAATGTTGCATAATATATGAGTGTGCGCGTGTGTGTGTGTGTGTGTACTTGCATGTGACTTTTACAAAAACAACAATAAAAAGTAAAGTGTCCCGGAATAGAAGCACAAAAAATCTACATGGAGAAAATTATAAAACCTAAATTAAAGACATTTTAAAAGGTTTAAATACATACAGAAACATACCATGATCATGTAAAGGGAATCTCAATGTCATAAAGATGGCAAACTTTCTCAAATCCCAAAGTTAATCTATAAATGTAACATAATTCTAATAAAAATTCAAACATGAATTTTTATGGAATTAGGCATAACTGATTCCAAAATGTATGTAGAAAGTCAAAGGGCCAAGAATAGTCAAGATATTTCTGAGGAAGAACCAGATTGGAGGGCTTGTTCTACCATGTAAGACTTATTACAAATCTACAATAATTATTAGAGCATGTATTAATACAGGGTTAGAAAAATTGATAAACAGCATCAAATAGGAGTCCAGAAATAGACTCACGCATAAATAAAAATTAGTATACAACAGAGTTGGCATTGCAGATAACTGAAGAAAGAGGGTTCTACAAAACATATTACACTGGGAAAATAGTTAACAAAATGCAAAAAAATTGAAATAGATTTAACTCACGCTGGCCACAAAAATTAGTTTCAGATGGATTAAATTATGAAGGATGCACAATATCTTTATTAGATTCACAAAAACTCACATGTACTCCAAAAATGTGTACAACTATGATATATCAATTAAAAAAGAAAAGCTCAAACCCTAAAGGAAAAATAGTAAATTTTCCCATAATAATATTAAGAACACTGTTCATCAAAAGACACCATAAAGTAAATTGAAATACAAGCCACGAACTAGGCCCAGAGATTTATAAAACATGTAATCAACAAAGAATTATATCCAACAAATAAAGCAATAAAGATAAAATGAACGGCCCAATTAAAATGAGCAAAAGACATGAATAGGCATCTCAAAAAAGAAACATGAATGACTCACAAACATGAAAAAACACTTAGCATCATTACTAATCAAGAAAATGCAAATTCAAACCACAGTGAGATACCATTTCACACTAAACAGAACGTTAAAAATCAAGAGGTATGTCGGTGAGGATGTGGACACTGGTGAGAAAGTAAAATAACATAAACACTATTAAAAATATTTGGCTCAAATTTAGAATATGCATACTCTATAACCTAGTAATTCCACTCTTAGGAATATATGTTTAAGAAATACTTGTGTGTGTGCCCCAGAAATTCAGAGCATGTAAATATTTATAGTAGCATTGTTTCTAATATTTTAAAAAAACTGGAAACAATCCAAGTATCCACCAACAGGAGAACAATTGAGGTCAAATAATAGAATACTATACAAAATAAAAAATAACTGAACCTCAGCTATACACAGCAACAAAATTAGTCTTAAAAACGTAAGTGTGATCCAAAAAAAAGCAAGTTGCAGAAGGTACATGAAGATATAATTTAGTTTATATCAAATTTATAAGCTCACAAAACTAGGTGATTTATTACTTAAGGATATATACAATATGTGGTATAACCATAAAGGAAAACAAGGAAATTAATAACACAATATTCAGGATTGTGATTACATCTTAGAGACAAGAGATGGGATTGAGAAAAGGCTTACAATATCAGGAAATTTCAAGGTATTGCTATAGTCTATCTCTTTAGCAAGGCAGTGGGTACATGGCTGTTTATTTTCTTATTTTTCCTGTATATTTACATTGTACGCACTCTTCATATATTTCAAAAATTAAAAGTCATCTTACAAAAGGGGGCCATCCATTCAGTAGGAGCTTAATGGCTGTCATTTTTCCTCATATTCTCCATAGCTGATCCAATACAGAGATTATCGTAGTGTTATTAATTAATTTCATCTTACACTGAAAATGAAGGGTAAGTATAAGTGGAGAGCTTAATGATACCATGATACTGAGACTTAGGGAAGTCCCATGAAATCCAACTACCATTTCCCTGGTAAGGTAAGCAGTAACTGCCTAGAAGAAATAAGACAAGGAAATTAATGGAATGGAGCTGAGACTTCATTATCAGAAGGGATTATCAGGTGTCTTGCACCACTTCCTGTTATTCACTACCCAACTCCAGAACTTCTTCAGCTTCTACCTATCAATTCCCCAAGTTGTTCATTGTTGGAATAGGTAGGGAAAAACAGCCAAAGGCAGAGAAAGATCAGTTTAAAAGGAAATGATCCACCACCTTTAAAAAATAACTCTGGTCAAACCAGCACAGAGAGACAAGGTCACAGGGATCCTGGCCCCAGAGAAGGCTTTCCCCTAATGCTCTTTGTCTTGATGTCAGGGTTCCTTATGAAGTGGGAGAAGCCAATGCAGGACATTTTTTAAAAAAATAAAGTTATATCTCAAAGTCGTTTCATGTTGTCTAATAAAACAGTAAAGATAAATTCAAAACATCTATCGGTCTGCCAACAATGCTACTACCACAAGCTCACCCTCCCCAAACTGAACCAATCTCTATAGTTCTATTATACACATTTATTAATGTCATGCAACTGGTAAAAATGCCCAAAAGTGACATGAAAAAAATCTGGTGCCAGAGTGGGAATGTATACTTTAAAACCTTATTTTAAATCAAATTCTTTCATAGCTTGGTTTCTATTCAGTTTAACTTAATTTCTTTCAGGACCTGGGCCAGCAATCACACTAATTTGCATGACCACCACTGTTAAAACAGACCCCTTAGTTCTCCATGAATGACCTTCTATATACTATCAGACTTTTGGTGCATAAATCAATTGCCCTTATTCTAGTAGAACTGGGGCAGGAGTAGAGAGAATTGACTGTAGCTACAAAGTTGCCAAACTGTAAGAGAAAGAAATAAAAAGCAACCCTGTAAGAAGTAAAGCAAAACTAGTGAAATGAAGTATACTAGTAGGCCCTACTCCAAGCAGGGGCATTATTAGGCCATGTGTATATAACTTTTCGCTTGAGCAGTTCTATCTAGGAAGCAATATTTTTGGTTGTAATTGGTCCACCGCCACTTCCAGCCTGATACCATCTTCTTGAAGGTCAGTAATTATTCATTTATTCTAATTGGGAGGGAGATCGCAAAGAAGAAAAGATACCTGTGCTTCAGCAGCTTACAATCTAAGAGGGAGAATATGTGTGACGACCCAAAGGCAATGTGAGAGTCTTCCAGCTACTTGCAGCCTTGATGACTTAATACATTCTGTATTTTAAAACCATTGCTATTCATGTCTTAGTCATTTTATCCCTGTGGATCAAGAGTTGTAACACCATTGTTTATTTAGCACAGTTAAAGCTCAAAGGAGAGGAACCTAGAATGTATATACTTGCATAAGTCTGGATCTGTTTTAATGACTCATAAATATGTCTACAACAAAGAAAATCTGCCCATCTCTTTTTCTCTTCATCTAATTGCATTCTTCCCCTAGCAATGTAAAATAGAGAAGAACAAGGCTTTACAGGCAGGCATAGCTAGGTTTCTAGTGTGAACCTAGTTGAAAATCAATAAGATTTTCCTTATTCATTCTACAGTTATCGGCTCAGGGTGGGAAAGTGGAATCTTCCAGCGGTGAGTAAATGGATGATGCCAAATATTTCATCTTCTCTTGTCAAATTTTCTGGTTGGATTTTTTTTAACCATAACTAAGAGAGATCCTTCTTGTTAAGAGTCAAGAAATCTATCAAAGAGATGCTTTATCAATTACTAAGGAGTGGAGAAACTCAGAATTCCTACTGTTAGAGCAGAACAAATACTTCCATAAGATGAATTAAGTTATTAAATCAGCGGTTTTCAAACCATGAGCTCTGAAAACCCAAGGGCTCTACCAAGGTACCTTTGCAGAGTCCTTAAAAAGCAAACACTGTAGTCATACAAGATATTTCAATCACGATGGCCTCTTTTTTGGACTCTGCAACAAGAAACAGAATCAGAAACAAAAAAGCAAGAAACAAAACCAACAAAATCTAAGACAGAATGAATGCTTCCACAACTTGGAAGTGTTTCATTGGCCTGGCTGTCATTTCGAAGGATCCTGTCCACACAGTAAATAGTACTTACACCAGACTTGATTTCAAAAATAATTGGGGAAAGGGTAAAGATAATGAAAGGTTTCAGTCTACTTAGTGTTGGCCACTTCTCAAATACTATATGTTTTGCTACATAGTCTCTCAAATTGTAAGGCCACTTTCAATTCCAAATAGCTCTTCCTCTAGATTCAAGAAGGTGGTCCTGCTATTTCCATAGTCTCTGTCTGAGGTCTGAGAAGATTGACACTCACCATAAAATATTGCTAAAAATATTTTAGATTTGGCAAATGTAATCAAATTTTTGCCTTCTGAATGGTTTCCCTGAGTTTTCTTTCTGAGGACATTTCAAGAAGAATTTAATTTTCACTTATCTGATTAATTTGCACTTCACCTTTCATAATATTTTCTAACAGCTATTTCATAGCCAAGAAAGAAATGAGCCTTTTAATACTTTGGGTCTGCAAATGAATAAGCCATATTTTCCACAAAATGAAATACTAAAATTAAGTAAACTTGGTGACAGGCCTCCAAACTCAAAATACTTATAGAATTGATACTTAGCAAACTCAATTAATCCAAATGTTTTAAAATCACCTAGAATGTAGAAAGCCCTATGCTAATATACTGAGTAGGTACAGAAAAATGAACAAAAATACTGTCTTTTCCTTCACAGAGGAAAAGACACCACCTATTGGATAAGGCCAGTGATACAAAACTAAAACAAAATGTGATGAATGTGAAAGAAATGGGATTCAAAAGGTTCTGTTGGGGGGCAGGGGTCACATGTGTAAAACTACCAATCACAATTGGGGGTTCTAATGTCAGTTTCCTAGAGAAAATGTCAGTTTATTTGGGAATTAAAGATGTGCTGAGTTTTTAACAATAAAATAGGGGGTAAAATACATTGCAGATGGAGACTAACATGACCAAAACCATGAAGGTGTGAAAATATGTTCCATATTGGAGGAAGTATAAAATGATCGGTGTGGCAGGAACAAAGGGTGCTTGGCATGAGCAAGGTGTGGTAGTAAAGAAGTTCAGCTAACAGGTTGGTCCAGATTATTAAAGGCCTTGAATGTCCTGCAAAGGAATTAGAACTGGTCTTTAGCAAATCGTAGCAAAATTAGAACACATCTTTAGCAAAGCTCAGGCAAGGAGCAATGTTGGCCTGAACCAACATAATGGTAATCAGATGGGAAGAGGTCAGGGCAAGAAACATTCGGGAGACTGAAATAATCAGGATAAATGGATACTCTTAATGTGCATCCAACGGGGTGCATCGGGGGTGCAGAGGTCTAGGGTGATTCCTAGGTCTCTCCATAGCCATTATATAAGATAGAGATCACTGTAGATCAACAGACTTGAAGGAAAACATCACAACTTAGATTGGAGCACTTGAACTCCAGAAGCCAGTTAAATATACGTAGGTAATGGTAAAAAATACAGTTGACAAGTGGGCCTGTTCTCCAGAAAAAAAAAAATGACCAAAATTAGAGCCAAAGATTTGGAAGGGCCAGATTAAGGCATATGGGCATGAGAACTAGGCTAAATTGTGGCACACTCCTTTAAATCAATATTCTTTTAATACCTGATTGTATTAGCTTTCTAGAGCTGTCATAACAAAGTACCACAGTGGCTAAAACAACAGAAATTTATTTTCTCACAATTCTGGATGCTAGAAGTCAGGATCAAGGTGTTGGCTTCTTCTGAGGCCTCTCTCCTTAGCTCATGGCTGTCTTCTTGTGTCTTCACATGGTCCTCCCTCTAGATCCTGTGTTCAAATGTTCTTTTCTTATAAGGACACCAGTCATATTAAATTAGGACCAACCTTAATAACTTCATTTTAACTTAGTTACCTCTTTTAAAATCCTATCGCCAAATATAGTCCCATTTTGAGGTATTTGGAGGTTCAATGTCAACAAATAAATTTTGGAAGGGACACAATTTGGCCCATAACACCAGTCAATGTTTATTGGGAGGAGACATGGAGCATTGTGTAGGAATTAGTGGAGAAGGAAAACCGCCAGGGACAAATGAGTTAGTCAGCTTATCTTCAAATTGCGCACCTTGCTCAGCAAAACAGAAATGCTGGAGATAACAAGACTCATTTTCCCAGGGTGGCAGTTTAAAATCACCTTTGGTAATTGAGCATGCTGGATTGTTTGAAGGACTTAATATACTGACTCTAACATGTATATGGATGAACATAAAGTGCATGAATAGATTACCAGATATTAAGCCATACTACAAAGCCAGAGTAATAAAAGCAATGTAGGTACAGAGAAATAGAAAAATGGAATACAATACAGAGCTTAGAAACAGTGGGAATGTGACATATGATAAAGGTGGCATTACAAGTGGGTGGGGAAGTAATGAATTTTTAGCAAACTTGATGGCAAACTGGTTGTTTTATGGAAAAAAATAAATTTGTCTCATATGCAAAGGTGAATTCCAGATGGCTTATAAAACTTACCTGTGAAAGGTAATATTATATGGTTGAATAGAAGAAAATATAGGTTCTTTCCAGCCAGCACACTTTGATGGGCAGCTCTTAAAACAACTGGGTTAGTCTTGTTTTAATTTAGAACTTGTGAGTGTGCCCTGATTTCTGCTAGGACTTTGACTAAAGTAGTAATTGATACCAGGAATGAGGTATGACAAGTAGATCCTCAAAATGAGATTCTGGGACTGAGTTTCTCCTCTTTGAAGAGCGCACAGAAAACCACCTTGCCAGGAGGACAGCAAACACTGGGAATCCATGGCATACAGTAGCACTCAGGTATATAGGTCACTCAGATGGTCACCAGAGGTGGCATGAAGTGAATGTAGAGACCAAGGCTCTAGCAGACAGGGTGGCTCTTAATTGCTATGGTGACAATGGTGGTTATTAAAAATGATAGGGTGGAATGCTCTGGAAAGTATATTTAAAGAAAAAGATAAGCATAAAAGCTTGAATTTCCAACCTTAGGGTTAAGTTTGTATGGTAGGGTAGAGGCACCTGATGGCGATAACTTAAGCATATGCTGAGAATGACCCTGTATGGCAGACACACCTGAATGTGTGTTCAGAGTTCAGACAATGGCCAAACCGGAGATGTATTCCTTATCCATGAGGAACACACAACCCCCCACACTCTGCCACAGCTTGGCCTGTGGAACGTGGTTCGTAGAGGGATCGAGGTTAAATGTTTTCTGTTAAATGAAGGTTGCCAGGTGGAGGTTGTTAGGGAGAGTGCTAACTGATGGTGCTTTATAAACTGCTACATAAAGTGTGACAGTGGACAAGATATTTGCATGCTTTTTAAAAGTGGCAGCAGTTCTCCTGTCCAGCCTGCTGTCACTGGACCACCGTATACGCAGGTTTCCCTCAACAAACCCCATGTCTTGTTGGCTAGCTCTGGGTCTCTTATTTGGCTTCTCAAACCTGGTGCCATCCCTATTGGAGTCAATAAGGGTCTAGCACAAAAGGTGGAGAACCAGAGATCCTCTGTGGTGCTTTATAGATTTTCTTATCTCTGTACCTTCAGGGCAGATGTGGCTGAGAATCAGGCCAAGGTTTGATTGTAAGAGTTGGAATTGCCAATTCCAATTTAAATATACCAACCACCTGGTGTCTTTTTACTAAGATTGGAGACAGGTTGAAAAGAATTTGGCTTCTGATGATTGGGATGAGATATTTGGACAAACACAGCCAAGGCTGGTAGCTTTGAATCCCCAGATATCTCTGAATTACTTTCACAGGGATCTTGATTGAATTGTTTTTCCACAGAACATCACCCTGGTCCATTACCTTGTAATGCTATACTAATTGGATCTGATGAGTGAGCAAAAGCAAGCACCTCAAATGCCTTAATAAGATACGTGTGCTGGAGAGAGACAAATAAAGCAAGGAAAGTTTAAGGGCCCTGCTCCATGGGGAAGTTTCTATGAAACCAGTGTTCTGGAGCATATTGCGATATTCCTTCTAAAGGAGAGAGACATATTGCTTCCAGACTTCCCACATTGAAGAAAGAGATACAACACCAGGTAGGCCTTCTTGGATTTTGGAGGCCACATGTATTTGACTGTTACTCTGATATTTCATTACTATTCTAGAACACACCAGAAAGAAAAGTGAAATTGCATAAGCTCATTAAAAGTATGATAGTGGACAG
Source organism: Homo sapiens (assembly GCF_000001405.40). NCBI lineage: Eukaryota > Metazoa > Chordata > Mammalia > Primates > Hominidae > Homo > Homo sapiens. The sequence continues at coordinate 96,892,549 of NC_000007.14, forward strand.
GATATTTGTTTAATCCATTTTTAAGACTGACAATAATAACCAGACTAGTTGCCTCATTCTTGTTTGGTTGGTCAGTTGTTACATATTTGTGTATAGCCAGTAGGATGAATTTAAACTATATACAACTGTTTGTGTGTGTGACAGAGAGAGGGACAGACGGTGAGACAGAGACATAGAGACACAGATAAAATTAGAGAATGTGTTTTAAGTAAATTATTTAAAATACTGAAACTTTCAGGAAACTGATCTCCCTGAATGGAGACTTCTTTACCTACTTTGAGACCTTACAATTTAAAGTGGGGTCCTCAAACCACAGGGATCGGGATCACCTAGGAGCTTTAAATGGCGTATCTCAGAACCACCCTGACCTACTGAATCAAAATCTGCATTTTAATAAAATCCCCAGGTGATTTTTATGCATATCAACATTCTAGACGAATCAAGCTAAAATATGTGTTTATTTTGGAAGATGCACTTGATGTGGGGGAAGCCCAGGTTTGCAACCTCAGTAGCTTCAAGAGTGCTGATGTAACCTAAGAAGTTCCTCCTTCTTACTCGAAATAAAGCCTTAGGTTTCCACCTTGTACATTACCAGGAACCCTTTGGGCTAAAAAGAGAAAATTTGAATGAGACCCACTGATAACTATAACAGATACCATTGGTAATCTCATCTCTGAAGTTTGTCTTTAAAGATTCTAGTTCTAGACAAAACCCTACATCTTTCTTTGTCTCAAAACAAATATATATGAGGCTGAAAGACCACTGGAATGAGTCTTTGCAGATCCAGCGCCTCTGGGTCTTCACATATGGCATTATCTCTGTCTACTGCACTCTTTCCACAACACCCCCGCCCTTCCACTGGCTAACTCCTACATGAGCCTCTGGCGCTAGTCTTTTTTTTTTTTTTTTTTTTTTTTTTTTTTTTTTTTTGAGACGGAGTCTCGCTCTGTCGCCCAGGCTGGAGTGCAGTGGCGGGATCTCGGCTCACTGCAAGCTCCGCCTCCCGGGTTCACGCCATTCTCCTGCCTCAGCCTCCCAAGTAGCTGGGACTACAGGCGCCCGCCACTACGCCCGGCTAATTTTTTGTATTTTTAGTAGAGACGGGGTTTCACCATTTTAGCCGGGGTGGTCTCGATCTCCTGACCTCGTGATCCGCCCGCCTCGGCCTCCCAAAGTGCTGGGATTACAGGCGTGAGCCACCGCGCCCGGCCGGCGCTAGTCTTTACACCTTCTGGGGAGCATTCCCTGATCTCCTCCACCCCCTTATCCTACCCACAGAACTCAGATAGGGGACTCTCCGCCTAAAAGCTCTGTATGGGTAGGGTGTCAATCTCTAATTCCAGTACATATTCAGAGCCCATTGCTCCCTAGATGTGAAGGAATACATAAATAATGAAAATAAATGACCCCAGACCATACAGCTGGGGTTGGAGCTAAGCTCTGACTCAACCTCTAAACCCCTTGAGCTCTCCACTACCCCATCCTGCCTCTAGGTCTCCCACTAAATCACCCAGAGTAAAAAGAGTACAAAGCAGACATTGTGACATATAATTGTCAAGCTTATTTAGGGCAGAAAATGCAACTTTTTACAAATATAATCATATAAGCATCACCATACAGAGAGTTCCAGTACCTTCAAGGGAAGAGTGGGAAGAGACACATCAGAAAGGAAAGCTGTCCTTAGAATAAAATAGTTGTAAGGAAATGGTAGTTAGATACAATCAGTGTTTTAAAATAAAGTTCAAATATATATATATATCCCATTCTTCTCTTGTTTAAAAAAACTATAATTTTCACTTTCTTTAATTACTTATTAATGTTTAGATTTGTTTTCAGAAATGAGTGCTTGTTTAGGTAACAGTTGACATTTTATTGCTTTTGGCACAAGTAAATATTTCTTCCATTTTATGTTTGAACTTGATTGTGGTAGCCTAAAGGCTGAGGAATATAATTATTTCTCTCTCACTCTGGTACACCTTGCTTTCTCTCTCTCTCTCTCTGAAATTCTAGCCCCGTTAGTTCCTCTTGGTCTGATTGCCAGACTTTCCAGTAATCACATCTGTATTTTTTCCAACATGTGGGCAATTTTCATTATTTCAGTCAAGCAATGACCTTTAGAATTCCGGGATCATTTTCCCTCCCCATGCTGGTGCCCCCATGAGACCCAGAAGCACAAACATCTGAAGGACCTCTTGGCATCTTCACATCTGTTGGCACAGAAGGTGAAGGCCACTGTATGGTAGATTTTCAATTACAGGTGTTGAGCTTGGGGAAGAGTTTGTTGGTTTTTGAGGGATGGACAGAAGCAATGTGTAATTCTTAGTTTCTAGGCCCTTTGGAAACACTTAGAAAACAATGTTAATCTGTTTATACAAAGCACACATTGAGAAACCACAGTAAGCAATTGCTAAGCAAAAGTCTGGCAGGTTTTTGGTTACAAAGTCTGACATTTATATCAATTTTCCATCCAGAGCAACTCAGTCTTTCAGTTTGGGGTTATACTTCCTTGATGTACCTAGAGTCCATGAAATGTTATTTTATTCAAAGAGTAGTTTGCTTGTTGTTATGCCCAGTTTTCAACAGTGTAGTACACAGACATCTGAAATTCTTTCCAAGACTAATTAGCCCAGTGGAAGTTATTCACCAGGAACAATGCAAAAGTGTGAAATACCATCTATATTATCTGGCTTACAGGAGTCTCTGGAATCGTTGCTTTTCTTTGCTCACTGGTAGTAAGGACTCTAAATTACAGAAACAATAGAAGCACTGTGTTTAACCCAAAATATCACTGAACTCCCATTTTAGGAAAATCTGTTTCTTTCAAATTTTCTCTGAGAAGTACAAAGTGTTGCTTGGTGTGCAGTTATCTGCCGGTATAAATGGTATAAATGGATGATTACTTAAATACGGCTTCTTTTAGAAGGGAGTTAGAGGACTTTGCAAAAGCATCAAGCTGTGCTTGCCATATAGGTGAGCCTCTTCCAAGTAAATAATTTGACTTAAAGGATTGTTAGAAACTTTTCTTATCTCTTTATCCAGGCAATAATTGCTATATTTCTAATCTGTTTTTTTTAAAATCAGTTGGGGTTTGATTCCTTCCTGGTATCTTAAAAGTCAGGAATTATTTAATGATCCTGGTAGGTGAGAGTATCAAAGATAAATGGTCATCGCCATCCGAACACCAAGAAGTATTACCTTTTCTACCCTTGCAGCGTGGAGCTGTCCACAACCAAAACCTGCCCCCGAGAGCTTGCAATAAACACACCTTAAATGCCCCATAGGTTTGGAATTTTGCAGTGATGTTCATCTCAGAAAATCATGTTCAGAAGGGCCTCAGTTTGTCAGCCCTACTGATCTTGAAGAAACTACTTCCAAATCAAACACTCTGTAGCACTAAACCAGTGGGCTGACCCTGTCTTTGGGTACCACAGAAATCTTTTGCAGAGGATGAGCTTATCCTGATTCACCATAGTAAAACAATCTTTGTCCCTTGGGGTTACCCTTTTAAGGTAAACTTCTGACGCCTATTGACTAAAAATGTTGCTTACACTATCAGATTTTCACTTCTATTTTCAAGTGTACAAAATTTATGATTTATTGCAGATTCCCAAGAGTTTACATCAGATTTCAATAAATATTTGCCTAAGAGGTTTTTCAGACCTTTCTGATCAACTTGTTTTTGTTTCTTGGTTATAATTTGCTTTTAATACATCAAAGTACTACAGATTAATGTATTTTCTTTCTTTTAGTGGAGGTTTAGCTGACCCTGCCAGTCACCAAGCAAGGACATTCTACTGTTGGAGAGAAAGACCAGGTAGGAATGTGGGTGGCTCAACAGAAATCCACTAGAGGAAAAAAAAAAAAACATTCAAAGCAAATGTCTGGCTGATAGGTCTGTGGTCTCACCTTCTGAAGATAAAGGCCATGCCATCATGCCATAGATATGAGGGCAAGACAATCCAGGTATCATCATTGCAACTCCCAGTTGGCATCCAGAAAGAACCATGTATTTGAAAATTGCTTCCCAAACATTTTCCTTAGCTTTGCTTTACTTTGCTGTGAGGCAAGGTAGAAGTGCTGCTCTCTGTTTTACAGGAGGGGAAAGTGATACCGAGAGAGATTACCAGGCCAGCATAATATAGCCCATCCCTCCTGTCCGTTCAGTGTTGGCATCACATTTCTCCTTTTTTCTCACCTGAGCCAAATGGCCTCCACTTTTCTGTTATTCCCACTGTCACTGGATTTTTGTAATAAAAATGAATCTGTTTCAACTAAAGGTATAATTCCAGACCTTCTGGAAGGCCTGAAGTTAAAGAAACAACAAAGGCCTACTAACACTGCGGGAAATTACTGGGGTTTCCATGCAGTGGAGGTATCACTGACAAATGAGATATCTTGACTCAAGGAGTCAAAAGATTATTAGGGTTTTTTTAGCATAATAGTTCATCATCAGTCATCTACTAACAAAGGATACATCTATTTTTACCCAAAATATCACATCACCAATCTGACAAACCATTTCAGAGTTAAAGGCACTGTGACAATGTATTCCAAAGATGACCATCCACAATATCTATGGTTGCATAAGATCTTCTAAACCTCCCATATTAAGAGTCAGTTCAGTCTAATTCTTCTCCTTCCTGGTTTCCAATAAAATGTAATGCCAGTGTGTGTGACTACTGAGCCTGTCAGAAAAAAAGTTATATCTTCTACCTTGCTTGATGGAACATTCATACTGGAGTCCTGAGCCACCGCATAAGCAGTCAGACTCTCCTGAGGCCACCATGCTATGAGAAAGCCCAAACTAGTCCACCAGGAGAGACCACATGGAGAAGCCTGAGACAATATGAAGATGATACACAGATAGATGGATAGGTAGGTAGGTGGGTGGATAAATGGATGGATGGATAGATAGATAGATAGATAGATAGATAGATAGATAGATAAGATAGAGATAAATAGATGATAGGTATAGATGATAGAAAGATATATAGATAGATAGATAGATAGATAGATAGATAGATAGATAGATAGATATGGAGATATGCCTGGCCAGCCTCCAGCTCCTCTAGGCCACTGCTATAGTACCAGCTACTATTTGTCTACAACCATGTAAAAGACCCCAGGCCAAATCTACATGAGTCTGTTCCAAATTCTGATCCAAGAAACTATGAGATAATAATGATTAATGTTGCTTAAAGCCACTAACTTTTGGGGTGATTTGTTATGCAGCAGTTAACCAGAAACCATTCCCTAGGACATAGAAAAAAAAAACAGCCTATGGATTGTTTCCCTGAGACTTCTGTAATCACTGGCAAGATAAAAATTGAAGGAATGATGGACTGACTACTATGATGCTCACTTCCTTTTGCTCCTTTAATTTGAATTGGTTTCATAGAAAGAATTGAGAAGTAATAGGGATCAATAATCTACCAATTGAACCATATTATTTTGGCATAACCTTTTGCCAGCTTATGTTCACCTGATAGCATCATCTTCAAGGTACGCAATGCTTTCAATATTGGATCTAGAGCTAATTATGCTATATCAGTTCCCTCTACCCATAAAAATAGTGTCACTTTCTGGATGCAAGAGCAAAATAGCGTCATGCCATCTTCTCACTAGTTAGCAGTAAACTTTGCAAATTATGTTTCTCTTGTTGCCCTTGCCTTATGTCTTTTGAAATGTATTTATTTTTATATAAAGTTGAATGTACCGACACATGCTGTACCTTTCCCTTAGAAAAAGTGCATATGCTTGACCTGGCTGTGGTGTGTTTTACTGGTGCAAAACAGATAATGTCTACATTTTCTAGATCCTGCCTTCTGACTAATTTGGCAAAGTAGGGGTTTGGTATTGCTTCTTCTTTTTTTTCTTCTGGCACTTTGCAAAGCTTGGGTGTAGGACGAGAGAGGAAGCAATACTAAGTCGATTTTGAAAGGACAAAACCAAGCCTGCAGACAACTGTGCAAAGAATCTGCTTTTAGATGTTGTGCTGTACTGGGGTGATGGTGCTCATTACATGTTACATGTTGTTGCCATCCAAGTTTCTGGCACGTAAAACCATAATCTATGACTTTTACTTTTACATTTTTCACTAAGATGAGGAGAAATTGCTTTACCATGTCAATCAGTTATGCCCTTTAAAAAGGGTGGATAAGAGTGAGCATTACCTACTTGAATATCATATTGTTTTAAAAATCAAATAGGCAACTCCGAGGTTAAAAAGTTTAATGTTTTTCTGAGTAATAAAAATGTAAAATTGAGTATGGCCAAATTCATTGTAACTAACCCATTCAAAGAGTTCGGGGAGTAGGAAGAAACTTGGTTTTGTAGAAAATTCTAAACACTGTTCACCTGCTTTAGAATGTGGCCACGTGATTTTTTGGAAACTTGGTCACTTGTTATTATGGGCTTTCTATAGGTTTATTATTATTATTATTATCCACAGTTCTTAAATATACCCCCAAGATTCTTGAACTGTTCCCCATTTTTGTTATTTGAGCTGTGTCCTTTCAAAGCAGCTCACTAATTTATCTGTACTTAATATTCTTTCTTAGGTAATGAATGCATAGCTTCTATCCTGAGCAGGGCCTTATTCATTTCCTCTTTTGAAAACACTATCAGTATAAACTACCCACATTCAATCTGCCTACAGTTTTGGCAGAGCTTGAAAACGTTATGATTCCAAGATACACCATTAGCTTAATATCTTATCTCATTAAGTTATGTTGCTTTCTAAGCATAATGTAAACAAAGTAGGATTATTAACAACTTCCCTGAGTCATATGTGTAATTTATTTTTATAGCAGCTAGTTGTTAAATGAGTGTGTCTGTCTTTACATAGTGCTTGTATTTCATTGTGGCCTATGTCTTTGCTGTTCATGAAAAATAAATCTGCTTTCAAGGATATGAAAGAAATAAAGAAACAAACTATGAAAGAAATAAAGAAACACACTATAAAGTAAAAAACCTTATTTTTACTCTCATGTTGTCAATGGTATGAACAGGTTTTTTTTTTTTTTAATCCACAGGATTATTTTCTTTAAAGTTATTGTCCATAAATGTGCTGTGTTTTTTATTTGGCACAAAATAGAAAAATATAATTCAAAATTAAATCTCAACTATGTAAAATATATCATAACTACATATATACATATTACAAACTTCTACTTAGGTAATTAACTTTTATGACACCAATATTAACAGCAACTGAGCTTGAGGTTTGTATCAATAATTTTTTTCTCTTTCTTTCACTAACCAGGACAATACAAACCAACTCTTTTTTGGATATAACCCATTTTAACTTTGGTTTTCCACAGCAAATTATTCTTGAGTTTGCCTTTTTATATTTCTCTATTTTTCATTAACAAAACCTAAACTGGGGGAAGTTCTGTGCTTTGCAAAATAAAACAAGGCTTATTATGAACAGAAAATGTAGCTCTCCCTATTTAGTTTTATATTTGCATTTAGAGAGTACTAAAAGTCAACAAAAACTTTTAAAAAAATTAAAGTGTTCTTCATTTGTGCACCATGCTTTGTTGGTTACTTGGAAAGAAAGACCTTTAAAAATATTTTGTTAATCAAAATGTTATAGATTTTGATTCGGTTTATAATATTTAGATATCTAAAATTTTCTGCAGGCTTTGATTTCAGACCACACATGGACTATTAGAAATTACTGAACTTGGCTTCCCTAGGATGGTTTCAAGTGGGGTACACCTACTCAGAAGCAGGCCCTCCTGGATGATAGCTAGCAAATTCAGTGGAACAAGACTAGGAAGCCCTCAATAAGGGACACTTGGCTCATTTTATATCATGCAATGAAAAAGAAATTAAATAATCTTAAAACAGACAATTCCTAAGAAGGGCTAAACCTTTATATCTTTTGCCCCTTTTATGACATTACTAATAACATAAATTAAATATTGCCCTCCTAGAAAAAAAGATATTGAGGCAGTTGTTATTGTGAATATTAGAACAGGCATACTTCAGCAACTAACTGCATTTCTTAGAGCAATATAGGTTGCCCACCCAGCACAAACCCCACTAAATGCTTTCTCAAATTGCAAATAGGAAGCCACGATTCTTAACAATCTGAGCTCACTGTATTGTTGTATGACAACTGTGTTAAGTTTGTTCCTGATATTATAACAAATGGAGTACATCTCTTATCTAACAAGATGAAAATCTTGAGATAAATGGTTTATTTTCCACATGTCTCTACGTGTTTCCATGAACATGTAAGTAGCTTCGCTATTTTTCTAAAATAGGGAATTGCTTACAGACATTTTATGCAAAATTCTTTGAGAAAAATTTGTCCCCCTAAGAGGTTCCCTAAGTTACTGCCTTCTGCCCATTTTAAATGCTGAGTTTGGCACAGAAAACGTTTAAGAAAATGACAGAAAAATGAGCGTCATCAGCAACTTCAAAGTAAGGCCATACAATTCAGAATTTGTTACTAAAAGTCTTTCAGGACTAAACCACACATGGAGGTATTTTTCCCCTCATTTCTCAAAGCAGAAAAAGCTGTGTTGTAGATCGCCCTAGTTTATTAATTTTGCAATTGATTATACTGATTGCATGAAGATTTCCATTACAGAAACAGATTTTTGAGGACTAAAAATACAGCAATTATGCTGGTTACTCATTTAAGTCAGTAAGTAACTACAGGTTGTTAAAGTAGCAGACATTTTAAACACAGGGAGTCATTTACTTCCTTCCTTGAAGTACCTGAAATTTCTATTCATGTTTTTTTTTTAAAAAAAAGAGGGGCAACACATGTTAAATGATAGCAATCAAGATTTTTCATGCAATAGTTTAAAAATCTAAAATGAATGATTTCTGAAAGCATTATAGATAATTAAAATACAACATTGTCTTGACAAAATATCTCTATGAAATTAAATAGGGCCTGATCTTCAGAAGAAGGAACCAAGAAATCCTCTTTACCAGCTACAAAGCCCTCAAATGGTGGAGGTGAGGCTCAGCAGAGCATCCTCCTGCCGGCATGTGTCTACTTCAGTCTCTTCAGGGGTTCTCAACAGGAAAAGGAGGGGATGGAGGAGCTGGGACATTTTCATTTGTCCCAGTGAGGTAGTGCTCATGGTATTTAGTGCCAAGGGTCAGGGATGCTAAACAAGGCTCATACAATGAAAAATTGCCCCACCCAAAAAGCCCTGGCTCCTTCTCAAAAGATGACCTTTTGAAATTGCTTTCATCTGCTCAAGATGCTCTTACTGCTCACAACAAATTTGAGTGAAAGGATGAAGGAAATCACCCTTGGATCCTAATTCTAACTGAATTACAGAAACCAATGTCCTCACAGTTTAATGCAGGATTGCTTAAACTGGCTTGATGTCCCACAGCAGGGATTCTGATCTGTTTTGTTTGCTGAAAGCACCCCAGCACCTAGAACAGTGACTAACATATATTACATGCTTCATAAATATATGTTCAATATATGAATGAGTCAAAGGGATCCATTGGGTCGCTTATTAAAAATATGAATCACTGGGCTCAGCCTAGGCAGCTGAGTGAGAAACTCCAAGGGTCTGCAGAAGCCAAGGATCTGTATTTCTAACAAAGACTTCACGTGAATCTTGGAATCAAGCCATTATTTGGCTTAGAAGCCAAATAGATCTGGGACAATGCCTTGCTCCACCACTTAATAGGGTGTGACCTTGAACAAGACACCTCATGTTTGATTCATTCATTAAACAAATAGTCTAGGATGCCTACTCTGTTTCAGCATTGTACTACTGCTGAGAATGCTATGCTGAGGACAAGAATGCAGGATTTGCCTTCATGGAGCTCGTGGGTCCTTATCTTTAAGATGGGAATAAATAATGCCAATGCCTGGGGTTGATGTGCAAGTCAAATGACATAAAAATATAAATGCAAATTAGATACCAAAGCCTTTGCATGGATTTGTTTCTTTACCAAGTCCCATTTAAATGGCAGCAAAGGAGCATCGCTTCCACTCAACACACAGCAAAGTTTTCTGTAGACCATATTTCCTTTTCTTTCTTTCTTTAATTTCAATTTTTATTTTAGATTTGGGGGTTACATGGGCAGGTTTGTTATATGGGTGTATTGGATAACTCTGAGGTTTGGGCTTCAAGTGATCATGTCACCCAGGTAGTGAGCATAGTACCTAATAGGTAGTTTTTCAGCCCTTGCCCCACTCCCTCTCTCTCTCTTCTAGTGTCTATTGTTCCCACCTTGGAAACCACGTTTAGCATCTCTCTCACCCAGGTGACACCCTCTGTCAGATTCCACCCAACTCTTCTGTAGGTTAAGTAATCACACCAGTGAGATATTTGTGTTTTAAAAGCTTTCGTCCTTTTCCCATTTGAAATTACTATTACTCAAGACTCCACATTTCAACTAAAGTGTGAAATTAGTAATTATCATTATCAATATTAATCATGCTGCTTTTTATTTGTGGAGTTCTCTCACAGGCATCTCATATGATCTTAGCAACTCATTTAAAAGAGGTGGAGTTGACATTATAATCCCATTTTTAAAATGCTCAAAAGAAGCTCCTTTGCCCAAGGCACTACATGGAGAAGGAAGAATCTAGGTTATGCATGGGTCTTCTTTCTGTTAGACATGACCTCTTAAGCATAGTCATTCAGAGCAAGAACAAGGTCTCCTAAGGCCTTCACTCTTATAGTGTGATCCACGGGCCATCAGGATCACCTGGAGTTTGTCAAAAATACAGCATCCCAGGCCTCATCCCAACCAATGGAATCAGAAACTGCATTTTAACCAGATGCCCCAGATAATGTGTATGCATGTTAGAGTTTGAAAGTACCTTTCTAGGAAAAATAACTGTTACATGGAGCACAGGTTGAATCATTTAATAACTCTTGGATTTCTTGAAGTGCTAAACTAAACTTGTAATGAATACATTCTATAATACCATCTAATATTATTTTTCATGAGTAGCTTGTGAATGTTATTTTTCACGAGTAGTTGAGTGAATGAATGTGTGCATGAATTTTATAGTGTTTTCACTTTTTCTTGCAAAAAAAACAGAAAAGCATCAAGATTTGACTGCAGTCAGTCAACTATTCACTCTTGAATCCTCCAATATAGTACCTGGATGAAGAGTTTGAAAATACATTTCATTTCCATAGCACGCATTCAAACACCTAATTATTTCCTCACAACCCTATATATAGGACTATCTTATAGCTACTAGCAAGGCTTGAAGGTCAGAGGCTAAAGGAATGCTGGGACACAATAAATAATTTATCTAGCAATTATTTTTGCATCTCTACTCATGCAAGGTTCAGATTAGATCCAGAGACAACTCAGAGAATTTTAGCTCCTTCCTTTGTAGTACTGCATGTAAACCAAAGATGAAAAAAAGTATTGCTACTAAGTAACTGACATCTTAAAATTTGAATAGTTATAAGGTATAATGTGATAAATTCAATGGGAAAGGAAAAGATCAGTGCCCTGGTTATTCAGAGAAAGGGAAGTTTCTCCTGAGTTCTGTGGTCAGGAGTCAAGAGGCCAGGCAGGTTTCAACAGGCAATGTATTCTTCAGTAGTAGAGTTTCAAGATGAGATGGAGTCCAGATGAGGCCCCAGGCCTAGAAGAATATCAGCTGTATCTAATTGTTAGGGAGGAGGCTCAAAGACCACAATCTGTGTGTGTTTTGGAGGGCATGGGGTACCAGGGAGCTTGGTTGATAACAACTATGGCTGAAGTCTGTGCCACAAGATCCTGGTGCAAGTTACTGTTACAAAGCCTCCCTCTTCCACTACAGAGCTTCTGCTATAATCCCTACTTCGGTGAGGATAGATTGGGGAACTGGAGTAGTGTGGGGACAACCATATGCTGATGGGAGGATTTTCTGGAGAAAGCAAAGGGAGAAGGGAGGAGAAGGGGAATTGGGTTGATACTACATTCTAGTTAATGTGCACTTTCTAGAATGCAAATTCTGTAAGCCCCCTGGCCCACACACACAAAAAGATCCTGAGAAAGCTGACCTCTACCAAGTCCTAGTAGAGGCTCATACACACAGAGCGTGTTCAAAAAGCACTATCAAGTGATAATGGTTAACAGTGTCGAGCAGTTGGCTCTCCTAAGCTCCTTCTCTGCTCAGGGAATTAAAATAGATGCACAGCCAGACTAGAGGGACTTTCCTTTCTGTGATATGGACCATCACTTAAGCGTGGCTACAGCCCAGCTATCTATCTAGTCAGACTCTCAGACTAGATAGTCCTCATTCTCCTAGAAGCCGGAAGAAACTTAGAAAAGATTAGCAGGAAAATCTGTACTAATTCCTGTGGGTTTCCCATGTATTTTATTTTTAGTTTGTTAATTAGGGTATATTTGTGGTTTTTTATTCTGCTTCATTTTTTAAAATACAATCAGACTGTGTGACTTCTTGTTTCAGATCTCTTTCACACACAGTAAAAAAATAATGGATTCTTGGGTACTGTGTGTTTATGTGTATTATTTTGGGTTCAGTTGGGTTTCTCTGTTAGGCTTGCCTGTCACTACTTCTATCCAAATGACTATTTCATAACACTCAGGAAGAATCAGAAGGACATACCTAATAATTTCTCTGCCCTCCCCTACCCTTCCACCCAATTCCATGCTGGGCAGCCTCTTTTATATCCAAAAACCTTATACATTTCGCCAAAGGAATCAGTACTAATGGGAGCATCTGTAACTTGGTTGTTCTCAGGTTTGAGATCTTGAGAGAGAAAATGGAAAAGTTAACACTGAAGACCTCAGGTGACTGGGATTTCTGGAGGTCACAGGAACAAATTCAGTTATGCTCTACTGTCCTTCCTGACCAAGGCCTGCTCCCTAGATAGCACTGGCTATTTTCCCCAATCACTTCAGCTGAACACTAATGTTTTGGTGATACTGATGTCCATAGAGAACAGCAGTGGGATTTCACTAAGATGGGAAGTTACTGTGTTCACCTGCCATAAACATGAAACAATACAGCAGGTATTCATTCACCCATCTCTTATTCAGATCAGAGACATTCTCACAGACCATATCCAGACTAAAGAGCATTCTGAATATTTATTTTTCTTTTTTTTTTTTTTAATTTTAGAGACAGGGTCTCACTCTGCTGCCCAGGCTGGAGTGCAATGGTGGAATCACCACTCACCTCAGCCTCAACATTCTGGGCTCAAGCAATCCTCTCACATCAGCCTTCTGATTAGCTGAGACTACAGGCATCCACCCCAGGCCCAGTTATTTTTTTCTTTTTAGGGATGAGGTGTTGCTATATTGTCCAGGCTGTCTTGAACTCTTGGCCTCAAGAGATCCTCCTGCCTTGGCCTCCCAAAGTGCTGGTATGAAGGCATGAAACATCATACCTGACTGATTCTGAATATTTCAAACTGTACATTTAAAATCCAACTCAAATGGCATGGCACACCCTGCTGTGAAAGCAACACACTCCAGGCAGAATCCTAGAAAGCTCTGAGCACTCAGCATAATCCTAATTGTCATCAGGTCTGTAACCACTGCTGTTTCTTCACAAAGTCACTATTTGAGCCATTTTACTCAAAGTTGACTGAATTTCAAGAAAGGTATGAGACACAATCACTATCACTTGTATTAGTTTTCATTTGAATATCATACTGTCCATAAATTGTTAGCCACAGGGTGGGAGGAAGTATGTGGGGGCCAGTTTGTGCGCACATAGCTGCCATTCGTGGTTCAGTTCTCCATGCTAAGAAAAGGAGAACAAACTAGAACTTTCTGTGCTGATTCGGTTAATACTTTCTCTGTAGATGACTCAGAACCTTCCTGATAATATTTACTTATAATTTTCTACAGGAGCTTAGAATCTGTATCTGTTTTATGAAAATATCCATTGGTTTCATAATTATCCTGCAACCTGATAAATTATCTTAAATTGATGGCATACCCAGCTGTGTTTTAACTCCTGACCCCAAAACTAAAGCTAAAATGTTGCCATTTCAACTTTAAAACTAATAAATGCCACAAAAAAAATCAATGTCTATCTCAAGTAAAAACCAAGAGCAATTAATGGCAATTAAAGTGACTGTTATATGTTTCCATAATTCTTTTAAATACATTACATGTAGACATTAAGTACATTAAGAAAATTGTGATTTGGGTTTTTTACTTTCAGAGAAATGGAAATTATCCTGACCCTAGCATAAAGATGCTGTGAATTTTCTCATCTATGTGAAATTTCACTGACTCCTATTTTATTTCTTGGCTGTTGTGTTATACAAAAATACATTTTTAAAATAAAATAAAATTTCATTCATTCATATGCACTCATAGAAATCTGTACCCAAAACTCCACTGAAAATAACATATCTTCAGTTCAAGTTATACCCTTCTAGATGGAGAAGTGAACAGATCAGTATTTTACATAAGCTGAATACTTAAGCCTCACCACACAGGTAATTAACCTCAAGTAGTACAAGAACTTTCATGTTTCTTTTCTAAATTTTGCCTCAGGTATTAACCACCCAAAAAGTAGCAGGCTGCCTTTAAACATCTCTGGCAAATAGCTGGGTAGAATTTCACATGGCATAATAAGAACTTTACTAACATAACTTCCAAAAAATTAAAAGCTAGTTTGGATTGCTGTTGTTGTTGGGTGCTTGGGGCTATTTGGAGTGAAAATTTTCTGCAGCTAATTAGAAATTACACACGATTAGGAAGCAGAGTCTGGCATTGTTCCCCTTCAAGTGTTGGGCTAGAGCTAGTTCTAAAGAGAGAATATGTTGAAGTTTACAAGATATCAATACAAAAGTATTGATATCCATGGTTTGAGTCTGGCTATCTTAGCCTCAACGAAGAGCATTCTAATTGTCACTGAAATCAGATATGACCAGGTGGAAACAGGATTTTCTTAGACTGCCTTTAAAATGATCTAAGTGTGCAAATTACCATCCTAATCTAATTCCTGAATATGCAAAACTATTCTAATTAAAGAGGAAGCTCTAGAAGAATTAATAATGACTGACTGTCATTCTTCAATGTCCTGGAATAAAGTATCTTGTAATAAATGGATTTTCATATTACTTTCCCCTTTGTGAGTACCCATGGCTGACACATGGTGTGAAAGAACTCTGCTCAG
Source organism: Homo sapiens (assembly GCF_000001405.40). Taxonomy (NCBI): domain Eukaryota; kingdom Metazoa; phylum Chordata; class Mammalia; order Primates; family Hominidae; genus Homo; species Homo sapiens. The sequence goes on from NC_000007.14 coordinate 96,907,655, forward strand.
TAAGAAGATAGTATTTAGCTTAGTCAATTAATCATATTAGCTCCTTCCTGAATGCCAAATAAAACATATAGGGAAATGCTATGGTCCAAATATCCACCAAAATTTATGTGTCGAAACTTAAATCTCCATTGTGATAGTATTAATAGGTGGAGTTTTGGGTGAAGTGATTAAGTCATGAGGGCTTATCTCTCATGGATTAATACTTTTTCAAAGGGCTGGAGGGAACTAGTTAGGCCATGTGAGGATACAGAGTTCATCCCATCTGGAGGATGCAGCAACAAGTCACTATCTTGGAAGCAGACACAGGGCCCTATCCAGACACAAAACTTGCTAGTGCTTTGGTTTTGAACTTCCCAGCCTCCAGAACTATGAGAACTAAATTTCTGCTTTTTATAAATTACCCAGGCTTGGGTATTTTGTTATAGCAGCACAAATAGACCAAGACAGGAGAACCAGACTGTCAGTAGTGGCGAGAGCATGACTCAGATGCACTGGGAGAGCCAGAGACACCAGGAGAGAGCCACTGGGAGGGAGCAGGAGAGTTTGTTTCTAAGGCTGCCTCAGAACCTCATAATTAATGAGCTCTTTATATGCCAGGCCTTGGGTTGAACACTTCACATGCATCATTTTATTTAATCCTCACAGTCATATGAGATAGATTCTCTTACTGTGCCTATTTCTCATATAAGGATATCGAGGTTTAGAATGGGAAGTGGCCAGAACTCCAACCAAATAGATCTGTGATTGCAGTGCAAAGCCTGGCTGTGCTGGTTAAGAGCACAGCCAGAACGACTATGGTCTACTACCCTAAGCATCATTTCCTCTGGTTTCAAAGACACAAAGTAGCATTTTCTAAAGAAAGTAAGCCTTCTCTGAATCAGTGTTAATTCTACTGATCACGGAATTGAGAAGTATGCTATTAGATGGAGGTGAAAGTTCTTAGTTAATGGAATTCTTATGTGGCTTTCAGAACATTAACGTGGAAAACTGAATACAAATATTCTGTGGTACTTCTCCAACATCCTAAAAAGCACTAATTATTTACTCCCTCCTTCAAGACTACTATTGTCCAATGAACGACATCACTAAGAATCATTAGAAGTGGCTTGTACATATTGAGACAATAGATACAAAGACAAAGTCACAAGAAATCTAAGTCCCTTTGCCTACTGGTCCCCAGACAACAGTATACAGGATACTGGGACTCACAGATAGTGACTTCTAAAAAAAAGAAACCAAAAAAAAAAAAAAAAGACAGGAGACAGTGGGTTTCTCACTGCTCCTGACCTCCCCAGTAAGATCATTTGGCTCCTTTCTCTCAGCATGTGGGAAACCCAAGGGTGATGTCAAACTCATCCTGGAAGCCTCTGTACTTCAGTTAAATCTCCTGGAGATACATTGGATGTAAAGAAAACTTACTAGAGGGCAAGACATGCATTGCTAATATATGAAAATCTCTTTCTCAACCTCAAGTATCTGTGGTATCTGTGGGTGTGTCTATACATATAGATATGTGTGTGTGTGTGTGTATGTATATATTCTCCACTCTGTGTGTGTGTGTGTGTGTGTGTGTGTGTGTGTGTGTGTGTGACGCCAAATTTCACAAAACTCTCCAGTTTATAGTTCAATTCCCCACTCAGGCCGTCAGTGTTCCCACTGACATGACAGGAGGGATCTTTCTGCATCTCTATCAATATGACAAGAAGAGAATCTGCTTCTATTGGTATCCTTACTTTGAAGTGATGTGAAACCCCACCGCTTTTATTTTGTTGGTAAAAATCCCTAAGAACCCTCCTATCTTTGACCCCATATGGAGTCTTATAATCTAGTCTCACTTGGGGCACCAGAACCTTTTAGGCCATCACTGCTGAAATTGGTACTGGAAAAGGGAATAATATCTCTTAGAAAAGTCAGAGAGACTAACAGGAAATTGTGTGAGGAGAATATTAGAAGGAAAAAAGCAGAGAGAGATTTTTGTGTTTGGTTTTTACTCACACTTTTAAAGTTAACTCTTCACTGTTTACAGTATTCTTGGTTGCTTCGCTTTGGCTCATTGGTTTTTATGAATCAGCTTTAGGACTATTACAGAGCATTGAGAAAACAATTATTTTTAAGGAGTTTCTTTGATGCTATTATTTTGTGTATAAGACACACCATCCAAGAGGCTTTTGCATCAATGACTAAGAAATATAAAATGAGAGATATTTTTGAGATAGATGATAGATAGATAGAAAACAGCACTGAGGCTAATAACAGTTATTGATATAAAGCAGGGAGGAAATGTCTCCATTTTTTATTTATGTATTGTACAGATATCCCTTATTTCAAAGTAAATCCTACGTACCCATTTTCTAATGTGTATAATTAAAATAGAAATAAATGATCAGAAACCAAGAAGAAAGAAGATAAAAATAATTTGTCCAGAAAGATGCCACACTTAATTCCTAATATGACTTTGAGCCTTTGAAAATCAGAACAAAACCAAGGAAAGAAAATGGATTACATTATTCTTATTATCAAGATTACTAAGCAAAAAAAAAAATGTTTTTTCTGGCAATAAATGCTAGTAGAAATTGGTCCCTTAAATTCTTATGTAAGGATCATTTGAAAGACCCATATGCAACTTTCAATAACTCCAATTGAAATTATATCGCAGAAACAGAGCTTAAAGTATGCAGAGGAAGGAAGAGTTAACATATCTTTTTTCGATATCTGTTTTGTGAATTGGCTTTTAGGAGGTGCTGGACAACATGCATTCAAAGTTTTAACTTCCCAATGAAGACCTGAAGTGGTGAAATTGACATTTTGTCTGGGAAGCTTGTATGTGTGCCCTAAAAGGGATATCTGTACAATACGTAAATAAAAAATGGAGACCTTCAGAGGTATCAATGTGTAGGGTCAAAAGTCCTTCTGTCTCTATCTGGATATAGTGCAGCAAACACTCTAGGTATTTCCAGTAGAAAGAGATTTAATGCAGGAAACTAAGTGATTACACACTCAGCAGAAGAGCTGGAAAAGCCTGAGTCAGGGGATTGCAACATGTCTTTTGGCTTCAAGGTCTGCTGTGCACCAGATTTCAGAAAATTACTGCTACTGTTAATACTACTGCTGCCATGAATATGGCTGCCTTCCACTCATGATGCTGCTGACTAGACCGAGAAACGTGGAGTCCAGACCTTGGTTGTCAGCTGCCACTGTTGCAGGAAGACAGCCTTTAACTTTCTTCCACTTTTCAAATCTCTTCCAAGTGCCTATCACAATATATCCAGAATCTTAGTTGCAAAGGAATCTGAGAAATGCAAATTTTATCCTTCCAGGCTTTCAGTACAGGGGAGGGAGAGAGAGAGAGCAAGATATAAATGGATGCCAAATGCCCAAAGACAGTATATAGCGTACCCCTCCAAAGAGATTAAATTTTGCTCATGTTTTTGGACAGATCTCCAATTGAGACCTTTAAGTTCTGTGTCATAGAATATGAAATATGTTATTTTGTCTAGAAAATGTTAAGTGCTATGTGTTGTCACCTCTTCAGTTCCTGAATCAGTCCTGCCCGAAGTGGAAAGTACTTGAGCTACTCCAGCCCTCACCATCTTTCTTCTTAAGAGAGAAGGAGGAAGATGACCCCAGTAAGGATGGGTCAGCATAGTTCAGAATGAAGGATAGAACCCTTGGGAGTCTCTGTGGTTCCTGAGCTGACCTTGCTGTCTCCTTGGCCCAGAATACAAGATCCCTGGAACCAGCAGACCCAGTTCCAGCCTCTCTTGTCAATTCTGTTGTGCTGCAAGTGAGTTGTGTCACGCTTTAGGGATGAATCTTAATATATAGAAACAATTACTTGAATGAATTCATTTAATTGCTTGGTGAATAATATTGGCTAAAAAGTAATTTATTTTAATAGAGCTGATATTAAACTACTGTTTTCTAGAATAAAGGCCAACAAGTTAAAGCCATTCCTGAGATGGCATAGATCTGCATCCTATGTTTGTTATAGTAGAGAGGAATTATTTCTGAATTGAGCAAGTTTATTTAGATTTGTTTAAAGAAATGACGTGTAGATCAAGCCTTCTTTTCCACCATATACAGTTGGTATTTGATTAGTCAGGGAGTCATTTTTGCCTCTTTAGTTCTGACAGTAGAATTTGAAAAAGGATTTGAAGATGCTTTAATAGTTTAGACAGCTTAGACTCCATAATTGTTCCTGTCTATAATAAAATAGAATGCAAATCTATTCTGCATGATCTAAAATCACAAATGTAAACATCCACATCAGAGAGATGGCTGACAATACAAGGGCAAGCTTCATGTTGGCAAAAGTCAGATTTACCATGTTGATAAAAATCAGACTAGGCTTCAAATTGTTACTGTCAAAAATGCTTCTTGGAAGAATTTGTCATTTTGAAAAGCAAGGAACAACTATGTTTTATTTATTTTATTTATTCCTAATTTAACATGTTTAAGCTTTAGGAATACTTTCTCATCAAATAAAATGATTGCTAAGTTGTAAAACTTATTAGTCACACTATTAGGTCTTTAGTGTAAGGTAGCAAACACCTGTCTCTCTAAATAATCTCCAAAGTGGGATGTGCTAATCCCATGGAGTACCTTGGATTTCTTTTTCTTGTATCATACTTTCCCAATTTATTTTCTGTGTCTTTTTTATAATGTATGTATAAATCTGACCATATATGTATATAACTTATAAATAAATATGCATATATTAGTAGTTTGTGCTCAATTTTTTAATAATGGAGGTGCAAAGTCAATAATTTTGAAGATTACCATTCTACACAAATGTTGGCCTGCAAAACCTGCAGTAATCCACCCTTTTCTCAAACTTCATTCAATCAAGAGCTCAGCAAGCATCTTTTCTTGAATTTTTAATATTTTAATGGATATTGGAAGATGGTCCTTGAAGTCAGAGAATCAGAACCTTATTTCTGAAAGGGTACTAGAGATAATATTATCCAACTTTCTCATTTTTTTTCTGATGAGGAAAATGAAACCAGGGAAAGCTGACAATGTGACCTCCTTTTACCTATAGAGGAGGAAAACATGGTGCTTTTCCTGTAGCCATCAAATCTGCTTATGCTCATCCAAATCATAACATGAGTGCTGCTGATGTCAATGCCTGTAATCGGCCATACATGTTATGGGTAGTGATATAGACTTCCAGTCAAATGTTACTGCATGTGTCTGCTTCAGTCCATGGTAGTTGCATCATTACTGTCATACTATTAGTGCAGGAAAGGTCAAGTAATACTTCTTGGGCTAACAGCACATAATTTTCATTCATCATTAACATTTGTATTCACTATTCTTTCAAACTGAAGTCTTTGAGCCTATACTCTCTGGCCCTAAATCTTATATTCATGCAAATTTACATAACTGCCTTTGCTGAATCTTGGAAATGTGTTGATTTGTTGGATTAAAATACACAGATAAAAATCATAACACTAACTATGTGTGGTTAACTTTATATTACAAGGCCATTATGATTTCTCTTTTGGTTCCAACTTTTGTGCTCTTTATTTTGCTTAGTGGTGAAAAAATACTAACCTTATAGAATTGGGGGCTTTCTATCTCGATTTTATAATGAGATGGCCATGTTTGTCAGCCCGTTTACCACATGATACCCCACTCTTCATGGCCGCCCATGCTAGTCTCAGCTTTATACTAGGGTAGCATTCTAAGCTCTTGTTCTCCCACTACCCCTGTTAGAGCCAATTCCTCCAGGACACCAACATAAACAAGGTAGACCCTTTCTTTCAAGTATTCTCCCTGGCTGATCGGTACTTTCTCCATTGTTAGATACAATGGTCCTGCTCCTGCTCGAGTTTTCTGAAGTTCCTGATGGCTGACCATCTGTTTATTCCTTTGGATTCTCTTACAAAGCCTTCATCTGGTTCTCCTGTTTTATTTCTCATAAGCTGAACTATCTCCTTTCAGGGCTCCTGTCCTCTTTCCATCCCTTTGTGTGAGCATGCCACAAGGCTCCATCCTGTCTTCTCCTCTCTTTTAGTTGAAATCTCTTTCATTCACAGAACTTCGGCAATCACCACTCTATCCCCACACCTGCCTCTTTCATGCTTCTGCTATAAAGCAACAGATTCCTGCTATACTTACCTGAAAAGTCCCATTGATATCCCAAGGTCAATATATTTCATCCCAAAATAAGTCCTCCTGCTTCTCTCATCTTATTATAAGTAGCACCATTTCTACAATCTCTTAAGCTCAAAACCTTTCTACAGTCTTCTACCGCCATCTAATTAGTTACAGTATCCTAAGTTTTCATTTAAAATGCTCCTTACTTTCAACTTTTTCTTTCCATTTTAGATGCTGACAGCCCTCTTCAGACCTGCACTGCCCCATCATGATCAACATCATAGAATGAAATATCTAACAGCATGTCTGCTGCAAGACAGTAGAGGAAATGTCTAACATAGAAAAAGGCCTGGATCGACGGCTTGAAGTCAAACGTGTGAGAAAATGTGGCATAACTAAATACTCTTTCCCAAAGTGTTTTTCTAGTTTAGCTCCTCCCACATTTTCCAGGGCTCCTCTGACTCAAAAAAATTAATTTGACCAATCTAGAATTAGAAAATAGTACCTTATTTCAGTAAAGAACACGTTGATCCCAGAAGTAAATGAACGTATTTATTATTAATTTACAATGAAATATGCTGACAGCCAACCCCTTTCCCTCTAAAAGAAAAACATATTGCTCCGCAACCTGCCCCAGACCTGTCCAACTTATAGAAATATCTGAAGTGATAATAATTGTTACTGGTTTTAAGTTATAAACTTAGCCCTAATGAGAGAGATTTTTATTATTTTATTAACATTTCATATGACAAACAATAAAGTTCCTTTTGATTTGGATTTAGCACAAAGTATCTTAAAACGTCTGAATGCAAAGGCAAGTTTGAAATTCGCCAGTTGGGTGTGCTGGCGTCCCCCAACTAGCTGCAGCCCCCAATTCCCATCAGCACAGGTGGCTGGAGCCACCATCGAGTTAAAAAAAGCAAACATCAGCCACTGGCCTCTCCTCTGGTGACTGTCAGAACCCACTCTCCCACCCAAGGGCAACTTCCTGGCAGACCTTTGTTTTTCTGCCCCTCACAGTGACCTTGAAACCTCTCAGAAATAAAATGTTATTTCTTCTCATAGCCTTTCAGCTTATCAAAAAACAACAAAAAAAAACATTTTATTGAGGTACAAGCGACATACAAAAGGCTGTACATATTCAATATATACAACTTGCTGAGTTTGGAGACAAGTATATATCCATGAAACTCTTAACACAATCTATGCCATAAACATATCCATCACTTCAGAAAGTTTCCTCCCACCCTCTTCATTTGTTATCAGTAATTTTTTTGTGATAGGAACAGAATGTAAGATCTACCCTCTTAGCAAAATTTTAAGTACACAATGCAATATTGTTAATTATGGGCATTATGCTGTACAGTAGATCTCCAGCACTTATTTATTTGTATAACTGAAACTTTGTACCATTTGACTAATACTTCCATTTCCTTCTCACCCCAGCACCTGGCAACCACTATTCTACTCTCTGTCTCTATGAGTTTGAATTTTTTAGATTCCTCACATACGTGGTACATTAGCAGAATGAAGGATACAAATCACATGATTATCTCAATAGATTGGAGAAAAAGCATTTGACAAACTTCAACACCCTTTTATGGTAAAAACTCTCAACAAATTAGGTACAAAAGGAACTTACCTCAACATAATAAAAGCCAAGTAAATAAAAATAAAGCTCGGCCGGGCACAGTGGCTCATGTCTGTAATCCCAGCACTTTGGGAGGCTGAGGCTGGTGGATCACCTGAGGTCGGGAGTTCGAGACCAGCCTGACAAACATGGAGAAACCCGATCTCTACTAAAAATACAAAATTAGCAGGGCATGGTGGCGCATACCTGTAATCCCAGCTACTCAGGAGGCTGAGGCAGTAGAATCACTTCAACCCAGGAGGCAGAGGTTGCAGTGAGCCAAAATCATGCCATTGCACTCCAGCCTGGGTGACAAGAGCAAAAGTCCATCTCAATGCATACATATATACATACATACATACATACATACATACATACATACATAAAGCTCACAGCTAACATCACACTCAATGGTGAAAAACTGAAAACTTTTCCTTTAAGATCTGGAACACTGCAAGGATGCCCACTCTCACCCCTTCTATTCAACATAGGACTCTAAGTCTTAGCATTAGGTAAGAAAAAGAAACAAAAGGCATCTAAATCAGAAAAAGGGAAGTAAAATGATCTCTGTTTTTAGATGACTTGATCTTACATGCAGAAAATCCTAAAGACACCACCAAAAAATTGTTAGAACTAATAAATGAATTCAGTCAAGTTGCAGAATACAAAATCAACATATAAAAATCAGTTGTATTTTTGTACACTAATAACAAACAACCCGAAAATAAAGAGAACAATCGCATTTACAACAGCATCAAAATAATAAAATACTTACGAACAAACTTAACTAGGAGGTGAAAGACCTGTACACTGAACACTATAAAACATTGATTAAAAGAACTTTTAGCTTCCCTTAAACTCATTATGTACAAACTCATTATGTAACTTCCTGAGAAGTTAGGAAACCGACTTCAGGTTATACAACTATAGTTAGTGGGGCAGTCAGGATTAAAACCCATGGTTCCTGAAGTCTGGTCCTGGGTGACTCTGTCATGTCACACTGCCTTCCACCCAGCTTGAGTCTACAAGGAGCAGCCCTGGTCAGTCCCAAAGGGGTCGGGCTTGGATAGTGATTCCATGTGGGAATGCCTTCCTAGTATTTCTTGGGAAATTGTTGTGTTTTTCAAAATCCCAAGAAAAAAACTCTCAAGAAATTTTAAAGACTGGAAAAGTCTTTACAATTTGCCTGCAAGAATTAAAACATTGATTGCTAAAACACAGCAATCAATGTAGAGATGTTGCTGATTTGAAGGGCTCCACTGACATCAGGTGGAAAGCAACCGAAGGAAATATGAACACACAAAGTGGAGGTTAAGGTTGACCAGCATGTCTAGGAATTGAGACAGGAGCACAGGAAAGAGAAGTGGTCACTACATTATGGGTCAGTCTTGTCTATAACTGTTGCAATGTTATAAGTGAGCATTCATAGCCATAGCTGGTACTAACAGTAAGTCAAGCTTACAAATGAAATAATGATTAGTATGTCTATACAAATAGAATATTTTAAACAAATCCTATGAGTGGTATTCCAAGAAATAACAAGTTTTAGAAGCAATACAAGTTTTTTAATTGGCAATTTTGAGACATGATTCTGCATAGTGCCAAGAGATCTGAACTGTGGTATTAATCAAATACTACCCAATAGTCTGGGCTGACATTTTACAGCATTTGAATATTTGCTATGGGAAAAAAAATTATAAATACTACTAAAAGTAAAATTTATTTGTTAAAAAATAAAACTCTTTTTAGATATCTATGGCTATGATTTCTTTTTTTTTTTTTTTTTTGAGATGGAGTCTCGCTCTGTCACCCAGGCTGGAGTGCAGTGGTGCGATCTTGGCTCACTGCAAGCTCGGCCTCCCCGGTTCACGCCATTCTTCTGCCTCAACCTCCTGAGTAGCTGGGACCACAGCTCCCGCCACCACACCTGGCTAATTTTTTGTATTTTTAGTAGAGACGGGGTTTCACTGTGTTAGCCAGGATGGTCTCGATCTCCTGACCTTGTGATCCGCCCGCCTCGGCCTCCCAAAGTGCTGGGATTACAAGGCATGAGCCACAGCACCTGGCCCAATCTATAGCTATGATTTCAATGTTTGTTTTCTCTCAAACTTATGTTAAAATTTAATTACCATTGTAATAGTATTAAGAGGTGAAACCTTGAAGAGGTGATTAAGCTCTACCTTCATGAATGAATTAATGCCGCCATTATACAGGATTGGGTTTCTTAAGAGAGAATTCCTATAAAAGGATGAGTTTGGCCCCCTCTTGCTTTCTCTCACCCTCTCTTTGCCCATAGAATGATGCAGCAAGAAAGTGCTCACCAGATGCTAGCCCCTTGAACCTGGATTTCCCAAACTTCAGAATCATAAGCCAATAAATTTCTGTCCATTAAAAATTACCCAGTCTGTGGTATTCTGTAGCACAAAACAAACTAAGCCATACAAAATAATATTTAAAGAATATGAAGAGGGTTGGAAGTATTTTAAAGACAAAAACAGCTCATGATTTAAGAAATTATTGAGATTTCCTGGGAATATGGCTCTCTTACTTTCATATCCTATAGATTATGATCAGATAGAAATTTAGAAATACTGGGCTTAGGTCATGAGTGGGACATAGTCCCAACCAGCATGGATTATTGTTCTAATTTAGAAACTTTCATAAAGAGAAAAAAGTAAAAGTTTTTCTTGTATTAAGTGAACTACTTAATACTGATTTGAAATTTTGCATAAAATATTTTGAAGGACAAAAAGCAGAATTCACTAAGAATTCAACCAAATATTCTGCAGAAAAATAGCTGGTTAAGTGTTACCTCCCCCCAAATCATTCCATGCATTTTCTCTCTCTGTTCATTGTGATAACTACCATTTTTGACACAAGTTTTATTGGACATTCTATTTCCAAAATGTCATAGAATATCAGCCTTTCCTCCAGGTTGAAAAAACAAAACTGCCTATCCTTGGTGGTTTCCTTTGGGACTTCAGATGCTGCTCAGACACAGTGGGCCTTCTATAATTCTAACCCAAATGTGGACGATGGGAAAGTTTAACTTTTTAAAGGTCAAAACATGCAATATATCCCTACTAATAACTATTCTTACTGAAACCACATTCAATCTGGTAATAATTTTATTTAACTGAACGATTGTTCACATCTAGAAAACAAAGAACTAGGATGGAGGAGAATATTTATTACTTTAAACAAATTCGTATGAATAACAAAAAGATTGAGATGAAATATTTCATTTGGATGAAAAGTAATAGAGAAAAATCTGCTATCTCAAAGCCTGATGAGGAAGATTGTGCCCTAAAATCATCTCTTCTTATCTACAGAAAGGGCCCATTATTCTCCATGGGTTATAGTACTACTTGGGTATGCATTCTTTTTTTTTTTTTTTTTGAGACGGAGATTCGCTCTGTCTCCCAGGCTGGAGTGCAGTGGCGCGATCTCGGCTCACTGCAAGCTCCGCCTCCCGGGTTCACGCCATTCTCCTGCCTCAGTCTCCCAAATTGCTGGGACTACAGGCGTCCGCCACCACGCCCAGCTAATGTTTTTGTATTTTTAGTAGAGACAGGGTTTCACCATGTTAGCCACAACGGTCTCGATCTCCTGACCTCGTGATCCGCCCGCCTCGGCCTCCCAAAGGGCTGAGATTACAGGCGTGAGCCACCGCGCCCGGCCCTACTTGGGTATGCATTCTTAATCCAGAGCTGCAAATAAATGGTTCTTTCCAAACCTATTAATTATTTATCATGACAATTTGTTTCTTAAAAATCCAACAAACTCTGGAACTGTGAGAATATACCCTTGTCAAGTAGACATTTATTTTTTAAAAAATATTTTTACATGATGCCACATGGTACCAAAAGCAGGTATAGGGGTAAAAATAAAGTCCTTTAGTTAGAAAAGGAGCAGAGTCACATTGCTTTTTGGTATTCTATATCCAGATCTTCAGTTTGATAAATCCCTTTTATGGCTCTCAATGTACACATTTTCAGAAGACTCAGAAGCCTTCAGAAAAAAACCAAAGCAACATTATATTTCATGAAAGTTCTCCTCTGCTAAACAAGAAATGGAAGAAGTGAAAAACAATAAACAAAAGGAAAAGTTAACATCTCATGAATATCTTTATAGTGTGGTTAATATTTTTAATATATAATGAGTTTTTAAAAATCAATAAGAAAAAAATAACTCAAGTTTTTTTAAATAAGGCAGAAACTGTATAGGCAATTCATGAAAGAAGAAACAAATGTACAACAAACACAAAGTCATGTTCAACACAACTAACAAGTCAATAAAAAAAAACCTAAAATAATGTGTCATTTTTTACATATCAGATTAGCAAAACTTATAAAGAATGGTAATACTTTATAAATAAAAATGTATGGGTGGGGTGGGAAAGGCACTCTAAAGAGTGATACCATGTTTCTGGGCAAAAATTACCCAAATATACCAAAACCTTTTAAAGTTGCAATTTTTTGCCAGGATTTTAAAAAAAATTTTTTCTAAGGAAACAATTAGACAAGGAGACAAAGAAATAGTTACAGAACGTTTCTTGCAGCCTTGTTTATAATAGCAAAATATTAGAAACAGCCAAAGTATCTAATAATAATGAATTTTTTTAAATAAATCATGGTAATCCATATAACAAATTGGCCTAAAAAGAAGTGTGCAAGCCACAGTACAATAAAGATATTCTGATTTCATTCCTGTAAACACATATGTGTGGATATGGGTATCTAGATGCAATAAAAGACTCAGGAAATAAAATGTATATACCAACAAATATTTCTTGAGTGAATGAGTCAATGAATATGGTAACAGTGATTATCTCCAGGTATCAGTATTATGGATGATTGTGTATGTTTTGCTGATTTACATTTTGTTTCCTTCTTTCCTTCCTTCCTTCCTTCTCTTTCTTTCTTCCTTCCTTTCTTCCTTTTCTTTCTTTTTCTCTTCTTTCTCTTTCTTTCTTTTTCTCTCTTTTCTCTCCTTTTTGATCCCATTCTTCCTTGTTTTCAACCTACACTGGCTTTCTCAGCCATGTATGAACTTCTCTCTCCCTTCACCTACATGGTAAAATGTAAAAAGTCTTATATTCTACTCAAAAGGAAGATATTGCTGACTTGAGTACAACTTTTTTGAAGCAATATAGATGCCTTGCATTCACCCTTAGGTTGTATGATAACAGGAAAACCAAATGAAGCCAAAAATCCAGAGCATGTGTTAAAAATCAGATTTCATCATTAACAAATATCATCATAACTAAAATTCAGATAACTAAAGGTTTCCACCATATGGCTAGAGCAAAGTTTATTCTATACCTATCACTGTGCAGAACCACAAAAAGCACTGAGAATACAGAAAGGAACAAAAAACAGTTTCTAAACTCTAGAAAGTCACAATCCCAAGGGGTAATCGAATGTGCCAATGTTAGTCTTAATTTAAACAAAGCTCCTCATGAGTAACCAGTTCTGCCTGAGGACACAGAAAAGGTAGGGAAGAACTTAAAGGTGGAATTTAGAAAGTGAGTATGCATTCCTCAGGTATAAAAAGACTGGAAGGGCATTTCAAGTAAACAGACTAGCCAGCAAAAAGATAAGGAAGCAGAAAAGTTCCTGCAATAGTAGGTGTGGCAAAAGTTCTAGCTCTGCAGAAGAATTTGGAAGTAAAGGTGGAAAGTGCATTTGGCCTGAATGACAATTAACAGTTACCTGGATAGTTCAGTTTGCATGTGGCTGAGTTTTACAGATTCAAAGCCCCCTACATTTAAATGATAGTGTCTCAAACTATTAATAGGTCCTTGTTCAGCTATAGTGGCAGGCAATTGCCTTTGTTCATTAAAGTGGAATATTTTTGTTTTCCTTGCCAAGAAAGGAGTGATTTCACTTTTGTCTTTTTTCCCTTTCAGTTCTTTCCATTTATGTTTTTCAGACACAGAGACACACCCGTTAAGCCAGGGTTTCAATGAAAGAAAACTAGCCAATCCAGTTATGATATCGTCACTGGTGGTGTTAATATGGAGACAGTTGCCTTCTTGTTACTCAATAGGGTGAGACTTTGAAAAAGGCTTGGGCATGTGCGTGGAGCCAGTGTGTCTGGCTTCAGCCACCTCCTTCTCTCGCATTGCCAAAGAAATAGAAGCAAAGAAACCATCTCCTTATTGTTCTCTTGCATAAATAGGCCAGCTGCCCATAGGGGGAGGGTAGCGTCTAGGCATTTTATGTGACCTGCTATGGAAGGGTGGGGTTACCGTCTCAAAATTCCTGCTCCTGAAAGTGGGGGAAAGGGCCACTTCCAACTAACTAAAGTAAAAGTACTGACCTGCAAGCCTGCTGACTTCTGTTAATAAGAAAGAATGCTAGAACATTTGCTGCTAGCAAGGACAACTGCAGAAAATGCAGTTCAGACCGTCATAGGAGACTTGAAGATTGGCAGCTCCTCACCATGCTGTTCAGCATCAAAAGGCCACCCTCTACCTTTTTTTTTTTTTGACCAGATACACACAATTGAGCCCTTCTGAATCTGGCATCACAGACGTTGAGACATACTTTTGCAGAGCAGTTTATGATGACATTTATGAGCTATGCCTCACAGTCATCTCTCAAGGTGAGTGAAGGCAATCCAACATACGGGGAAACTGAAGTGTTGGGAGCCCCAGTGCAGGCCCTGGCAAGTTGAAGCCTCAAGAGATGGAGTGACAAACCAACAAACTGTTCAAACCAAGAAATTTAATTCTTGAATGGAGATTGTCTCTTTTTGAGTGGGAAAGGGAAAGTATAGTTAGGGAGACAAGTTGGATAAAGATAAGTTTCAGGGGAATAAATACAGGGGGCAAATCTAAATTAAACCTATCTTTGGTATGCGGCCAACTCAAAGCATGAATAAGGGGATCCTAGGAATATTACAAAAGAGCAATATCCTATTCCACTAAAAAGGAAGCTGTTTCTCCCAAAACTGAAAGGCAAAAGTAATTTCAAAGATACTAGACACATAGACTAAATTCAATGTCAGCCAAAGAAACAGCAGAAGTTCAAGGTTAAATCATACCATGAAACAGCCAAATGTGTACCTGGGGGCTACATGGATGAGCTATACATTGTCCCGGTAGGTTTAAATGGCGGAATCTTTGTCAATGGCCTGACATCATGGAGTCTTCTGCATAACCCTTTGGCTCAGAAAGCATAGATACAGAATTTACTCTCTTTAAAGTATCATATCTCATTACTACCATAGAAGATTCTAGGTAAAAATCTAGTTTTCCATGAAAAACTTTTAAATATTTATTAAACTCCCCCAGTGAGGTGATTGTTTTTAAACAAATTATTTTCAGAGGTGGAATAAGCAAACCTCTGAAGCAAAGGTTAAGAGGCTTCATTTTACCTTTTTTATAAGGACATTTTTAACAGCAACTTTTTTTGTTTTTAAAATCTTAGTTCAATCTTATTTGCCATCAGTGAGATATAAAAAGGTTGCACAGCATTGGGGAAAAAAAAATTGACTACCTTGTCAAAAAGGAGGTCATATCTCACCATGCTAACTGCAGTCAAGAACTCATTTCAAGTGCTGGGATTCTACTTTTCGGATCTTAGCTCATGTTGTTTCTATTGTGAATGTAGCCTACTCAAAGCCGTTTTCTTTCTGTTTAGCTTTATTAAGTTTTGCTTTTGTCCCGGGCTTTGGAGGCATGGTCTGAGAAGTCGGGCTGACCTGAATTTGGATCCCAGCTCCCAAGTTACAAGCTGGAGAGCTGGAACTTTCCTCCTTTTCTCTCTTTGATCTCTCAGAGCTTTCCTATCTTTATTAAAAATGGCATAAGTGGCCAGGCATGTTGGCTTATGCCTGTAATCCCAGTGCTTTGGGAGGCTGAGGTGAGAGAATCACTTGAGGCCAGTAGTTCAAGATTAGCCTGGGCAGCAAGGCAAGACCCTATCTCTACAAAAAATAAAAATTAAAAAATTACCTGGGCATGGTGGCATGCCTGTAGTCCCAGCTACTCAGGAGGGTGAGGCAGGAGGATTGCTTGAGCCCAGGAGTTTGAGGCTACAATGAGCTATGATCATGCCACTGCACTCCAGCTTGGTGACAGAGCAAGACCCTGCTCCTAAGTAGATAGATAGATAGATGGATAAATAGATAGATAGATGATAGATAGATAGATAGATAGATAGATAGATAGATAGATATGATAGATAAATAAATAAGGCATAAGGTTATTATAAAGGCAAAACAAAGAACTATCTTAAAGCAAATAATAAATGATGAATTGCACCATGATTCATCCAGCTGCCAAAAAAGAAACTTGGACACCATCCTTGACTTCTCCTCCTTTCTCCTATACACAAACAACTGGTCATCAAGTCTTATCAACCCCTTCCTCTCTATTCTCATTTCCACTGCTTCATCTCAGATTATCAGGCTCCCATGTCTAGCCTCACCCTGTCCTAATGTGTTCCCTTTGCTGCCACTATATTATGCTTCCTCAGCCAAAAATATGATGCTGTCATTGCCTGCTTTGACTCCAGTATCTCCTGCTGCATCTGGGGAAAAAGTCAAGGCAACTTATTACCTGGTTCCAGCACACCTGCCTCTCCAGTCTCATCTTTGGCTCCTCCCCCTATCCCGACCCCTTTCTATCCTTTCTCTAGCTCTCTCTGCCCAACCATACTACACTATTTTGCAGCAGTAAATACGAGAATCAGAATTATTTAAGATTTAGTTTAAGTGCCACCTCTTCTTGGAAATTTTTGTAAACTCACCCTCTCATCCCACCTAGTCTGAGTTGAGAGCTTCTTCCAAAGTCTCCCAAGCACCTTTCATCATAGCACATGTTTCTCTGGGTAGTAATTATCTGTGGGCTTCTTAAGGATAAGGACTGTCTTTTCAGTCTTTGTAACCTCAACAGCTAGCACAGTACTTTGCATGAAGGATGTGCTTCATGACTGAATGAAAAAATGAATGAACTCATACACCTAGAATAGTATTAGATGCATTGGAGGCATTCCATAAGAGCTAGTTGGGTTTCCTTTCCTTCTTTCTCAGATCAAGTCCAGAATCAAGAGATTTCTGAAATGGGGCTGGGCACGGTGGCTCACACCTGTAATCCCAGCACTTTGGGATGCTGATGCGGGTGGATCACTTGAGGCCTGGAGTTTGAGACCAGCCTAGCCAACATGGTGAAACCCCCATCTCTACTAAAAATACAAAAAGTAGTCAGGCATGGTGGCAGGCGCCTGTACTCCCAGCTACTCAGAAAGCTGAGGCAGGAGAATCACTTGAACCCAGGAGGCAGAGGCTGCAGTGAGCTTAGATCGCTCCATTGTACTCCAGCCTGGGCGACAGAGTGACACTCTCAAAAAAAAAAAAAAGAAAGAAAGAAAAAGAAAGAAGGAGAGAGAGAGAGAGAGATTTCTGAACTGGTAATTGTTTTGCAAGGACTTCTGTGAGGTGTGAGGTGAAGTTTTATCTTTCTTCTATACATCCCAGGACATAACTGACTACTTTCCATTCTTTTTTCTTCTCACCTCCCTACACACACACACACACACACACACACACACACACACACAACCCACATTCCCCCCTACATTCCACAGAAGTATCACTAGCATCTCGGAAGGGTCCCTTGAACTAATCTGCCCTTCCATGGCACCTCTAGACATTTGGACCCTTGGATTTATGTAGAGTCACTTGGGGAGCTTTTTAAGACACAGATGTCTGTGCCTCACCCCCATACCCTAGCAAGTGTAGGGTGGAACACAATGGTTATAGTTTTCAAAAGCAATCCCCAAAGTAATCCAGCAGATCTTCCAGGGTTGGGAACTACTGCTCACAGGTCAAACTTTTAGTTCCAAAGGACAAAAAGAAATACTATTCAATCTGTGACCCCTTCCCAAGAGCCAGCTCAACAGTAACCCAAGCATGCTGTTGTTGCCAGGGGGAGAAAAAAAAAAGAAAGTTTGTATTTTTATTTATATACTGATTTATACTTGTGTTGCTCCATAACTGTTTAGGGTGCCCTAGGGCAATAGTATTCTCTCTGTCAACAAATGGAAAACTATGAAACCTCACAAAATTTATATCCATCAGATAACAAGTCCTTCCTAATTTAAAGAATTTGTTTCCTGTGATTTTGAAGGGGGTTCTTCTGCAATATTGAGTCTCCCTTTCCTGACATTCCTCAGAAAGCTGCGCAACTTTGGGGCTCATGATCCTCCAAGGAAACTCGGGCATTTCTCTTGCTGTCAGTTTGCATTTCCAATGATGTCCCTTATACTGATACAATGCCATTCAGGCAAAAGTACTGTGGCAAGAAGAGGGAAAGGTACTAGAACTAATAGTTTTTTTGTTGGTTTTTGGCAGGTTTTTTGTTTTTGTTTTGTTTTGTTTTGTTTGGGTTTTTTTGTGTGTGGGTTTTTTTTTTAATGTCAGTTAGATTTGGCACCTACCTGTTCTTTTTAGCTTACAGCAGCTCAAAATAAATTAGTATTTATTTTTTAAAATAACTAAAACAGTTTGGGGTTTCTCCCACTTGCAGTCTGAAAATCATCTCTAATTTTCTGCCTGAACACTCAAGAAAGGGTTAAGTTTCTAGTATTTTTCATTTCTCCATTTATTTCACTTCCAGGGTCTTTCTTCAAGGGAGTAAAGGGAGAATGTAGTTTTACTTCAGTTGTATTACATTCAGAAATCCCAAACAATGTTGGCTCCTGCCTCATTATTTCTTTATTTTCTCTGGAGGGAACAATTTGGAAAAGGAAAAGATGAGAAATCTCCAAGAAATTAAGCTTCTTAGCTCTTTTTTCTTCCTTTTGATGCTACCAGCCTGAGTTTGCCACTGTGATTTTCACAGTTCAGTAGGAAGACCTCCACCTATACCATCCTACCCTTGACTCTTTCTTGGAATTCCCAAGTCCATGGGATTTTGGATTGTTCTTCTTGCAGAGTAACCAGGAATCCTAATCACACCACTCGGGAAAGGAGTTCATTTCCTCCATCGCTGCATATTAATAGAGAAGCAGGAGCTACATGATGTAGACCCTGGAAAGGCCTTCCTTGGCTTGGAAATCCTTTATTGTAAGTGGGTTCAGGACTCTTTTATTTTTTCCCCATTCTGACAGTGACCAACAGCAATATGCATGAGCCGATGGGACTTTTCTCAGAGCACACCATTCTTGGTATAACAAAGCCCTAACAAGAAAAATAATATACCAGTTCTTGAATCTTCCCCACACCAGTTACATAGCTGGTGGACTGTTCAGTCTAAATCCTTCCACTCCTAACAATAACACTGTAGCCCTAGGGGAGAATCCCTGTACAACTGCACAAATCAATCCCCTGCAGCCCTCCTTAAGACACGGCTACCAGAAGAAATTCTTGGAGCCACTACTCTGCTATTTTCCTACGAGGCCATTTTTCCTTGATATGCCAATAGTTCCCAAACTGACGTGAGTGTGTAGGGAAATATCCTCCCCTGACAGCATCACACCCTATTATTAGGCCACAAAACAGTGCTGCCTTGTAACTTGATTTTTTATTAGCCCTACTATTTTTCCAGCCCTATCTCCTAGGACACTTGCCTTGGTCCAAAGTGGGAGGGGTCAGAAGCAATAAGGGTGCCAGCTTCCTTTGCCGCACTTGTTTTAGACATTTCTCCCCAAGATGAGTTACTTTGTCATTTAGAACACCGTAGCGAGGCTTGAGGGTGACCCTTAGCCCCTAGCAATTTAAGACTGGGAGGCTGAGGATCAGCTAGGTAGCTCTACCCAGCCATTTCTCCTCCCCATGAAAGAGTTTTGGGTCTTAGGAAGACTACTCATGGGAATATATACAGTCACATGCCGCATAACAATGTTTTGGTCAACAACAGGCTGATATATGATGGTGGGCCCATAGGACTATAATAGAGCTGAAAAATTCTTGTCGCCTAGGGACGTGGTAGCTGTCGTAATGTCTCAGCGCAATGCATTACATGCATGTTTGTGGTGATGCTGGTGTAAATAAACCTACTGTGCTGCCAGTCATAGCACATGCAATTATGTACAGTACATAATACTTGATAATGATAATAAATGACTATGCTATTGGTTAATGTATTTACCACACTGCCCTTTTTATTGTTATTTTAGAGTGTACTTCCTCTACTTATTAAGAAAGAAATCAACAGTAAAATAGCCTCAGGCAGGCCCTTCAGGAGGTATTCCAGAAGAAGGCATAGTTGTCTTAGGCAGTAACAGCTACATGCATGTTATTGCCCCTGAATTCCTTCCAGTGGGACAAGATGTGGAGGTAGAAGACAGTGATATTTATAATCCTGACTCTATGCAGGCCTAGGCTAATGTGTGTGTATGTGTGTCTTCATTTTCAACAAAAAAGTTTGAAAAGTAAAAAAAAAAAAATTAAAAATTTTAAAAATAAAAAAGTTTATGGAATAAAGATACAAAAAAATTTTTTGCACAGTTGTACAGTGTGTGTTTTAATCTGTGTTATTATGAAAGAGTCATGCTTAAGAATTGTTAAAGTTTATAAAGTAAAAATGTTATAGTAAGCTAAGGTTAATTTATTATTGAAGAAAGAAAATTTTATAAATAAATTTAGTGTAGCTTAAGTGTACAGTATTTACAAAGTCTATAGTAATATATAATAATGTCCTAGGCCTTCACATTCACTCACCACTCATTCACCAACTCACCCAGAGCAACTTCAGGCCTGCAAGCTTCATTCATAGTAAGTACCCATATGGGTGTACCATTTTTTATCTTTTGTACCATATTTTTACTGTGCCTTTTCTATGTTTGGATACACAAATACTTACCATTGTGTTACAATAGCTTACAGTATTCAGTATAGTGGCATGCTATATAGGTTTCTAGCCTAGGAGCAATAGACTATATACCATCTAGCCTAGGTTTGTAGTTGGCTACCCCATCTATGTTCGTGTAAGTACAATCTATGATGTTTGCATAGCAGTGAACTCACCAGAGGATGCCTTTCTCAGAACGTATCCTGATCAATAAACAACATATGGCTGTATCTGAATTTGTGGTAGGCATACAGCTCAGGTCTTCATCCTGTGGTTTCCTTCATTCTACTCCCCACTTCACCATTTACAACAAAAATAATAACTTCATTCATTCATTCATTCATTCAACAAATATTTTGTGAGTCCTTAGTATATGTCAACCACTGTTCTAGGTGCTGGGGCTGTGTCAGAGAACCAAACATTAAAAATCTTTGCCCTCATAGAGCTTCATCCTAGTGAGATAAACAATAAAAAAAGTGCAAAAGTAAATGACATAGTAGTTTAGAATGCATAGACCTGTTTGAGGGGGAACAGGAGTGAGGGCTGATGTGGGGAGCTGGGTGCAATTTAAATAAAATGGTCAGAGTAGACTTACTAAGAAGGTGGCATTCCAGCAGCACTAGAATGAAGTGAGTGAGTTAGCCTATGGGAGAAGAGCAAAATACTTAAGCCAGTGAAAAATACTTAAGGAGGTATGTTCTATAAGTGGAAATGAGACCAATATGTATGGAGTAAGAGTGGGGAAGGCAAAGAGGGAACAGGAGCCAGATTAGATGGGGCATTCGACGCCATTACCAGGCCCAGGGCATTTGTTGTTTGCAAAATATATTCCCATCCTCTAATTGCCTCAACCTTGTAAAATGAATTCCATAGTAGAAATAATGGAATAATGGACTCATAGATGATCCAGAACTCTTTTTAGCCAATAGTGTCAATGAAAGCTATGTCCAAACAGTGGTGTATAAATAATGCTGATAAAGGTAATTTGACATTTATCTCTTTTTCCATTCTACCCCTCCTATCAGAACCCTAAATGGCCCACTGGCAGAATGTCCACCCCATAGAGCTAATGTTTCACTCTAGTTCTGGAGAATTGGCTGCAATTCTGAGGCCATGCTGAGATGAAATTTCATGGGACAATTTTGATCATTTAAAAAATAAAGTTTTACATATGTAGACTTTTAGTTTGCTATAGAAGAATAATGCCTCCAGAGAAACAAAAGGCCCTAGCTAGCAGTAGCTATTAACAGCACTTGACAACTTGGAGAAGCCGAAAAGATATGAAGCCAGAGCCTACAGCCAATCCTTCCTCAAGTCCTGTCAGCATTTCCCTCAAATATATCCCCAGTGTAACCACTTTGCCCCACCTCAACACTACTAATCAAGCCTTCAATTCTCACCTTGACTACTACCACAGCCTCTTCATGGGCATCTTTCCATGCTCCTCTCACTCCCTTCTACGGATGAGCTGAGCATGGCAGTAGAAAGATAGGCAGGGGCTAGATGATCTTAGGTATCCTTGAAAGCCACATGAGGAGTCTGGACTTTTTAAAAATGGGATGGGAAATGGCTGTAAAGCTGTGATCTGGGAAATAATGTGATCTAAGTTTTTTGAGTTTGTTTTTTTAAAGCCCTCTGGTTGCTGCTTGGGGAGTTGACCACAGTAAGGTGCAAAGCAAGGAGATCAGTTAGGAAGCTGCTATGGCAATAGAGGTGAACAAAAACCTTGAGAATCTCTTCCTTTTCCTCAAAAATTCAAAGGTCCTTTTCTACCTGAAGAACTTTGATGTTACTCTAGCCTTGGTCTTGAACACTGATTATCAAATGCCTGTCTCCCTCTATTTATTCTAGTCTTGATCTAAATACCACTTGCGTGGAGGCTTTCCCTAGCTACTCTAACAGAGTGAGACAAATCCCCATCTTTACCATCCTCTATCCTCACTTTTTCTCTGATCATTTATTATTTCCTTATATTATATATCTCTTTTTTGTTGTTTAGTCTGTCTCTTTCACAAGAGTTTACATTGTATGGGAGCAAAAACCTTTTCTGGTGTCTTTGTAGTTGTAGCTCTAGCACCAGGAACTATGCCTGACACAGAATAAACATAAGAGGGACTCAGTAAATATTTGTTGCATGGATGAATGTATTTATCTGCTCATAGCATGGTCTAAGACAATTTAAATGATACCAAGTTCAATTTCTTAGAAAACATTTATATTTCCAGAAAAAGGAGACAATGTATTAGAAGCACCAAATACATCTGACAAAGGTCTAATATCCAGAGTCCACAAGGAACACAAATAAATTTACAAGAAAAAAACAAACAACCCCATTAAAAAGTGAGAAAAGGACATAAGCAGACACTTCTTAAAATAAGACATTTATGCAGCCAACAAATGTATGAAAAAAAGCTCAACATCATTGATCATTAGAGAAATGCAAATCAAACCCACAATGAGATACCATCTCATGCCAGTCAGAATTGCAACTATTAAGTCTAGAAACAACAGATGCTGACAAGGTTGCGGAGAAAAAGGAATGCTTTTACACTGTTGGTGGAAGTGTAAATTAGTCCAACCATTGTGGAAGACAGTGTGGTGATTCCTCAAAGATCTAGAGGCAGAAATACCATTTGACTCGGCAATCCCATTACTGGGTATATACCCAAAGGAATATAAATCATTCTGTTATAAAGATACATGCACATGTGTGTTCATTGCAGCACTATTCACAATAGCAAAGACATGGAGTCAACCCAAATGCCCATCAATGATAGACTGAATAAAGAAAATGTGGTACATATACACCTTGGAATACTAGGCAGCCAAAAAGGGAATGAGATCGTGTCCTTTGCAGGGACATGGATGGAGCTGGAAGCCATTATCCTCAGCAAACTAACACAGGAACAGAAAACCAGACATTGCATGTTCTCTCTTCAACTGGGAGCTGAACAATGAGAACACATGGACACATGATGGGGAACAACACACACTGGGGTAGGGGGAGGGAAAGCCTCAGGAAGAATAGCTAATGGATGTTGGGCTTAATACCTAGGTGATGGGTTGATCTGCGCAGCAAACCAGCATGGCACACATTTACCTATGTAATAAACCTGCACATCCTGCACATGTACCCCAGAACTAAAAATAAAAGTTGAAGGAAAAATTTTTTTAAAAAGCACCAAATATTCCTGGTACCTAATAATCACTTATTTTTATTGAAGGTTCACTATATCCTAGACTGTATTATGAGTTTTTCTTATCTGAATCCATCAGCAACCCTAAGAAGTAGATATTACTATCCTGATTTTACAAGCAAGGAAACTGAAACTTGAATACATACCCACTGCGAACTCTTAGGAACACTTGAAAGTTCATTGCCTTCTAACGCTGAGATGCCTTCTAATGCTGAGAAGCCCTTGAAAAGGTGGTTTTAGCCTTGAGAAAAAAAAAGTTGCTGATAGGCTTGTTTAAAAGCCAAGAAGTTGTTATAGTTTTAAAGCCTAAATTGGGCCTGGTGTCAGCTGATCCAATGACCTTCCCTTTTTTATCCCTAGTAATCCGGTAATCTCCCATTGATGAGCAAAGCATGTGTACTCTATTAAATACTGGGTGCAGTTTAGGCAACGCTGCCTCCAGCCTCAGGTGCCCAGCAGGAAGTCATAATTGACAATACAGAGCTGAGTAGGGCAGCATGGTGGCAGCCCAGGTCACCTTCCCCATCCATCCCTCCTCATGGAGCTTGCTGCACTCATTTACTGCTCAGCTCCTCTTTGACCAATGGCTAAGGCCCTGGACTGGACATTGCCAAGTCCAATTCTGTTCCTAACACAGATGATTGCTGCAGTGAGTCATAAACACCTCACTGAATCTCACCTGAAAAGTTAAATGGAATGCCCTCTTCATTCTTGACTCCCAGGATGTGCTAATACCCCACAAATATGTGACGTTCCTCATAGGAAGGACATGTATATAATTCAAAGTGCTATTGTGAGTTCCAAACTCAAAATCTAAAAAGGCACTGAGAGAAGTAAATATTTGTAGAGAAGCTATATCCCTAACAATATAATCAAAATATAATAAACTTAATTTTCATCAAAACTATTTTTTGTTTCCAAGCATAGAGACAAGAAAGATGGGCCAGGCCTGGTGGCTCACGCCTGTAATCCCAGCACATTGGGATGCCGAGGTGGGTAGATCACAAGGTCAGGAGTTCAAGACCAGCCTAGCCAACATGGTGAAACCCCGTCTCTACTAAAAATACAAAAAAATTAGCTGGGCGTGGTGGCACGCACCTGTAATCCCAGCTACCCAGGAGGCTGAGGCAGAGAATTGCTTGAACCAGGAAGGCGGAGGTTGCAGTGAGCCGAGACGGCGCCACTGCACTCCAGACTGGGCAACAGAGCAAGACTGTCTCAAAAAAAAAAAAAAAAAAGAAAGAAAGAAAAAAAAAAAAAGAAAGATGGCCTTCCTGAAATATCGACTATACATGGCTATATTTTAGATTTTTCACAGTTGGAATTTGGTGTTCATGTTTATCCTTTTGAATATCAATGAGAAAGTTTATATTTGTGTCTACTGCCATGATAACATTAGCATGTCCCCTTTTTGTGAGTGAGAGAGATCAGATGATTTACCTCTTCTCATCTTTAGGGCTTATTTTCTAAATATTTTATCATGAAGGAGTTATTTTTTATAAAGATTTGACATGTCTTTTATTTTATTTTTGCTTTTCTTTATTTAGGAAAAAGCAAAACAACAATGTGTTCTTTTCTGAGATGCACATTGACTTGTAGGAAGGAAGTCTGAGAAGCAATTTGTCCACAAACAGAGATTATGGTCCGTGCAGAAAAATGTACCAAGATATCTTTCCAGGGTAAGCTGTGGAGGATATGTGGGCCTGATCCTGCACAGTCTAATGGGCACAAGGCTTTCTTTTACGTCAGAGCCTGAGGCTGTTTACAAATAAACACAGACCAACGTGACATTCTGCCCAAGATAGGCACCATGAGGGGAACTACGGAATCTTTCCATTAATGACCTATCTGAAATAATACACCACCCTTGATTCAGGGGCAGAAATTCCGCTGATGCAATGCCGAGTTGGGTGGGCCAGCACTGAGTGCTATGATGAAAGCCCTTCACAATGGTTTCCAAAGAATGGGAGCCAGAAACACTAAAACAAAGTCATACTTTCACAGAGCAGCAAGAGAAAGGACTTCCAGCGATGAGCCCCTATGGAAAAATCTGCCCTGGCTTCAAGGCCCCAAGCACAGCCCTGGGAACCATTAAAGAGAGGCTCTGGCAGATCTCAACTGACACATAGGCTAATGGCAGGAGGCAAGGGAAGGAAGCTGGGGCCCACCCCAAGTCAGACTTCAGAGATGCAAGATCATCACACACATACGTGCGCACACACAGATATTCACTGTCTTAGGAAGGCATATTTTACGTTTTAATGATAAGCAAACCTTGTAACAGTAAATTGTCTCCTCTTCTTCTAGAGATGGGAAAGATGAAAACTCTTTGGAAGGAACAAAGAAGAATAGAGACCTGGATTCCCAGGTCTGAAGGTGCTCTGTGAATGATCAGGTGATGGCCACGGCCAGCTTTCCCAGCTTTTGGTTTCACTATATTTGTTGTGCTTCAAGAAGCTCTGAGCATGTTACTTAGCCTGCCTCTACAGGAAAAGGTATATCAGTACCTTAAAAATCACCCCTTCTCTACCCTACTCCCATCCCCACACACCCCCACCATCCCCTCAGCATCAGTCATCCTGGGTGGTCTCCTGGAACTCTCTGTCTGCTCAGTCACCTGTGGCTTCATTACATTTGCCCTTCACATGGGTGGTTTTCTATGTAACAGTGCTCTTTCCCTGAATGCCTTTACGGCTGGATCTTTCCTGTCATCCAATAGGAGCTAAAATGTCACCTCCTAATAGAGACTCTTCCTGGCCACACTGTCTAAAGTATTGCTTGCCTCTCTTTTGTAGTCTGTACATTTTTTATTTCCCTCATTGCCCTTTTCCTAATCTGTAACTGTTTTTAATTGTTTAATGTCTCTCTCCCTCATGTGAACACAAGCTTTTTTAGATTAGAAACCATATCTTCTTTATTACTATACTCCATTCAGCTCAATGACCAGTATATAGAAGGTAGTTGATAAATATTTGTTGAATGAATGAAAAACTTAGCTGAAGTTCACCTTTTCCATTTCAGTCCACAGTGATCTTTGCCTTTCTGGCTTGATAAAGCACTTGAAGTAAGTTCTGCATTCACACGGCACAGCACTCTATTGTGTGGTCTTGATGCCTTCAGTCAGGTCGTGCCATCTTAATTCATTAATATGCTACTAAAATTAGGGGTCAGATTTTCTACTCATTGTTTTATCCAAACTCTCAGCATAGATCTGGATTCACTTGTCTTAAAGCCAGTGTAACAGAAATATTAGCTTTGGGGAGAAGAGTCATTTTCCCCAGAGTGGTCTTTTCCCCATAAGCCCTCTATAAAAATAGACCTACTGTCACGATTCTGTTCTTAGAACATGACATGAAATCCGGGGTCTTAGTTTCTGAGTGTTGGGAGCAAGCCATCACCTTCGGGAGAGCAGATTTGCTTGTAGAAGTCTTGAACTTCATATAAACATCGTTCATTTCAGGCATACTGTCAAAAATCTAAACAGTCCTAAATTAGGAGCTTATTATAAGTTATTACAGATTTCCTCCTGTTGCTTCCAGATTATTTGTTTAAAAGGATCTGGTAAATACCAGATCTTTAGTATGATGACTAATGTCCTGCCAAAATAAGGGGGGAAAAAACCCCTTTCAAAGTTATTCTGGAAACGCAGGTGGCTCTGTCCAGTAGTACAGATCTGCAGCCCCCCACCACCCCACCCCCGCCCTTACCCCTCTTAGACAGCTTGTTACTTCCAATCCTTGGAAAGAGCTCTTTTAAGATTGGGAGTTACTTTCACAATTGCTTAGACTAAGAAGACAAAGCCTGTTGTCTTGCTAACAATTGCTCTGTGTGGTCAATCTTTGGTGGTCAGCAAAATTATCCCCAAATGCCAGAATTCAAACGAGTAACTCAGGCATTGAACTTTAAAATAGATGTTTAATTCTTCAATAGGAACTCTTAACACCTGTCAGATGCTTGGAATGGGATGAGGCAGAAAGTAGACGGCAGTGTACAAAATGCAAAAAAAAAAAAAAAAAAATTGCATTTCGCTGAACATGGACTCCACATTTCCATTTCAGCCAAAGTGGACACTCACAGTCTTGACTCAATTTTAATTAGTGGAAAAATAGTGAAAGAAAACGAAAGAAGCATTAGTTTTTTTTTAAAGAGCCTTAATTATGCCAGATGTCTTAACGTTTTGATTCTAATGAGCATTTTCCAGACTTAAGCTACTTCTATTTGCAGTGTGCTCTCTGGATAACATTCCCTCTCTCCACATACACACCACTACCACATGTCTCTAGGAATTAAATTACTATCACCCTCCACGAGGAACTCCACTCAATACCTAAGCTACTTTTGCTCTGGAGATTCCCTCAAGGAATCTCAATTGAGCTTAACTTTGAAAACATTTACAAGGTCTTATACCCACATAAGATAAAGCAGTGTACTGAGTGGATATGCAATACAATGAAATAACTTTTAAATTTACTGTTTTTGAGCATCATTATCTTCTAAATTTTGTCCCCCTCCTCCCTCAAATTCATATGTTGAAGCCCTAAACCCAAATGTGACTGTATTTGGAGAGAGGGTCTGTAAGAAGGTAATAAAGGTTAAGAGAGGTCATAAGGGTAGAGCCTTTATCCAATGGGACTGGTGTCCTTATAAGAAGAAGAAGAGATACTGGAGAGCTCGCTCTCTCTCCAGGCACACAGAGAGGAAAGGCCATGTGAGAACACAACAAGAAGACAGCCATCTTCAAGCCAGGAGGAGAAGCCTTGCCAGAAACCCACCCCAACAGCACCTTGATCTTGGACTTCTAGTCTCCAGAATGGTGATAAAATTACATTCTGTTATTTAAGCCACCCAGTCTGTGATATTCTGTTATTATGATAGCCCAAGCAGACTGATAAGTGCTTACTATTGCTTGCTGATCCCCAAGTGCTTCGTTTACATTATCTCATTTAATCTTCACAACAACCCTATGAGGTAGACACTATTATTATTCGCATTTTAAATATGAGTAAACTGAGGCTTAGAAAGGATGACAACTTTCCGAGAGTCACACACAGTGTCAGAGCCCTCTGATTCCAGATGGATACTATATTATGTAAATTAAAATAAGTTAAAATATCTTTAAGGTATGTCAAGGCTTAAAATTGTGGCTGGTGTGTGTCATTTATTCTTCCCATTCATATTCCTGGATTTTTTTTGTCAGTGGTACCAAATTAAACCTAACTTGAGTTAATCCCAATCTAAGTTAACACACGTAATGAAACCATAATGCTCACATTTGATCAATATACACCAGGGAATGGTTACCTTATCATTTTTCTCATACTATTTGCCTTTAAAGGTTGGCATAATCTGTTCTTGAGTATAAAGTTGTAGGTGGATTTGAATCTTTTTATTAAGCAATGCTGTCAAGTACTGCAGTTGAAGCTGCAAATCGTGGTTCATCTGGTGAGAAACATACTCTGGATTCTAAGAAGCCTGCTCCTTCCCCAGTGCATATAATTTAATGGGAGGAACAAGACAATCAAGAAAAATGTCTTGAAATATCTATTTTTATTTAGTGCACCATTTATTTGCCCAGAGCACTAATGGGATATGTAGAAGGTATATATGGACAGCCTATGGAAAATAGAAACTTTGAGGATGTAAATCCATTGCCAGGACACTGAAATGATGGCAAATACACACCTGGAGTTAAACAAATACTGGTTTCATTCACAGCACTGCCACTTATTTCTGCTGCAGTCTAGACAAGTTACTCAACCCTGCTCTACCTCAGGTTCAATATGTATAAAATAGGAATAACATATCAACCTCCAAAGGTTATGGAAATTAAATGAAATTATGTCTATAGAAAGCTCAGCATCTTGTCTGGTGTATTAGTCATGGATCTTCAGAGAAACAGAACCAATAAGATGTATGTAAAGAGAGAGGGAGACAGAAATATTTATTATGCGGAATTGGCTCACATGACTATGGAGGCTAGGAAGTCCTATCTGCCGTCTGCAAGTTGGAGACCCAAGAAAGCAGGTGGTGGTGTTTGTGGTGTAATTCAGTCCGAATCTGAAGGCCTGGGAGCTGGGGGAGCCTGTGGTATAAGTCTCAGTTCAAGCGGAGGAGCAGCTCAAACAGTAAGGCAGGGTGGAAAGGAGCACATTCCTCTTTTTTCCATTTTTTGTTCTATTCCAATCCTCAGTCCATTGGATGATGTCCACCTACATGGGTGAGGGCAATCTACTATACTGAGTCCACTGATTCAAATACTAATCTTATCCAGGAACACCCTCATGGACATATTCAGAAATAATGTTTAATCTGGGCACTTTGTGTCCCATTCAAATTGACACACATTCAATTTATTAGCCATTGTTATTGACATCTTCCACAGCGGTGAGTTTTTCTTCCGTAACATATTTATCTAGCCACTCAACATCCTGGCAAAACTCCTTTTTGGCTCATTGGTATCATCAAAGCAGATGCTTTAGGCACATTCAAGGTAACTTCCAGCCCTCAGAAGATATAATATGAAAGAAGAAGAAACAGAGCTCAAAGTAGAAAAAAAATTATTTTTCAAAATGAAGAACTATTATTTTCCAGCTCCCAGGAGACTTTCCAACAATAAACAGCAAACAGTAGAAGATGATTATGCATTACAGAAGAGACAGCTATTTTATAAAAGATTTTAAACAATGTACAACAAACACCACTGGGCCCACCAGCACAACACAGACAGGGATACAAGCCAGTGTGGAGTTGGTGGCAATGCCCTAGGAATTCCGCAGAATCACTGGAGTGAGTTTGAATCCCAGTTACATAGACCTAGGCATTAAATTAGCATCAGCTAAAGG
This sequence comes from Homo sapiens, assembly GCF_000001405.40. Classification (NCBI taxonomy): domain Eukaryota; kingdom Metazoa; phylum Chordata; class Mammalia; order Primates; family Hominidae; genus Homo; species Homo sapiens. Next base: position 96,938,228 of record NC_000007.14, read on the forward strand.
CCTAAGAAAAGTCAGACTTAAACAACAGAAATTGATCAAGGAGCAAACACATGCATACCGTGACACTCAGTGTGGCTACTGTTGTTCAACAGAGCCCAGGTTTCTCTGACATCAAATCATTGCCTTGATGACCTCAGTACGAGAGGACAGGACAAGTTAAAACCTCTAAAGGATAAGATCAGAGAAGCCTAACTACGACTTAGGCTATCAGGCAGTGACAGTTAACAGTTGCCAAAACTGTTTCCTGTTTATGGCACAAAGTTGGGTAAAGTAAGTTGTTCAGCCAGGACTGTAATTTTCTAAGCCCCCCTGCACCTTAGCAATGCTGTAAGCCTGAGTTCTAGCCAATGGGATAGGAGAAGTGATGGGTGCCACATCCAGACTCAGCTCATAGAGCTTCCCAAACTTTCTCCACTACTCTATCTTCCTCCAGCCACCAAACAGAGATAATCATAGTGACCTTGGAAGCTAAATGCTGAAGACTGCAGAGCCTCCACCAGCCTGCATCCCTGAATGACTGGTACATCCCCTCCTTCCCACGCCCCCTTAAATGACTCAAGACATTTTACAGGTAAGAAATAAACATGGGCCGGGCGTGGTGGCTCACGCCAGTAATCCTAACACTTTGGGAGGCCGAGGCAGGCGGATCACGAGGTCAGGAGATCAAGACCATCCCGGCTAACACGGTGAAACCCCGTCTCTACTAAAAATACAAAAAATTAGCTGGGTGTGGTGGCACGCACCTGTAGTCCCAGCTACTTGGGACGCTGAAGCAGGAGAATCGCTTGAAACCGGGAGGCAGACGTTGCAGTGAGCTGAGATCGCACCACTGCACTCCAGCCTGGTGACAGAGAGAGACTCCATCTCAAAAAAAAAAAAAAAGAAACTTATATTGTGTGTAAGGCCTTATGCATTTTAGTACCTACTTAGAACAGTTAGCATTGCCCTCACTAATACAACTAGCATTATCCTAACTAGTAAAGTTATAAATATTCATCACATGAATATTGCTAGAGAAAGAGGGCCCAGGAACTTGAAGCATGTTTTCTGTTCTGTTTTCTTTTTCTACTTTTTCCTACTCTGATGTGTACTGGGCATATATCAGAAATGGTTTTTGAGTGTTGAATGAATGAATACCTGACCTGACTGACCTATGACAAATAATCTAACTTCTTTTTGCCTTCAGTACCTAAAGCCATAATTAACATCGCAATGTTTGCCACTTTATTGAAATGTAATGAGGATTAATAAAATATCTGACATGCCATTCTGAGTTCCTTTGGGTAAGAAATACAATAAATTAAGTACAGAATAAGTACAATCAGTATAGGAAATTAAGTATAAATTAAGTACAGGATAAGTACAATGTGTACCCATTAAACACAAATCCAGTAGAAGTCAGGTTATATAAAATGTAAAGTTCTCTAGAATCCAATAATCTCAAATCACTACGATAATATAAACAAGTGAGAGTGAGTAGTATTATCTAGTATATTAATCAGGTAAAATAACTTCACTTCTCCTTAAAAGATGCCTTAATAACTAAGAAGAGTCATTAACTAATTACTCACAAATAATTTCTCTTATAGAAATGTGAACCTCTGGTTTTATTGTTAGCTGGACATACATAAATTGATGTGATCTTTCTGTTAAAGGTGGTGGCACCTAACAAGTACTGTTATGGGTGTTAGTCTGAGATGGACAGGAAATTCAGTCACCGATATATTTAAAAGACTCACCGAAAAGGAGGTACCACTGATAGGGTTTCCAGCTTTCAGTGCTGATTGTGAAAATGAGAAATATATTTCTGAACATACTTTTTTTCTTTACTTTTTATTTAAGATATGGGGTCTCACTATGTCACCCAGACTGAGTGCAGTGGCTATTCACAGGCATAATTCCACATTTGATTAGCATGGGAGTTTTGACCTGCTCTGTTTCCATCCTGGGCTGCTTCACCCCTCTTTAGGAAACTTATAGTCCTCTGTTCCAGGGAAGTCATCATACTGATGCCATACTTAGTGTGGATACCCTATTGGCATAGTGCAGTACAGCCCAGAATTCCTGGGCTCAAACAACACTCCCGCCTCAGCCTCCAGAGTGGCTGGGGCTGCAGGCATGTGCCACCACACCCAGATGAAAATAATTTTAACTAATTTGATTTTACATTAATATCTGTTAAGGGTGACCTTACATTATATATGATCCAGGTCCCTTAAAGGAAGACAAACACATGATGGCTGTCTGAAGGCTTAAGTTAGCCAGAATTGGTGGGTGAATTATTTTTCACCTGATGATCTGGACTGAAGGAAATGCCCACCACTGGAACTTTGGTTAAGTTTAACACCATGTTATTCAAGATGCATCCCTCCCATGTCTACAATCTCTTCACAATACTATGATTCATTCATTCATTCATTCACAAAATACCTACTGAGCACCTGGGCTAGAAGCTGGAGATTTGAAAATGCCCAAGATACAGTCCTTGTTTTCACACAGCCACAGCCTAATTTAAAAAAACACACAATATATACAATACAGCTGTATTAGATATCTAAATGCATTCCAAACTCCATCTTTGTGTCATAGACTGTTATGCAATAGGAACTAAAAAGAAATATTCCATGTTTCACCATCTATGCTGCAAATATAATCTAAGTTTCTAAGGTTTATGAGTTCACCTCAACTATTTATTGTTCTGTTTCAACCTAGCCAGCCAGCATAACACCACAGGCTTTTTTTGTGATGCAGAAATTTTAGATGCCCAAATTAAGAGGATTCCATCTTGAGTTGACCAAAATTCTTATCATTCTCATAAATGAAAAACCTTATTTACATGACTTTTAGCCTTTGATTTGCCCACTCTACTACAGTGTTAGAAGCCCAATGTCTCCTTCTAGTTTTCCTTTACGTATTCCTGCTTGGGCCAGAAAACATTAGTAGGGATATAGAGGTGATGTAGTAAGTGGTAGCCATTTGGCCAGGAAAACTTTGGAACAAAAATCTTATAGTACAGCCTTCTTTGAATAACACCTGTGCCCCCAGGGAAAATGGGGTATTATTATGAGCAGAAAAAAAAAAGCCATCCTACCACTTGGGAGGAATTGTTAGCAGGCAAGTGATCATGTAATACACAGCAATTGTGGATTGTAAGGGCAAGATTCCAGACCATGATACAAGCCGGCTTGTCTGCCCAAGGTTAATGGGGTAATATCCTTGCTTACTCCAGCTCAGAGTCAAATTAACTTTATAAACTCTGAGTATAGGTTCTGTCTTTTGTCTATAGAAGTTAAGATTTAATATTCTGAAGGGGACCAGATGATTTAGTGTTTCATGGAGCGTTTGTCCCTCTTTTCAACAGACTGCAAACACATCCCCTTTTCCAAGACGCTCTTCTGAAAAAAGACCCAGACAGGTGAGATTCTTTGCCAACAGCCTTTTTTACTTTGTTTGGGAAATCTGTCAGACATTGTGTGAAGAGAATACCTGGACTCGTTACAGCTGTGCTTCACTGAGGACTACTGTGCATCATCCGATTTAAATTTTCGCTGAAGCTCTCTCTACAAACTGCCAAAATGGTTTCCAATACTGTAAAAGGAAAGCCGTTTAAATGAGTTTGGTTTTATAGGGTAGGGAGGAAGAAGAATCCATCATGTATCAAAGGAGTGAATTGATTGATTGCATTTTTACTTTTCAATTAATCGTTTTGGCAGCCTGAAAGAGAAGGTCAGAAGATCTGTCCCCAGTTGAATGCTATTGTTGTCAGAGCGAAGCGTGCCACTTTCAGTGACTGCTATGCTGTATTTAACATCTGGTTGTTTGGAAGCACAATGATTATTTCCTGGGAGTAGCAATTTTCAACTACTACTTTTGTATGATATTTACAAAATATCCCTTGCTCTGTGGAGATACTGACTGAGACAACAGTGGCGCTCCAGGGTAAGTCTTAGACAGAAGCAGCTCCAGAGAAGCAAGTGCACTGACAGATTGCCACTGCCCTGGGATTCAGAAATGTTCCGTGCTCATCTTCTCAGATCACTGCCTTCGTGTTTACTGGTGAAAGCACCTGCTGCTGAAAAATGCTAAGTCAGCAGCCCAAAGTTGTGGGAATTTTATACCTATTTCACACACTTACCAAACACACTTCTAGGCCAGGCTCTCACACCTGCAATCCTAACACTTTGGAAGGCCTAAGTGGGAAGTTTGCTTGAGCCCAGGAGAACCCCATCTCTACAAAAAAATAAAAAATAAAATATCTGGGCATGGTAGCTTGCGCCTGTAGTCCTAACTACTCAGGAGTCTGAGGTGGAAGGATGGCTTGAGCCCAGGAGGTTGAGGCAGCAGTGAGCCATGATTACGCACTGCACTCCAGCCTGGGTGACAGAGCAAGACCCTCTCTAAAAACTAGAATAGAATAAAATAAAATAAAATAAACACTTCTAATATGAGATATGTTAGCGCTGTAACATGAAATGTAAATCAAAAGATAGCCTGAGGAACCAAGCACTTGAACTGGTATTGGTACCAGATTTGCCATCCACAGATGGTAAATATCAGATTTTGATATTATAGGAAAATCTGCTAAATCATTGGTGTGTGCCATTCTCCCTGCTAGAGAGCTCAGAGGCTAGTCATGAAGGCAGATGTATAGTAAACACATGATTTTGCCACTGTCTGCCAAAAGTTAGTAATGCCACCTGGGCATGATGAACTTGTTTGAGGACGCTTTCATTTTGGCTGCACATCCTTGAGGATCTGTCTAAGCAACCTTAAACTCCGGAGCAATATTTCATCAATCCAGGATGAAATTCAGTTGTGATGATGGCTGCATAACTCTATCAACTTACTTTTAAAATACTGAATCGTACACTTAAAATGGAAGAAGCTTATTGTATGTAAAATATGCCCCATAAACATTAACAATGTTTGTAATAAGCAATAAATATTGTTAAATAAACAAAATATAAATAAATAGCCAATGTAATTTCCTCAGATATTTTGACAACTGCTTTGAATTAACTTCCTGCCCAACACATATATTTATATTATGAATATATATGCCATTAATGTGGCTTCTCAACTTGTCATAAGAAATGATTTGTCAGTATCCAATTTGGGCCAGGCACGGTACCTCACACCTGTAATCCCAGCACTTTGGAAGTCTGAGCCAGGCAGATCACTCGAGGTCAGGAGTTCGAGACCAGCCTGGCCAACATGGTGAAACCCCGTCTCTACTAAAAATAAAAAAATTAGCCGGGCATGGTGGTGGATTCCTGCAATCCCAGCTACTCGGGAGGCTGAGACAGGAGAATCACAGGAGAAACCCAGGAGGCAGAGGTTGCAGTGAGCCAAGATTGCTCCACTGCACTGCAGCCTGGGTGACAGAGCCAGAATCCATCTCAAAAAATATATAGATAGATAGATAGATAGACAGATAGATAGATAGATAGATAGATAGATAGATAGATAGATAGATAGATATAGATATAGATATCCTCAGCTATTTTGACATATGTATATATACACACATATATATATCCTATTTTTTACATATAATTAACTATTTTTAAATCAAGATAAACATTTGTTTGCTCTTATGTCCAACTGAACACAGAATACATTTTAAAACCAAAAATACATTTTAGATCTAGACAGTATATCAATAAGGATGAATATTTCCTGATCAATCATTGGGAAAGAATGAAAATAAGAATAACTTTATAAATGATCACAGAAAGAATGTCATAACCATACCCTTAAGAATAATTGTCTGATATTCTGATAAAATTATATACACAAGTTTCTCTCATAGGAAGATAGTACTTAATGCTTTAAGAATTAAATTCTTCATATATTATATGGCTATTTTCCTATCGTTGGTGCCTTACTTAGAGTGGGGGGAAAAGCCTTGATTCATTTTAGCATAACTACTAAATTTTTCACTGAAAGATAACTATCCTTCTTCCTTTAATGTAACTTCTATTTTCACTGGTTTGAATAATGACCATAAATCTTTAAATAGATACCTTACAAAAGCCAGTTATCATTCTTTCAAGCTCTATGATCCTTGCCAGTGTATCTAAAACTGGTTCAGACTCAAAAGTAACTTCCCACAGAAAATTGCTGCTTTTCTTGAGGTTTAGGGAATGAATCTACTCTTAAATACTATTTAATCTGTAATGTAAGGAAGCCACTCTCTTTCTAGGCAATTAAAGGGAGACAAATGGTGAACATCTAGAACCGTCCATTTGTATCTAATTATTCTTTTTATTATAATAAAGTTCAACAGAAATGCTTTCAAAGGCTTGAGACGACAAAATCATTTATTCCTACTATTTGGTGTTGTTCTTATGCACTTAATTTTATGCACAATGGTCCCATAATTATTCTGAGGGGGGAGGATAACTGCTAATTTCCATAATTTCCAATTATTATTTGATCCTCACAGTAATTCTTTAAGCCAGGTATATTATTATTATTAATTATTAGAGATAGAGTCTCTATCACCCAGGCTGGAGTGCAGTGGTGTGATCATAGCTCCACTGTACCTCCTGGGTACAAACTATCCTCCTGCCTCAGCCTTCCAACTAGCTAGGACTGCAGACATGTGCCACTACGCTCAGCTAAATTTTTTTCTTAAAGACAAGGTCTCACTATGTTGCCCAGGCCTGGTCCTGAACTCCCTGGCCTCAAGCAATCCTCCCTCCTTGGACTGCCAAAGTGCTGGGATTACAGGTATGAGCCACCACACCCGGCCTTAAGCAGGGCATATTATTATATCCTTTCAATAGTTTGAGAAACTGAATCTTAATGAGGTTAAATATCTTGGCCAAGTTTATTAGGCCAGTGAGTAGCAGGGACAGAATTCAAACCCAGGACTGATTCTAAAGTCAGAGTTAACTGCTTGCCAGTCGAGTAAGAAAAGCTGAAAACCAAAGAATCTGACACAAAACTCTGGTCTGGGGGAAGCTTTCCAAAGGACAGAATCAGACCAACCCCAAGTTTGTGTTGACTCTGAAGAATTGAGTTACCCTGAGGCCTAGATGTAAATATTATGCCAGAAGATACTGGCTCGTGGGAAAAGCTGCCCCAAGGACTTACTGGAAGGAGTACTCTCCAGGGAGAAGACGTAGGTTTGCGAATTTCAGCCTAAGACAGAATCTGGTTATGGCTAACAAAAGTTGTGACCTGTCACTTATGGAAAATTATAAATTGATATTTGCTTCTAACCACTTTAGCTGGGTTACTTTAATAAGACCATTATGATGCTCACAGATGGCCAGTTGCCTCACTGATCATCTCAAATGCAAAGAGTGGCTCATACAATTTGGAAAGGACAAAGACCAAGCTGAACAGTAAGTTTTGGCTGGAAACACCCTAAACATTTTCTAGGAGCGCTTTCTTCCTGCTGGCAGAAGAAAACAAATCTACTTGGTTATTATAAGATGTTTCATTTTCTTCTTTTTACCCCCAAAGAAAAATATGCTTTCCTGAGAAATCTGAAATTATAAGGTGCTCTTTTAGATATTGCCACATAATTTACACTTCTGGCAAAGATTCTCCCCGCAGCCACTTGGGATGCATTCTCATTCAGCACACTGGCACTGTTATGTACTTTTGATAAAGGTCTTATTCACTGGAATGACCATGGTAACCCACTGTCCTTCGATTGTCCCCACTGGACTATTTGTTGGGTGGCTTGAATTGTTAAGTGATTGGATGACCCTGTTCCCCACAAAGCCCGTTAGGTGGAGATGAAGCACAGATGAGTCCATTTAAGGGCTCATCAAGGTCTGGCAAGACTGGAGCTGGGTAGCTCTCCTTGCCTTGGCCAGGACCTCCAAAGCTTTCTGTTTCCACATTGAAACTTGGCCAATCTTGTCAGCTCAGTGACAATGAAAAAAAAAATGAAACTTGGTTAATAGGATTATATGATTTGGGGAGTAGAATGTTGTTACAGATGATTTATTTTGAAAGCTGATTTCACTCTAGCGAAAACAAGCTCAACCCATTACACCAGAGACTGTGGTGCCAAACACAATCATTTCCAGTTTGAAAGATGTGATTGCTTTTTAATGTGGAAATTTCACAAGGTTACAAAAAGGAAAAAAATTAAACTCCTTTCATATAACAAAGTCACTTTGGAATATGGGTTGCAATGCACTGACAATGTCCAGACACCCTTACCACCTCTTACCACATCACAAGTCAGAAAGGTGGATCAGTTTGATTTACACCATTTCTTGGTTGTGTTTTTCTCATGCCTTTGAAATAGCCTAATAGTTTTTCACCAAAATAAATAGTAATATATGTTCAATACTGGAAGTATGCATGGTCAGGCAAGGACAGGAGAGATAGAGGAGATAATCCAGGTAAAGAAACCTCCTCTGCAGGCTTGTGCTTGCATGTGTGTGTATGCATATGTGTTTGAATTGTCCTCCACCAAAATGACCTCATTTGCTTTCTCAGGTTTGACCAGACCAGTAGCCTGTTTTTTTAGTTGGTTCCAGTTTGTACAACCTGGGTTCACTAGGTTCTGTACCACCTTCTTCCTCCCCAATCCCATACCTTTGAGAGACTTTGATAGAAGTAAAGACCCATCAAAAAAATTTTTAAAGTGATCATAGAATATGGCTGAGATTATCAAAATGGTGACAGTTAGGTTTTGGTTCTGCCGTATTTCATCAGATCTTAAAACTCTTTGCTAGTCTGTAATCCAGAGTGAAATTCTTAGAAAAGAATCAGTGGCAGAAAGTGTTTCTACTGGCAAAAATCACCAAATTGAGAAAGATCAAAAATTTAAGCTGTTTTGAAGAGAATTGGATATTTTTCATTTCTGCATCCTTAAATTAGGCCTTCATCCATAGCTGTGGATGATGATTCTAGGGGGTTGAGGGGGAAATACGGCAATGACAGTGTAGCAGCATTTTTCAGAACCTGGGATAAAAATGACACATACACCATGAAACCTTTTTGTCCTTCCAGTAATTGTTTTGTTTTGTTTTGTTTTTTTGCCTGTGAATTTTGAATACATGTCATCCTGTTCTTTTGTGACTGACAGGAAGAAAGCAGGTGAAGAAACTCTATGATTGCAGGGCTCCTTGCAGAAGCTTGGCCGACAAAATTATTATTGCATCTGCTGGACCCAGCACAAAAGGACAGAAGTCCAAGTAAAATTAAAGGATCCAGGAAACTGGAAAGGAAAAGTGCTTGCCTTTTTTAAGGTGAAATTTGAGCAAAATGAGTTGGGAATCAGAAAAATAAGCAAAACGAGATTAGAACATCCAGTTTTCAGTTTAAGCCATTCCTAGTTAGCTCCTGGGTGTTCACACTTACTCCACCATGCATTGAGCACTCAGACCAACCCAGAACTCCTAGATCACCCAAGTCTAATGTAGTGAGTATACATTTTCTTTCTCTTTCCTTTTTAGATTATTCCTTTTCTGTTCATTGTCACTTCAGTTATCATATTGGAATATTGACCCTGATTATTATGCTTCTTAGCATCAATTCACAAAAGAAGAAGACAGGCACTATAAAATAGAATTTGGGATCATATAGATCGATGTCACTGGTGCCTAGAGAAAAGGCAACATTTATTGAGTGGCTACATTGTTCCAAACATTGCATCTACTTATCTCATTTAATCCTCACAAAAACTTGAGACAGATATTATTATCATACTTTGTGTTGGGAGGAAATTGAGATGCAGAAATTTTAATAGCCCACAGATTCATCTGATTTATAGCCCCTGCTCATCCCATTAGGCCGTTCTGCCTCCCAACTTCATTTGAAGTAGCAAAAGCCTATTGATTCTACTAGCTGAGGGATGGGCTTATTTAATGATATGAGCCTAGTTATTTTGCCTTTTAAGATCTCAGGGCCCTTGATTATGTGACTTTGAGAGAAGAGTTTGGAGATCTGCAGATGAAAGGAAAGTGAAACATTACATTCAGTAGTCAGTTAGATAATGATAAACTGTTATTGGCAATGTAGGTTGGTCCAGCAAGTAAGGCTTTGAGACCAATAATAATAAAAATATCATCTTACATTTATATTATGTGCACAGGTCTTTGTGCTCTTTCATATATATCTTCACATTTAATCCTCCAACAACCCTGTAACTAATCAAGACAGAGATTATTATCCCATTTGATAGGAGAAGAAACTATGAGTTAGAGCGGTTTAAGCAATTTGTTTGTGATCACATGGATAAGCAAAAAAGAGTCTAAACCCAGCTCCACTTTTCTATCTCTTAAGCCAGTTCTCATTTCTCTATGGTAGAATGTGAGCTTTATATCCAACTTAGCACTGGCGTCCTAAGGAAACTTTGCCACCTCTATCATCCTTCTATTGTGCTGCTTATCATACTGTATTTAAGTTACTGGGTCACTCACCTTCATATCCATCAACTTCAAGCTCCTTGAAATGAGGGACTTTTTTTCTTTCTTATTGAAAAAAAAACATTTTATTTAAGTTTCTAAATTGACCAGAGTGCAAATTCTTAAATCCTACCATTCAAAACTGACAGTTGCCAACAGTTTGATATTTTTTTTCTGTCTTTCATCTCTGTATTCTTAGTACCTAGCATAATGCCTGGCATAGAGTGGATGTCTAATGAATGTTGGTTACATTTAACTGTGGGATCCATAATTATGGGAATGAATTAGAAAATTGGTTACCTAATACAGAAATAATATTTGGTATTTATTTCTTTTATTCCTAAAGTTGTCATATCTGAGATGTTTCTGAAACATTTATCCATATTTTACTATTTTATGGTAAGATGACAATGGTAATCATAAGAAGGTTTTGGAAAATGACATCTCTTGCTATGTGTTTCTTTAAAGGCGAACTATACATGCCCCTATGACAATATCCCCACAATGAATGCCATACTAGGTATGGATTGATGGTTTCTTCAGTTTTGTTTTGTTTTGTTTTTAATGATTCCTTCTTGAATTTCAGTGGTTGCTAAGACTGCACATCTACACAGGAATAGAAAACTACATGAAACCAGACTCTAAGCTCAGAGGGCAAGCATGCACACGCACCAGAAATCATGCTATTCCAATCCAAATGAACTAAATCCTTCCGTAACGTGTGGTCAAGGAGTTAAGTTCTAAAGGAAAATGCAAATAGCCTAAAGTGGAAACCATATACGTCTGCCTCCTTCAGTCTCTAAACCTATGACAGAACTCTGTGGAGAAAGGTGGCAGCAAAGCATCTTAATGTTCTCTTAATACTTCACCAAGTAATGATAGCCTCACCAAGTGCTTCGAAGGAACTAGACAGTAAGGGCCAAAGTTTGGGTTTGGAAAAGAGAGGAAGCAAACTGACTCTGTGGTTTGTTATGAGATCCTGGGAGGAGCTTTGAGTGTTACAAAGAATCTTTCCTTTTCTAACCTATCCAGCCTCCTCCTACTCCCTCATGGGTTTTCTTCTTTTTTCATAGAAGCTTGGCAGGCTGGTTAAGAAAGGATAACGGGAGAAAATGACCCCTCGGCTCAGGTATCCTTTGGCCTATGACTATGGGCCCAATAGTAGATTGTGAGACTAGGTCTTTTTCATTGAGTCTGTCTTACTGAGAGGAAAAACTGCTTTGTGTGATGACTTTATGGCAAATGCTAGCAACAGCTCTGCCCTGCATACTGAAAGAGAGACATTTCTGACCGCAGCTCATGAACCACACTTATTTACTCTGGCACATGCCCACTATTTGTTCATAGGCTTTCTGTCTCTACTAAATGCGTTCCAATTTTGGAGGCTAAATCATTGCCAGTAGTTTCCAGGACATTCCGCTAGGCTAAGCAAAATTGCCCTAAGCGGTAGTCAGAAACCACTGGAGTAGTATTGTAAATACAGACTATTTGCAGAAAATGAAAGATACCGAACATCTTATCTTTTTTTGTGCTGCAGAAATCCATGAGTTGTATTTTGCAGAAAGCCATGCAAGGCACTAGCAAGAAACAAGAGGAGGGTACGAGGACTTTCATCCCCACTAGAGCTCAGAAATTGTGCTCAAAACCACTTTGAAAGTTGGGCACAGCCTAAAACAGTTATAAGGGCATACTATGGCCGTGTTCAGGAGGCATGCTAGAGATTAGGTACAGCCTAACCAATAGTAGCTTTTTGCTCAGTATGGATTTTTAAATGATCTGAAAACAGTGGAGCAATAATAAGAAGAAAATAAATGGTGGTCCTCATGGGCATCTTTATAACCATTTCTGTATTCAGTGACAGCCGTCCCCTCCCAATGTCAGTCATCACCTTGGACTTAAATGATGGCTTAATGGGTCATGTTGAACCACGCTGAGTCTGAGATCTAGGATAATTGAGAAATTCTCCATTTGTAATAAAACCTCCCAGCACTATTGAGCTGTGTATTCCATATCTTGTTTCAGGCAGGGACTAAGAAAAGGAGATATTACATGATATTGCTTTCCTGTGCATAGCTCTTTCACATGTTTCCTATTAAATTTGTTTCCAACCAAGCGGAGATTTTATTTACACATTGGCTTTAATAATAAATAAGTGTGTGCATTATAAATTCAGCAACTTTGGTATCAACTCGCCGATATGATCATGTTTGTGTTTGGAAAAGGGAAGGAAGTTCACTCTGAAAGCAAATGATCTATCAAAAGGAATAATTTTTTTTGGAGGTGGCTAAGCAGATTCTTGCAAGTACTTACATATTGCATAATACCTCTTGAGACTTATTGAAATAAATCTTCTTCATCCTAAGGGCAAAGCAAAATTAAGTTGAAATAAACCACAATTAAAACTCCATGCATTGAGTTAGGAGGGAGAAGGAAGCCTATACATATCTCTATCCATGTGTATTCTGTTAACATTTAAGACATTTTAACTTTGGGTAGTGGACAGCATGAATGGGGACTAGGTAGGAACAAGGCCACCACATCAAACTGATAGTGGGGTAGAAGAAACATTTGACACCTCTCGCCTTCTCTGCCCTCTGTCTGTGTTTAATTTTGCTAAATCATTCCCGTCTGGAGATTGTATATTTTAATCTGCCTCTCCAAGCAACACAGAGGTACGGTGTCAGGAAGCTTGATCTCAGAGGCAGGCAAAGAGATGCAAAAGCTATAAAGACCCCAAGGCCCAAGAAAGACAGAAAAGGAACAGGGCGGGGTTGTGCCTAAAATGGCATTAGCCTAAAATTGGCATATGGAGTAACTGGGAAGATGGCACTGGGAGATGTAACATTCTCTCATGGTAAATTTAGGACTTTATCTGTGTTTGTGTTTTTAAAAGTTAATATCCCTTTGAAAGGTCTAAAGATGACTTCCTGGGAAATATAAACTACCCTGAAATTTTACTGGAGAAGACATTCCATAGCAACCAACTTCAAAGTGAGCTAGATTTGTCCATCAGAGATACAAAGGTAATAGAAAAGGGGGGAAAACTGAAATGTGACAAAAACTAAAATATGTGTTGCTTGTGTGACCATGCATTGAAACATCATGACACGATAGCCCATATCAATAGTCAGTTTAAGAGAAAAAAATATCGCCCTGTCTGCATATCCTAACACAGCTCCCAAATAAGTCACTTAGATCTGTTTGGGGACAACTTTGAATTCACATGTTCTAGGTATTGGTTTTAGGTATCATGTCCATATATAGAAAATGGACATGATAATAGTTTCTACCTATAGATTAAATATGAGGCCCAAATGAGAACCAAGCAAATAACGTGCTAAGCATGGTACTTGGAACAGACTAGCTACTCAAAAATTATAACAATTATTATCTAGAAATCTTGCATGATGTGAGAATTTCTTTAATGTAGTGCGATAATGATAACTAATAGCTTCCTCCCCAGAAAAGAACAGCCTTGACCCTAATTTATAATTATTTTGTTTATTTCTCATATTTATATTTTATTTCTCATATATATTTTCCCCTGCTCAGGTTTATTGAGAACTCTATGAATTTAGCCTCATTGCAGCATTGCTCACCACTGTAATAATCCCCTAACAGTATTAGCATTGTGATTTTCATGAAAACAAACAGCAAATATGGTGTGGGCTCACACACAGATCTGCATTGCAACTCTGAATGGGGAAAAAAACCCTTCTGAATGGCATTTCTTGATGTTTTAATCAATATGACCATTTAAAAAGATGATTAAACTATCTATTTATGCTTTTTGCCAATAAAGCAGATGCTGATTATAACAGTTCTGTAACCTCATCACTTTCCTACAAAAATCCTTGCTTAGTTGCATGTGTCTAGTAGCAATGCCATTCTTCCTTAAAACTTAACAATTATGACTCTAGGTTGTTTTGTTTAAGCATCTTTCCATATTAATTATTATTTAGTAGTTATAGGAGCAGTAGAGTAGTTAGCTCAAATGAGAGAACAATTAGTAAATGAAGACCAGAGATTTGTGCAGTGGGTGTGTGTATGTGCATGTGTGCACATGTGTATGCTTAGATGGCACTGGAAATTTTATGCCCTGTGTGCATTTATGCATGTGAAAGACACACATTTACATACAAAAACCACATAATTATTAAGAATCAACAATGGTGCTCTTGATTCTCACTAGAAATCCTGTAAGTCACATGGGAAGTTTTCCTAAGAGTTTAAGGTTAAATCAGAGTCCTGTCTAGTCAATAACTCAATGAATATGTTCTGGCTAGGCTATGAAGATATTCAAAAAATATTGGATTAGTAGAACAAAAATGAAACATAAACAGTGTCAAATCAAAACTGCTGGGGCATTTTTTAAAAGTTCTTTGGCTTGAGTCATTATGTAATCAGAAATAAAGCATTGTTGCTGTTTTCTAAGAGACAGTTGGAGAGCAGAGTGCAGACTGCATCAGCAACACATCAACACTTAAAACAGGCATGGATTGTGAGATTACATATTACAAGTATGAATCAGCTGCACATACTTCTGAATCATTTGCCTTTCTGATCTTTTAGGAATAAGCTGTAGTCAAACCACGGGCTGAGGCCAGGAGTGCCTGGGTGAAGGTGCATATACACTATATATATATACACTATGCACCCTCACCCAGGCACTCCTGGCCTCAGCCCATGGCGCCAACCCCCAGGGAGGAGAAAGGTGTGTACAGTCCCTAGTCTTCCTGTTGACGGAGCAGTCAGGCACATTCTCAGGCTGTCTTGCTCCTTGACAGCACCTCCTCTGTCAGCTGCGATGACACCTGGCTATGCGAAACAGATACTCCGACTCTCCCAAACTCCACAGTTGGGCCTTCCTTACTCAGAACAGGTAGTTGTCTACGTGCATGATTTTGAGGATGTTTTAAAAATGTTCTTGCCCCCAAAATATTACTCCCACCGATTTGAAACATAAGTCCTGGAATTTCACCACTGAAAAATTCACAACTTTAAGTTAAAACACTGCTGTTGTAGAAGCCACTCTTGAAGTATAAAGCCCCTACCCTCCACCCCTGCATTAGGAGGAACAATGTATTAAATCGTTTTTACCTTTTCTGCTCTTATTCTAATTAGATTATCAGATCACTTCCTTTTCCCTTGGAAGGCAGAAATAAATATCCAATGGGAATAGGGCATGATACAGGTAGAATCTGATAAGAAATTTGGCAAACATGAGAAGTGGACAAGGTCCACAGCGTATCAGCTCAGGTAAGGGCCACAACGAAGGGACTCTGGGTAACCAGATTACAAAATTACACCTCTGGGTTGGGTAAGTAAGTGGGGAAAGGGGAGGAGTGGGAGAAGGAGTAGGAGAGAGGAAGAACACTTCCAAAATAGGTAAATGTTGCCAAAGAGCCACTTCCCAGCATTTCCTAAGGCTGGCCCTGCTAGGGGGTAAACCTTCCAGCAAAATACATCCTAAAAAATGTCACCTTTCCCCAGTGAACACATATCCCACCCCCACTCTCTCCTCTGCCTAGTTCCCATACAGAAGGCTTACAGTTGCTGTGGCAGCCTCTAAATTTTTCCACGAACCACTCATGGAACAAAAGTATTTACGGAACCTAGAGTTCTTCAACCAAATAATCATATGACAGATTTCCCAATTCTGACACCTAAGCCTTGGCCTTGGCACATCAATAAATCCCTTTCATGTTGTTAGCTGGAAGACAGTGAGTAAGTCTCTTGAGAATTACAGAGACGTGCACAGGCTACTCAGAGTACCCCTGCCAAAAGAAGATGTAGTGCATTATGGGTAGTTCTTGTCCCTTAGTTAGGAATAGGTCATTATTTTTAATCAGGGAATACATTTTTCTATCTTATGAAATCTTCACCTTCTTTTGGCAGGCCTTTAGTTTTTTAAGAAAGCTGCATATATTTTTAATATATAATATATATGACCTATTAAGATGATCCCAGTACGATTGGTTTCCTGGAAGACTAGAAGCCTGGTCTATCACTCCACCCTCTCCAACCACCTGATGCCATTACTTCCAAGTCATGGAACTTCCCTATGCACTCAAGAACTGCAGGGTTCTTTGGGCAATTTCTCAGGCTGTGTTTCATAAACAGGCCCAGAAACTCCTGGAAATGGAGCTGTCTCAATTCATATGAAAGAAGCCTCTCCAGAGTTTCTTATACATCTCCTAGGAGAGGCAGGGGAGGTAGGATGAAGGGAGTGGAGTTGATGCCTAAGATAGGAAAAGACATAATTATTAGGAGAAATTTCCTTTAGCTTTTCAACCCAGTTCCCTAAGTTAAGAAGGGATTTAGGAGTCCAGTTTTCCTGATACTTTCTTAGTATTAATAAAAGCATGGAATTTGTTTAAATTAACACTAGAGGAGTATCATTGATATTTCAGCATCTGTCAGTGTCTTATAATGAAGCTATGTATACCAATAATAATTTTTAATGTACTTTCATTTTAACTAGAGGAGGAGGAAAAAGAGGGAGAAGAAGAAAAACACACTGAAGCTACTCTGTTTCATTCAATTTAATTTTTCAAGCAAGCTACAAACAAGGATGAAGTCATTATGCATCTATTATCTCAAACATTCATAATGTTTTACTAAGTATATTATTTATTCTCACAGCAACTGTTTCAGGAATGCAAAAACCAGCAGAATTATCTATAGTTCACAGATGAGTTACAAAATAATTAGATAAAAACAATTTAGTTTCCTCACTAGTTGTTTTGTCTTCATAATTCCACATTATTTAAAAGACTTTCTTTTTTTACATCGAGTTGATTGGGTGCTTCAGTACAATAAGGACACAGCCTTAGATGAAAAAAATAGTGGTCAATTTTCCAAAATTAAATAATGAAAAAATGGTGGTGCTGCTACTACCATCAGCCAAGAATATAGTTGTAGAAATATCTTATCAGAAATATCATTCTACTCATCAACTCAAGAAAACCTTTCTTGTGAACCATACAGATTAAATAGTTTTAACAGAGATTATGTCTAAGAAGGCCACCCAAACTCACCTTTCAATTACTCATTCCCTTGTAGCAACTTTAGAGACATTAAGTATCTTAGGCCACAAATACATATGTTACATTGAAATTGAGTACATTTGAGTTTTCTATCCTCTGGGCTAAAATTAGTAGTCAATCACAGACTCTTTCTTCGAGATAATGTTACCAAGGAAAAAATGTCTCTTCAAGATTCTTGTGGATTAGATAGATGAAATTCTCCCTATACAAGGCTAGTGCCTCTGAACAATTTTGATCCTGACCCAGTAAAAATAATCTCTACATTTGGTCTTTGGAATCTGAGGAGGAAAACTAAAACAACTGGTCATTACTGAAGGGGGCTTCAATAATTACTTTAATGGGAGAGAGTGATTTTATGTGAAGGTCTTCGTGACAACTCAGGAAGAAACAAGCAAAAGAAAAACTGTTTTCACAGCTTGTGACAAACCAATACCAATAAATAAGAATGACACCTTGATTGTTTATCCCAGGGACTCTAATACTTAGGTTGACCATATAATTTATCGTCCAAACCAAGATTCATCAGACAGTGAACAGGGTTGCAATTAACAATTATGCTGGAAAAACAGGTGTAAACCAGGACAGTTCAGGCATGCAGGGCTTACAGTTACCTTAGTAATACTGGAAAGGGGGATTGATTATAGAAGAACACTGAGATAGGGCAGGTTTCTAATTAATGTTGAATATGAAGGGGACATCCATAAGGATTTTAATACATGCTCATTTTAACAGTAGCAGTTAGTGACATCCCAGTTATGCCCTCTTTTTACTGATGATGAAATTGATGAGCTTTATCTTGTCAAATGGTAGATTATCTTATATCTCAGGCATATTGGAAGGGACATGGGTTCTTTTTTTAACCCTGGAGATCAGTTATTAGCATAATCATGCCCTTATGACCTGAACATGAATGCCCTTTCCTTAGAGAATAACCTACTTACCTGGAAGAAAGGAGTTTTCAATCAATCTTTCAGAACTTACAATGTATTAAAGGTGATGTTCATCACAGATTATCTTGGGGGAATAAGAGACCATCGTTAGGATGGAGCTTGGCACACAGTAGGTACACAATAAATGTGTGTTGACAGAGACTCAGCAGAATAAATAATTTTTTTAAAAGAAATCATATATTTGTTTTTATTCAACTTTTCCTAAACAGTTGAATATAAGAGAGAAAATACACATTAGAGTCAACAAATTGCCTGTCTGTAGAAATCACAGCAAACAAACTGCTATACAGAACTTACAGAAGAGATAGTATCTCTCGGTAGAACAAGCTTAAAAGATGAAACAGCCTTTCTTTTCTTTTGATTTATTTGTTATTATGAAAAATAGGATTAAGCATATTTAATTGAAGTATCTATCCCTTCCTTGATAGGACCATCATCTTGGAGAAGAAATTTGATGTTGGTGTTGAATAAAGTTCACCAATGATTTGGCCATGAAATAAGAGATGGAGGAGTTCCTGAAAGCCTGTGTAGAAAGACTTACAGAAGAAATAAGAAACTGAAGTAAAGGAAACAGGAAATAATAAAAAGAAAGGATAGGGAAGATGTTACATTTAGGGGAAGCTGGGTGAAGAGTAGAAGAAACTTCTATATACTCTTTTTGCAAATACTTGTAAGTCTACTATTATTTCAAAATAAAAAGTTAGAACAAATTTTTTTAAAAGACATGAGAAAATTGAGATGGAGAAATAAACTGTCTTAAGAGCAATTCCATATAATTTGAATAGGCTAAAGGAAGCTTTAGTGAACTTCTCACCATTCTTTATTCAATATTCAGGGAACATTTTTTTGAGCACTTTCTTTGTAACCGTCATTCTTCTAAATGTTAAAGATGTAGTAAACAAAAAATTTCTGTTCTTATAGGTCTTATATTCCAGTTCATATTTATAATAGACAACTAATAGGTAGATATATAATGTGTCAGATGATGGTAAAAATAAAGCAGGGTAAAGGGGTACCGTGAAATGGGTGAGTGCTGTTCTAGATAGGATATTCATGGAAGGTTTCTGATAAGGTAACATTTGGGCTGAATGAAGGGAGAGAACTGAGCCACATGAATACTTGAGAAAAGAGTATTCCACACCTATGGCAAGTATAAAGGCCCTGAGGTAGGAGCATGCCTGGTATGTTCAAAAAACAGCAAGGAAATCAAGGTGGCATGAAAACAGCAAGGAGGAGAGAATGGGGGCTGACCAGAGAGACGTAGAGTGAATACAGGAAGCATGTAGGCCTTGAAGGCTATGGTGAAGACTTTGGATGTCACTCTGAGTAAGATGGGAGCCATTGGAGGGTTTTGAGTAAAACAATGGCATAAACTGATTTGTATTTTTTAAAGAACCACTTTGGCTGCCATCAGTGAACAGATTTTAGGGGGAAAAGATGGAAGCAAGGGAGCTGATAAGAGGCTATTGCACTAATCTAGGTGAGTGATAATCAGGCTTAGACCAGGGCTTTAGTGGTGGAGGTAGTGAAAGCAGTTAGAACAAAGTAGAGCTTCAATTAAGTTGTCATTTAGCAAATATGAAAGGTTAGTGCAGGCAGGTGGGTCCACTTGTTTTGGACATGTTAAGTTTAGATGCCTGTTAGAAAGCTAAATAGTGGTGTCAAGAAGACACCAAGTCCACTTTTGGAGGCCGAGGGGGGTAGATCACCTGAGGTTCAAGACCAGCCTGGCTAACATGGTGAAACCCCATCTCTACTAAAATTACAAAAATTAGCCAGGCGTGGAGGCAGATGCCTGTAATCCCAGCTACTCAGGAGGCTGAGACAGGAGAATTGCTTGAACCCGGGAGGCAGAAGTTGCAGTGAGCCAAGATCATGCCACTGCACTCTAGCCTGGGCAACAAAGAGCGAAACTCTGTCTCAGAAAAAAAAAAAAAAAAAAAGAACAGAAGAAGGAGACACCAAGTCCATAGTTTAGGTACAAGCTGGAGTTTGCACATAAAAAAACTTGGAAGACATCAGCATGGAGATGGTATTCAAAGCCAAAGGCTAGATGAGCTCACTGAGAGAATGGGTTTGAATAAAGAAGGCAGGTGGCTCGAGAACTGAGCAGTCCCCACTTTTCAAGGTGAAAGAGGATAAAGAAGAAACTCAGGAGTAGTCTGTGAGGCAGAAGAAGATCCAAGAAAGAGAAGTGTCCAGAAGACCAAAAAAAAGTATTGCAAGGAGAAAGTGATTGGCTGTGACCAACAAGTTGGGAGGTAAAGATGGAGACTGAAAACTGGCCACTGGATTTAGCAAGTAAGTACCATAAATGACCTCAACACAAGAGTTCAGAGACAGCGGTTAGGGCTGAAAGCCTGAGAGGAATAGGTTTAAGGATGAATGGGAGGGGAGAAAGTATCTTTACAAAAGTAAAGTCAACGTTGTCAAGGGGAATTGCTGTAAAGGAAAACAGAGAAATGGTGTGGTATGTGAAGGGGATGTGGAGTTGAGGAAGTTCTCTTGGATTTTGTTCTTTGAGACTGGAAATACAACTTATTTGTAGATAGGAATCATCCAGAAAGCAAATAAATCTTCCTGAAATAGGTCAGGAGTTTTATTTAACCAAGTTGAAGTGTGTAAAGTAGGAATCAGGAAGATTTTAGTTGCATTATTCTTGATTAATTAAAAAGGGAAGTGGCTGAGAGAGGAACTACCAGTAGTATTACCATGATTTCCATGGTCATGACCTTAGCTGGGCCCTATTGATAAAGGTGAATGCATGAGAGTAAAGATAAAGGAATAGAAACTTCACAAAGCTTCAGAGAAAAGGTCAAAGAAGAGATCTGAAATGAATCCATGAGATATAGCAAACAGCAAAATAAAGCTAGACAGAAATGCTGGAGAATTTTCTTGATAGGTGTACAGAAATCAAGTGCAATTATTTGGGTTTGAGATGTATGAGTTATTTATTATAAATTGCTATGTGCCTTGTGTAAAACAAAATCAGACAATATAGAACTACATAGGATAAAAAACGGAAAGTATGTGTGCGCACACGCACGTGCACACACACACACGTGCACACACACACACTTTCTTTTTCCCTAGGGGGAACCACTGTTAACAATTTGGTGCATCTCCTTATAGATGTGTATATGTGTGTGTATATCCATGCATATATGTATGTATGTATAATTACATTACAAAAATATCATATACTATTTACACTATTCCGCACCTTGCTTTTTATACCTAAAATATGTCTTTTGTATTTTTCCATCTCAGTAAAGATAGCTCTACTTTCTTCTTTATTAAAAAAATGAATAGGCAATACATGAACATGATACACTATATAAAAGGGACAACAGAGATAGTCTTCCAATTTCTGAGTCAGTCAGTTTCTCCCCAGAGACAACCACTATTACCAGTTCCTTAAATGTCCTTCCTCAGTTAGGCAATGCATAGAAACATATATGTATGTATTTATACAAATGGTAGCACACCATACACATTGTTCTGTGCTTTGCTTTTTAAATTTTAACTGTGTATCGTGGATACCACTCCATAGATGAAGCTGCCTCATTCTTTTAAATGGCAATATAATACTGCACTCTATTGTCTTTATTTAATTAAATCCTGTATCTGAATGTTTCTAATTTTTCACAATGAGCTCAATGCAACCATACTGAGCAATAATGAAGAACTTATTCAACAAGAAGAAAGAAAAAAAACAAAATTAAAAAAAAAGACCAAAAGAAATCATTTGAGACTGTAAAGAATTGTGAATTAAGACCAAATGAGGCCAGGCACGATGGCTCACACCTGTAATCCCAGCACTTTGGGAGGCCGAGGTAGGCGAATCACTTGAGGTCAGGAGTTTGAGTCTGGCCAACATGGTGAAACTCCATCTCTACTAAAAATACAAAAATTAGCCAGGAGTGGTGGCAGGAAGCTGTAATCCCAGCTATTTGGGAAGCTGAGGCAACAGAATCACTTGAACCAGGGAGGCGAAGTTTGCAGTGAATGGAGATCACACCACTGCACTCCAGCCTGGGTGACAAACTAAGACTATCTCAAAGGAAAAAAAAAAAAAAAAACTAATGTCACTAAAATGATCCATTTACTGGGAAAACTCCAAAACAAAAAACAATAGTGAAATTTTCCTTCTATATAAAATACATTATTAACTGAATTGGCTAGAAAGACAATGTCTTGTGGCGGCTAGTCTTAGGCATGGAAGATGTCAGTTCTGTGACCACTGGGTAGGTGAGTAAAATTGAATCATTCAATTCTCTTTGCTTCACTTCCCCATTTGGAAGAGGAATAATTGTGTTCAATGTCTCTACCTGCTCTGAAGACATGCAGGAAAAAACAGAAACATGAACCTGCACATAGCAGAAAATTCTCAAGTAAGATCCTCTCGGGTAATAATGTTAGAATGACTCTGGCCAAGTTATGTCTTAAAGAGAGCAGCTGAATTTAGAGGCAGAGACATGTGTGTATCAGAATCAACTGGGAAGAGTTTTCAAACTACTCCTTGTCTTGCTCCCTCCCCGCATCCCAGTTGAGAACCATAATGACTGAAGAAAACTTCCGGTGGCTGGTGCCATAAGTGATAGGACATAAGCATTTGGGTTCTAAAAAAGGGGGAGATGCACACAGTGGTGATGAAGGTCATGAGTTTCAGTTTCAGGGATGCCTGGGTTTGAGCATTGGCTTTACTCCTTATTGACTATATGATCTTGAACTATTTATTTAAACTTTGGAAAATCTTCATTTCCTCATCTGTGAAGCACCTGCCACATAGTTAGTACTCAATAGTTACGGCATTGGTTCCTTGGTAACTCTGACCTTAACTGTCCACTTTGAACTACAGATTTAAGGAAATATCTGCTCTCATATGGGTTTATCAATTAATTCTCCCATAACAGTTTAATAGATGTAGGATCTGTAAAAACATATATGCATAAATACATAATTTTAAAGCTGGACATGGCTCTTTAATCATAAAGTTTACCCTCAATAATGCCTCATTTTATGAATGTAGAAACTGAGGCTCTGAAAGGCATGAGACTTGTCCAAGGTGATAGAGCTGATAGGCATGAGTCAGGACTAGAGCTGAATCTTCCATCTTCTAGTCTAGCATCTTCTTGTCACTTCTTGCCTCTCTAAAACCACACATTTAATAAGATAAAATATACTTGCTTTAAAAAGCTAATGATGTGAATATTATTTCCTTTCTATTTCAGGGGTCATTATATAGGACAAGAAAAATCCTGTGAAGTGATCCTCATCCAGCTAATAAAATTAACTATACAAGAAGGTATAGAAAACCCCTCCCTATCATTGCAGAGGTGGCATCCAAAGACCCAAGAAAGGAGTCAGCAATAGCCTAGGATCCAGGACTCAGAGAGAGACCCATATTGGGAAAAGGTGCTGAATAAGGGGTAGAGTTTTTATATTCCTTACCCAGCCCCAAATTAACTTCCCCAGGCTAGTCCTCTGTTTCAAGCTTCTATGCCTCCCTTGAGGAGTCACAAGATTTCCAAAAGCTCCATGTTTTTTTCACATGGCTGTTTCTTCCTCGAATTCTTTATTCCTGCCCACCTGACTAATATGGACATTAGTGTATCTGCAATAAATTTATACTACAATTCTGCCATCCTAGGCAAACATGGAGGTGACCAGACCCGCAATGAATTCAGGAAGCGGAATGTGGTTAGTGACTAATACCAAGGAATCATAAATGCAATTCAACTGATAACAGTTAGGTCTGCGCCTCTAAAAACAGGACCAAAGGATCTTCTGGGCTCCCTCAACAAAGCTGGGCGCCAACACTGACTGAATAGCTATCCTTGGGTCTGACTCACCCGACCCAGTGGAGTGGAGGGGAAGGTCACAGAACTGGAAGCACATCCAGTCCAGTTCTGGACACCTGCCTGTCTGCCCACGAATGACCACTGTGGAATCTAAGGCAAGCAGACAGCTCCCAAAACTCACCCTGGAGTCTGCCTCCGTGCATGGCCCAGCAACCACAGCAGTCTCCACTCCATCCCTGGCCACCATCAGAAAGGCATCTGTTACCTCCTGCCTGGCCTTCAGTTCTGTGGTTGCTAGTATAACCCAACGGCCATAAATTTCAAACTCTGCTAAATGTTGACCTACTTCTAACTCTGACTGCAACACTTCCCCTTTGGGATAACGGTCTTACTCCTGAGTACTCTCTGCTAAATGAGTGCCACCTTGTCTCTTTCCTCTGCATCATTATAATTAATAAGCAACAATATCATCCCTCATGATTATGTTCTTATTAGATGTTAACTGGCCTTAGCATCATTATCTCATTAAACCTTTCCACCTAAATTACTTTATCAGCTTCCCTCCTAAGGAGGTCTGGTACTGTCTGTCTGAAAGGAATCTCCTACACAAACACAAGAAACCAAAAAGGATGATCACTGGTATTTAGTCCTGCTCCAAATACTAATATTTTTAAAAAATTAATGTTATTTCTACTACTAACAATAACCTTACATTGCTATAAATCTTCTTATCCAAAGTATTTAAAGCTATACCCATAAGTTTTTTAGCTTCCTCTCATTTTTATGGGGAAAAAATGTAAAAGAATGCATTCTATAATATTTCTAACTGTTAAAACTTCCTCCCTTATCATTACCCATTTCTATTTGGAAAAACTATTTCCAGTTCTTTCATTAAGATGATGAATTTCAAAATTTTATAGAAAAGGCTGTAAAATAGGTTTGCTGGTTTACTTCAGTTGTTCTAGGTGCAATCTTTTCTTCAACTTTCCTGATAATGCTTAGCTTTTCTTTCCTTTAATAGCATTCATTTTATACATTAACCTTTTATTAAAAAGTAGATGAAAACTATTCTGCTCATAAATGAAGAACATAGACTAGTACGTTTCTCTAGAAATGCTTTCATTCCTGAGGACTAATGACATTTATTGCTTCCTCTGTTGTCCTCACAATTTCATGTTAACCATGAACTCTTTTAATCTTTTCCTTCTTTATTACTAAGTTCTGCACATTCTCCAAAGTTTGGGAAGATATGCCATCGAGAGTCCAAACTTGCCCTTTTACAGCCATTAATCATGTTTTGTTTCCCACCCTAGTCATCTCTTCCCTTCCTTGCCATCCCAAATCCCTTAACTATCTACCATCATTCATCCTCACTTTCCCAAGTAATTTGCTATTTTTTAATATCTTATTATCTCATATTCCTCATTACCCACTTATCCTTCAAACTCTATTGTTCATTTAATTTTCTCAGAAATTATACAGTCTTATTTGGCTTGCAGCATCTTTCTCCCCATTCTTGCACACCTACCTCACCTTCCCACTTTCCAACTTCCTTTTTGTTTCCAAAGGTGCAGATCATGATTTGAAATGATGGAAATAAATCTTAATCTCCTTCCACTTACTTAATTTTAAAAATCCAATGATCATTCCCAGAGGGAAACCTAGGTTTGTAATTCTCAAGCCTTGCCACAGAAGCAATCAAATACACTAGGTCTCTTTTTATTTAATCATGGATAATACAAGGAAACGCTTTCTAAAATGAAATATTGCACAGTTGGTTGGTGTTAATCTGAGATGCGCCGACCATTCTTTTTCTCCTTTGGGAGTGAAGCCTAGTATGGTCAGCCAAGGACACATTTGTGTCTTATGAATCTATGTCACATAAGCCTTTTTTCTTAGGGATCTAAATAAACCGCTAAATACAAATCCTGCTGTCATCAAGCTTTCTGTTAGTGTCCAGCCTCTTTTCTTAGAAGAGCATAATCTTAGCTTTAAAAATTTTTTGTTTATATTTTGTTTTTCAACCTTCACAGGCTTTGAGGCTGTTTTCCCTTTCTCTTGATCTTTCTTTGCTCCTCCTGAAATCTCAGGCGAATTAATTTTAGCAAACACTGCAGGCATGCAGTCTTCCCTTTATTTTCTCTATTTCAGGATCCTTCCTCACCTAATCCTTCTCCAGTTCTTTCCTTCCTATTTCAAGTGCAGGACAGGGATGAACTCCCATCTTTGGACAGCCCCATCTTTATATCATCCTTCACTTTCCTCTCATCATTTCATTTCACTCCATACACACACTACTTTCGTTCCTGACCATGTTTGGCCACTTGTGTGGCTGCTGAAGTTCTGGCAGCCTGCCTTCCTGGCCATGAGTACAGCTACTTGGTTCCTTCAGTGCCCCCCAGGTGCTGCCAAGGCAAAGGCATCATGATCATTGACTTTATCAGTGATAACACCAAGGCAATGGAAGTAAACATACATAGGGACAGCCTCATTTCATGCTTAAAGGAAGAACTGGGGCAATTTCCCCAACTCAACTATCTCCCATTGAACTTCTCTGAAGAATAGTGTTCCTTTTCAAAGCTTATTGATTTTCCCATTCCATTACAGGCATATAAAGGCCTTATATGGGAATGAGATTAGTAAATTGTAACTACTGAAACCTAGCATGCATCTCCATATGATTATGACCTTACTCTCTTTCTACACTGGCCAAAGGTATAGATGCTTGTGCAGTGGGAAATCCTGCTCATTGAATGACTATGAGTACGTTTCTTTGAAAAGAACAGAGTTTTCCTGAGTTAATCCCTTTTTTAATAATCCAAATTATCTACTCTTTTTTTCTAAAATGTGACCCCTTTCCCCCTCTGTATTCTATTACGATTCACCACGATTTCTCCTGAGGGTACAATAGAGTCTAATTTTCTTCATTATTCAATTTGGATCCTGTTAAGAGAGACAGACATTCACTGACAAGAAGAACATTTAAATTTTGGCAAATAAGTTCATTAGTATTCAGAAAGCTTTGCACCCCTCATATTTAATAAACCTTTCCATTACAGAGTAAGAAATCCTGCAAAATAGTCAAACAAATTAGCAATGGGGCCACCAAGAGAGTACATTCAACCTGGATTCAAAGATGTCTCAGTTTATTAGTTTTCTGTCAATCATTAAAACAAGAAAGATGAAACATGCAATTAGATACAAGGAGACAGAACTCCTAATTCTTTCATCCTAGCTGAAGCAGAAGAGTTTTAATTGCTTGGAAAAATAAGATTTTCGTTTTCTCTCAAGAGGGAAGAGGAAGCAAATATAAATTGCCTTAGAGTCTATGGCTGGAGGTACAATGCTCCAAACCATGCAAATGAGAGGTGGAAAGACAAGTCCATCATCTGTATGTTTTGTCTTTACAATGGCCAATATCCAGATATTTAGAAATGTGAGATAATTGGCAGAATATTCCTTTTTTCATTAGAATGTTTAGAGTCACATAGATTTACTGATTCTCTTCTTCTTAATGAGAGTGACACTGCACTAAAATACTTGAATATGTTGTCAGTTATTCCAGAGCCAATTTTCCATTTATGTGAGTTATCAGTGCCCTTTGTTTCTCTTCTAAGTCCTACCAGCTACTCTATCTTAGGAGCCTTACACTGTTTATAACATATTTACCAGAGGGAAAGTAAGGACAAGGAGAGGAGATAAAATACTAATCAATCCATTTAGTAATGATGAACATCTACAAAATTGAAGACGAGAAAATTAAAACTCTTGGCCATGGAGAGGTATAGACGTTAACTGCAGGTGTCTGCCTGTTCCTTGACCTCAACTCAGAAGTAAAATTAAGAGTTAAGAGTAATTAATTCTACCATTTAAGCCAGAAATTGAAATCTCTAATACTATTTCCTAGGATAAAATTGTGAAACCAAATAGTGTGTATCAGCAATTCTGAATTTGAAATTCCATATATTGATTTTTCCATAAAATATTTTCTGCACTCAGAGATATACATCAAATAGATCTGCTAATGTAGGAAAAAACAAAGATACAAATTTGCTTATATAGGATTCACAATAGGGTAAGAATTACTAGCAGCATCTTTTTGTTTGATTAGGCTTTTTCCTTTCCTTTTTAAAGAGGTCACCAGCCATAGGGATGTATGAATCA
Source organism: Homo sapiens (assembly GCF_000001405.40). Lineage (NCBI taxonomy): Eukaryota > Metazoa > Chordata > Mammalia > Primates > Hominidae > Homo > Homo sapiens. The sequence goes on from NC_000007.14 coordinate 96,966,577, forward strand.
CAGTATATGTGAAAACGTCTATTTGCTGAGAGGTACTCTGTAAGATTGGAAATAGTCCTTCCTACCAGGGAGGGATGGCTTACAGAGTATAAAGTAGTCAGTGGCCTTCACTGTCTGGAGGTCCTTCTACAGATTTATCCTAAGAAATAAAAGATTGTTTCTTCCTTATATCTGAAGATAGATCTTTTCACAATGACTCTAGGGCTGAATAATTATCTTTTTTTTTTTTTTTTCAAGACAGGGTCTCCCTATGTCACCCAGGCTGGAGTAATGGCATGATCTCGGCTCACTGCAGCCTCGACCTCACAGGCTCAAGCAATCCTCCCATCTCAGCCTCCTGTCATAGGCCACCACACGCAGCTAATTTGTGTATTTTTTTGTAGAGCTGGGGTTTTGCCATGTTCCCTAGGCTACACTTGAATTCCTGGGCTCAAGCAATCTGCTGCCTCGGCCTCCCAAAGTGCTGTGATTACAAGTGTGCAGCACCATGCCTGGCCCTGCATAATTATCTGATGTGTATCTCAAGGCACTCTAAAAGTTGCTTGAGTAGAATGGGGCATCTGTCTGTAGTTGGTTACCCTGGGACATGGGCACATTCCCCTGGGATATCGTTGATTCTTTCCAAAGAGAAAGACAGCAGATGAAAGAAATTAGGGTTTTGTCTCCTGGAGACTGGGAAAGTCTCAGGTTTACCTTGTATCTCCAAACCTAGCACACACCTGGTACACGGCAATGGCATATGCTCAATAGAAATGTGATGAAGGGAAGGAGAGGGAGAAAGGTAGCGGGGAAAAAAGGAGGGGATAAAGCTCCCATATGCTCTACAGTGTATATTCCTACAACCTTCCTAACTCCAAAGGGGAGAAGCAGACTCACTGTATCCTAAAACATTGATAAAACACCCACTTCAGAAAAAAGTAATAACAATCAAGTAACTATTGAAGATCTATTTGACCTAACAGCATAGAAACAGAAGAATTACACACTGGCCAGCTGTAGCGTAGGGCCTGATCTTAATGTTTTAGAGCTGGAGAGGCCTGGAGTCACTCAAGAGGCATCCAAATGGAATGTGAAATGACTTACCCACAGTCACATAGCTTGTTAGTATTAGAACACAAACTAAAACCCAGGTCTCAAAATTCCCAGCCCAGCATTTTTCACGCTGCAGTTTCCTATATAGAACAGAAGCAATAGCTGTTCTTGAATCCTATCCCTTCCTGTTTCCTAACCCAAGTCACTTCATATGTCCTTCCGCAGAGGCCCTGCTAACCTTAAGCCCTTTCCCTGGTACCACAGAACTTTGTACAACTTGCTGGGGGGAAACAGCCCATGGTCATACGCCATTTATAGAATGCAGGCTTATAGAACATGGTCAATAGGAATGATTAAGGAAATAGGAATTACCCTAATAATTGGAACACTGGCTCAATTATATCTTTGTGGCCATTTGTTAGTTGTAGCCACTGTTCTTCATACCTAAGGGGAAGCTACAGTGTAAGCTCCAAGGGGGCAGGAACCATGTCTGTCTAGCCCCTAAGTCTCTACAGTGTCCAGTAGGTACTTAACTATTAGTTGTATTTTTAAACATGACCACCAGTTCCATATTTCATGATTCCAAGCAGGTTCCATCATGGCTTTATCTACAAATAACCAGCAATGTCATCCTTTAGCCAAATATTTTTGAAGCATCCAGCTCTACCTTGTGTCTCCAATAATCTAATGAACTCAACACAGAGTCTGACCACCAGGCCCATAGGCAAAGAGTTCAAGTTCCATTTGACTTGAACTACTCTGTGAGCAATGACCCTCACCCCCAAGTGAACGAAGACTCCCTAAGGGCTCACATTATAGAAATGGAAGATAGATAGTCTGCCAGTGTCTTTATTATCAAAGCCCTGGAGTGCAGAGAAGAGACATGTAGGGTAATGAATTGGTGTCTCCCTCAGACCACTACTTGTTCAATCTTTATTAGAGGAAAGGCTGACCTCTGTATGGGCAAGAACCAAGCAGGAAGATCATGGGAGCACTCAGCCTACCCTCTGTGGTCATAAACAATCTAGCTAGAGTCCCTGTTTTATATATCCTAGTAAGAAAAACAGAAACCCTGAAGTCAAACAGCATATTCCTCTATATTCTGATTATGCCCTACTTTCTACCCCTAAGGAATTTAACAAATCATTACTTCCAACCCCACACAGAATCCTCCCTGAGAGAAGAGCTGGTAAATATATTTTCCATGGATGTGTTAGCCTACTATTGACATGTTAGTGCCCTTATAGTTTAGTCCTCCAAGCAATTGTCCAGTTGTTTTGTGTTTAATCTGACCCTGCTGACAGTCATTACTCAAAATGAAGAAGGCAATCTAGAGAGAAACTGTAGCTGATGCTCCTCTTCTCTCAGTGGGTGGACAGCCCATCCATAAAGTCTTCTTGATGATGGTGTCCAGGAGCCAGGATCCAAGGAGCTCAACAACAGCAGTGGGAAGAATTACAGGAAAAGGTCATGCTCCTCCAAGGGAGTGGGTTTTCCTTTGTCTCAGCAACTGTAAAATTATAAACAAAAGATTAAAAAGCTAAATCACTGCTCAAGTAAGGATCTTGGTAAATGCATGGTTTACTCAAAGCCTGATGACGGATTCATTGGCATCTAAATGAAGTCTGTGGTTTTCCAGACAATGGGGCAGAGACTACAGAAACACACAAATTATGCCTAAGGATTCTCTGTTCCTTCGTTAATTTTGTTGTACCAAAGAAAAAGGAAAAACTATAATTGCAACTAAATACAAGTAAATGCAAGTAAATCTGCATGCATAAAGCATGTAGAATACATGGGCTAGGAAGGGATATACTAGGGGAAAAGGAGAGAGAGCACAAAGAATCAAGAGCAAAGAAATTGCTTCTTCCCCCACGATATTGCACAGCACTGACCTGAATGGTACAGCAATTATGCGACCTAAGTGAGAGTTCAATAAATAACAATATCTGGGGGCAAACTGAGAGTTAAGCTCCCATGAAAAGGTAGAAGCATAGTAACCAAAGCCTTAGCCAGTCCCTGGGCAATCAATATGATTGATACCCAGAGTCTTTAACAGAATCAGATAGGATGATAATAATCTCACCCAAAGATGGTTTAAATGAAGCATCACTAGTTTAGGGAATTTCTACCAAAAACATCAAAAGTGATGGTGATAGCGCCATTATCAGAGTACTGGCAAAACCACCAAATCAATGGCTGTCTTCGGCTGCCATCCCTACTTAGGGGGGCCCCTCTGTCCCCTTCCTCAGGAACCAGGAGCCCAGCATCCATATGCCATCATCCACCCACTCTAATTTCTTTAATGCAACAGATAGTAGCTAAACAGAAAGTCTTCCAATGGCTAGAATTGGGTATTTCATACTAGGGTATGAATAACTGGTTAATTTGACTTTATCAGCACCATAAGACAGTGCAAAAAAAAAAAAAAAAAAGAAAGAAAGAAATAACAATTGGTGACTTTCACACTCCTACGAGGTATCTGCAATTTATAAATGGAGCTTGTGTACATAAAACTCTTAGTTACTGTAATATGAAAAAAAAATAGAGAGAAGGAAGGGACAAGTGAATAAGGAAAGAGCAGGGCCTTCCCATGCTTCTTGTTTAATGTCACCACCATCCCACACCAACCATCAAACCTCCGAACATGGGCTTAGGCAACTTGGCCTCCAATGATACTAAACAGCTGCTAACCCCAGTCTTAGAAGACAAATCCGTCCTCAGAGCACACAGAAGAGCTGGGTCCTTTAGAACCGATGACTGGATTTATAGAGAAGCCTCCTACAGATATGAGTGATCATGTCTGCATTGCTGGTGTCTACCCTAGTCCAAATCTTTCACTTTACAAAGAAGCAAAGTGAAAGGTGAGTGGCTTGCACAGTGTCCTGTAGAGACTAACTAAAGGGTAGAACCAGGACTGAGCCCAGGTCTCCCAAGACCCAGTCCACAGCCCTATCCAGGTAAATCCCCATGAGCATAACACACTGTGCTCCAGACACAGGCAGAAGATCATATTCCTCAAACTCTAGAGTAGTATTTGGGTAGTATCTGGGTAGCAATTTCCCCTTCCTGGACAGCAATTTGATTCAGTGGGTCCGGGTTGAGGCACAGTTATCTACATGTTAACAAGCTCCATGGGGTCTTCCAGGTATAGAAACCACCCCTACACTTGGTCACCCCTCTACCTACCAGCACTGCACAGAGGGCTGAGAGGTCCCTATGAAGGGACTGCTATGGGGACATCCTCTGGAACCCATACATCAAAGGGCTCCTGACCACTGGGTCACAAGTCAGAGCCCTGAAAACAAACACCAGCCTTGAAATCTCAAACAAAGAATGCTTAGAATGGGACAGAAAGGTCTCCTCTTAGACCTGTTGACCTTAGTGGCTTTGGTCCTGGCAATATCCAAGTGATGCCTTCAAGCCTCTTGTGTAACCAATCTCCCAATATGTGCTGAGCCCCTACTTTGTACAAGACTGTGCAGGGGGGCTAAGATGGGCAAAGAAAAGTAAGCCCTAGTTGCAAAAACTCTACCAAGAAGATCAGACACGTACACTGAAAAAGAACCCACGTTACAGAGCAGTGTTGTTGAGGATGAAACAAAACACAGATCCATATCTGTGTCATATAAGCTTGCTCGATGTAACTCAACAATTTCCAAATCCACTTCCTGGCAGAACCATCTTTCCTGGTTCCTCAACCCCCACCCTGGGGATTCTGATTCAGTAAGCCTGAGGAAGAGCCCAGAATGTGTCTTTTTTGCCAGCTGTGAGGTAAATCTAAGGTAGGCAGTCCATAGGTGGACATTTGAGATTCTCACAGTGTGTTGAGGGTCAGGCTGCAAAGAATTTAAGGGAATCTATCTTGGTTCCTTCTTTATATTAATGGTTTGCTGCTCCTCAAAATTCTTAACTTACTCACATTGGCCCCTAGAATCTAAGTCTGTTTGGTTTTGTTCCTCTTAGGTCAGTCATGGTCTATGCTGTCTTCCTACTTGAAACTTCCTACTTAGGGCCTCCTTCATGTTCCCAGCAGAAATCTGTTTTCTGGAAAAGGGTGCAGCTTTACTCCTCAGGAAAACACACAGGAAAAAAAAAAGCCCATGTCCAGCCATGTATCATATGATTCAATTTATACCATTTATATTGAATGTCTAGAATAGGCAAATCCATACAGATAGAAAATAGATTAGTGGTTGTAGAGGGCTGAGGGAAGTGGAATGGGGAACAACTGCTAATGGGTATGGAGTTTCCTTTTGGAGGTGATGAAGACATTCTGGAATTAGCGGTAATGACTGCACAACTTTCTGACTATACTGAAAAACCACTGGATTGTATGCTTTAAGAGGGTGAATTTTATGGTATATGAATTATATCTCAATTTTTGAAAAGCCCATGCATAGGTAACACATAAAACATACAGGTGGGTCACCTGGCTCCCTGGGCCCTCACAACTACTGGGTGATGACCCCTGGGCAAGAGGCAGGGCAGCCAATGACAATAACTACCATTCACTTGTACTTATTATGTGGCAGACAGACATTCATTACACACAGTACATGGTTGGCTCAGTACATGGTTATCTCAGATAAGACATCATTACCAAAGATGTGGATATTATTATGATGATATTGTTATCACTAACATTTTAAAATATGACAACACGAAGCCATAGTGAAGTTAAATAACTTGACCAGTCCACAGCTAGTAAGTGGCAAAACTGATAGCTAGGGAGATGTGGCTTAATAGGCACCAAAAGACCCCTGCCCCAAACCTTGCCCCAAACCATGTCCCTCATGGATCTGTCATTCTTATCATTAGATTTGCGGAAAGTAGAATAATAATAATGGTGGCAATAATGTTGCTGAGATGTATTGAGCGCTTTCCAGAAATCATCCTCGATTTATAGATGTGAAAACTAAGGCAGAGAATGTTTAAGTAAATTGCCCCAAACCACACAGCTAATAAGTGATGGAGCCAGAACTTAAACACAGACCCTAGTGCTAAGCTGCTCAGTCAGAGATCCAACTCAGATGTCTGCAGGAGCAGGACAATGATAGTGTCAAGTGGGCCCCATATAGCATACCTTGAAATACAAAGCAGTATTGACTCATCTTTGATTCATCTATAGACATGTGGTACAATTTTCTCCTAATACTAGGGGAAAAAACAAAGCACAAGATCAGTGATAAATGGCAAATGATGCTTTGCCTCAATGTTGAGGATGCAAACACGAGTGCAGAAACTATGGCAAATTGGAGAGAGAGCCACTTCACCCAACAGGGCTTCCCCATTCCACTGTAACCCTCCACCTCTGGGTGGGTGTGCAGTACAGTGTTGCCATATTTTCTGAGATAAAGCCAGAAAGACAGATCTTTACAGAAAATCTTTTTCATTTTTAAAAGATAGTAAAGAATTCTGCAGACTACATTGGTCTGTAGCAGAACACTCTTGACTTCAACACATAGTAAATTGCCTCCTCAAGCAGTTCTATGTGACTGGGATTTAGAATTTGGGGTGAAAAGTGACAGGGTGAGTCAAGAACAGTGAGGAGGAGCCAGGGTCTGAAGACTCTTGACGCACACCTAAGGAAGCAGAACTTTATTTTCTAGGCTAGGGAAAGCCAGAGCTTTGCTGTTCTGTTTTAAGAAGGGAAAGGGACCAGATCACAAAGACACCTCTAACGATGTGAAGGTAGAATAACCAGGAAAGATAGCCAAGGCAGTGAGACCAACTGGGAGGTAACTGTAATTATCAGCCCCAAACTAAGGTAGTAGCAATGGAGGCAAGAGCATGTACTCAAGTCAACAACTAATAGCAAAGATCTTCCCTGATAGACAATAGATGTGATTGTATCAAAAGGGGGCACACATATACTCTATTAGATAGCTATACTGGTAGTCCCTTGATTTTTTTTTTTAAAAAAAACACTATCATAAGGAAGAGGGAGACATTAGCAAATGTGAGGAAGAGCACTATGAGAGAAATAGAGAAGGGTTACAGGATACAACTTGTTAGAGGCTGGGTTTGGCATATGAAAGGGAAAGAAAATGTTCTTGGCTGGAGAAGAGACAGCTCTAAAACTGCCTAGGAAAACAAAAGTGAATGAGGGAAATAAAGAAAACACATAAAGAGTTCAGGTATTAAGAAATTAAGAAGAAATATGGAAAGCCGGCAGGGAAAAAAACAATCAACCAATGAAGAACAGTGAAGGTCCCTAATGTCCAGATTTAATGCAGATGAGAGAAACCAGTGAAGGCATTTTAAAAAGATGTTGTAATGAAGGCACCAAGAAGATTGCTTTAACAGAGACTGAACTCAAGAATAGAGACCACAATGGAGGCATTTATAAGGAGTAGAAGGAAAAGAAGACCAAAATATGGGAAAGGATTTTAGTGATTGGAAACTCACAGGCAAAGATGAGTCTTAGAGATGTCAGAAAGGAAAATATGACAGGATTCTGGAATATTCTCAGAGTGAAAATAAGGTCTAATCTGTAAAATATACAAAGTTCTCTCTCCACAAGTGCTTAAGAAGCAGCCCTGAGGAGTGCCAAAGATAACACCAAAGCTGCATTCCGAGGGCATGAGGAGGAGAAAGCAGTTACCAGCAAGTCCCTGAAGGGAAGGGAGCAAGGATTTTAGCCCTCACCAGGCTTGGTTTCATTGCTTGTAACATCATCCAAATCAGAATAAAGCGTTCAACAGAATGGACTTTTCCAGAAGTAACCTTGTGATGGCTCAGAGCATTCTGGGAGAGCTGCAATAGTCAAGAAGACTGAAGCAAAAAGGAAAAGCCTCTGCCACACACAGTGCAGAGATAGAGGACCAACAATAATGGCAACAAAATATCATATTGAAAAGCATTAAGTTGTACACTAAAAGGGAAGAAATATAAGGAGGTAGGAGGAGGTAACATCATTGACAACAATGTGAAAGGGCTGTCATTTAGAAGTATGTCATGTTATGTCTGGTATCTTACATACAGTATTCCATCTAAGCCTCACATTAGATATGCAAAGTTACTCTGTTTTGCAGAAAAAAAAATGTAGAGGCTATGTAAAGTTGGTTATTTGCTAAAAGTCACTTAGATAATAAGTTTTAGAGGCAAGGCTTGTTGGAGTCTCAAACTTATGCATTTTTCTACTATACCACACTGTTGGACTATGGACCATCTTCCAATCAGATTACTGCAAAAGCCTTCCTAACTGATATTTCACCCTTTACAATTCTCCTTTCACTATGTAACTCAAGTAATCTTTCTAAAATGCGAATTTCATCATGGTGCTTCCCTGCTCAAATCCAGTCAAAAAATTCCTTTTGATCTTAAGATGGAGTCCAAACCACTTAGCATTCCCTACAAGGCCCTTCAGGATCTGTCCCTACTCACCTTCCCAGCCTTATCACAAGCTCCTCTCATTGCAGCTGACAATGCAATGACTCTTAATATATTAAAGTCCCCGGAATGCACCCTGCTCATTCTCACCTCCAGGTCTTTGCACACTTTGTCTCTTTTGCCTGAAGCACTCTTCCTGACCTCCTAAACTCTCCCCTCAGTCAGTCAATGCAACAGCTTCTCTTCTCTCATAAAATTTAACACACTTTATTGAAATCCTCTCCACCAGTTCTGAGGTCCCCACACCTCCTAACTGGGAACTACATGAGGAAAGATCCTGTTTCTATCTTGTTCACATTCACACCCACCTAGTAGTGCCCTGACATATCATAGGTGTTAAACACATATCTTTTGAAATGGATTAATAAATTGGATGCAGTGGGGCTGTCACTGGTTACTAAGTTAAACTATGGGTAGAGGCAAAGGGCATAACTAACACCAAAGCCTCTACTTTTAATGTCTGCAATTTACTGTCTATAGCTGAAGATTCTTTTCTTAGGCATCTCGAAAAATTCAACATTTAGGCTGGGCCTCCTCTGGCTCACACCTGTAATGCCAGCACTTTGGGAGGCCAAGGCGGGCAGATAACTTGAAGCCAGGAGTTCGAGACCAGCCTGGCTAACATAGCAAAACCTTGTATCTACTAAACATACAAAAATTAGCCGGGCATGGTGGTGTACACCTGTAATCCCAGCTACTCGGAAGGCTGAGGCATGAGAATCACTTTAACCTAGGAGGCAGAGGTGGCACTGAGCAGAGATCATGCCACTGCACTCCAGCCAGGTGAAACAGCAAGACTCTGTCTCAAAAATAATAATAATAATAATAATAATAATCTACATTTAACAGAGCATATACTCTATGCACTTCCTGTGCTCAGAGCTATGAGTAATTCTAGGGACAAGACTCAGTTCTTGCCCTAAACAAGCTTGCAGTCTAGTGGAGTAGCCTTCATATTCCAGTGTGTTACAATTCACATTCTCTTTAAACCTTTTTAGAATTTAGTTGACAAGGGATCCTTGACAGTCTGTTAAGCATTGGGTAACTGCCAACTGACTGATCACTAGCTCCAACAAGACTACAAGGGGCTTGAGATTCGAGACTGAATCTTCTTCATCATTATCATCCCAGTGCCCAGCATAGTGGCTGGTATATAAAAACAGGTTTAAAATAATCAACTGAATGAATGAAAGAATAGACAAATGAACAAGCAAACAAGCCAAGTCTTGGAATAAAGCTTTGGGATCTGGGTCAGAGTCTCAGCAGGAATTATTCTCCATCATTCAACAGATAAATGACTCAGCAACAAATACTCTAGGGAAAATCAGCCCATTCGATATAAACACACACAGAGACACACACACACACTGCAGAGCCACAGGAGTACGGGAGCAGGACAAAAGAGGGCCAGGGTAGGATTTTGGATGGTTTTCCAGTGCCAGCTCAGGTTCCTCCTGTGACTTTAGGTTCAGAAGGGAGACACTATGGGGCAGGCACACACACATAGAGCAGTGACATGGCTTCATCTGACCCCTACAAACTCAAATCTGCTTATTGAGACACACCATAGCGATAAATCAATGGAAAAACAGGTAGATACATCAATATAGTGCTCATCACATGTTTTCAAAACTTATTAAGAAAACCTTAATTTCACATGGTATTTAAAATGTATGTTAATAATCACCAACACAAATAAATACCCTACTGAAATATCTGAATAGTTGCTATATCTTTCAAAATTAAAACCAAATATCAGAACAAAAATAGCTACCTAAATAGCAACCTTTTCACACATACACACACTCCTGAAATTTACCTGCTGCCAACTTGTTATTTAAATAAACATTTCTGCTACACTTTACCACCAAATAGTACCTTGTAGTCAGTTTAAAAAACCTTTATCAAAGTAAGAGTATGGTATTATTTTGACACCAGACAGTCCTTTGCTTTTGTGTGGAATCACTGTGTTGCCTGAACAGTGTATGATTTCGTTTTTGTGCAGACAATCAGCAGGTCATTAGTGTACCATACAAATCGCCCTGGACTCAGGATGGAGCCCTGGGGAACTGAAGCTGTAATAGACTGGAGGGAAGATATGGTGTTGCTGACAGTTACCTCTGATGGCAGTTAAAAGGTATGATTGCAACCACATGACAGCTTAATACAACAGATCCCTGAATTGTTCACATGGCAAATTCTGATTAATGGTGTCAATAATCATTATAAATTTTTAAAGTTTTGTAGAGGACTCCATTATATCCTACTATCAGAATACAAGACCAACCAGATCCCTTATGAAATAACCATGTTTTATCATTATTTTACTGCCATTGGTTTTACATGTTGGTGAACGTGAATTTATTCACATATGGAAGGTGGTGGGGGGCAGGGGTCTACTGCATATTTACATGGTTCATGAAGAAATTTTTGCATAAGAAAGTGAATGTAAGATAAATTGAAACTCAGTATATGAACCAGAATTTGCCACTTTCACACACACACACACACACACATATGCATGCATACACACAGAGATACACACACAGGATAAGGTCAATTTCACTGTATCCACATCTGGCAATGATGTGGGCATAGTGAAAAGATTTCAGGTTCCCTCCAGAAAGCCCTTAGGTTACAAGAAAAATCATCCTACATCTAATAAACCCATCTTAGATATATCTCCCATATGGTAAAGCCCTGTTTTGCTTTATTCTAACAAATTTGTCCTTGGATTCCTCTCACAGCTGTTGCTGCTATTGTTTATGATGTATTGAGCCCTGGCAGTGGAGTGATGCACTGTGTACAACAGAGTCAAGATTCCCACATCACTGGGCTGTGTGAGCATTAAATGATCTCACCTGTGAAGAGTCCAGAGCACCCAGTATATTTAGGGGCCTGACATGTAATAACTGCTCAAAAAATGGTGCCAAAAAAATTTTTTTAACTAAAATATTCTAGGCACTTAGTCTCAAGAAGAAAAAACAGAGTAGGTTTCTAAACCAGATTACCACCAAGGTAATAAGGATGCTAAAACAAACAAACAAATAAATAATCCTTCCTCACAATTTCCCCCTCACTATTTTCCACCACAGTTTGGTTTGACTTGAGAAACACTGGAGCCTGTATGTGCCCAGCACTGGGCTAGCACTGGAGGCATGGAGATGACTATGGCCACCCCCCAGCTGTGGGTGGCTGCCCCTCTGCTGGAGACATGAAACACCTGAAATTCTTTGAAAGCTGAGTCTTTTGCCACCACAACAGTATTTAGAAAATTTATTATACAAATTCACATAAATGATATAATCCTATAAAGGAAGATATTTGCTCCTGTAACACTTACTATTTAGGTCAGCTGACTTTTTCATATTCTGGTAGACTCCTCCTTAATGTATAGCTGCCATACATACAGGAATCATCTTTTTATTTTGCAATGAGTTACCTAGCATAAGTGAATGATTCAAATGTGCTAAAAATCAGTAGACTAAATTAATGCTGATTAAAAGAGCCTATGATAGCAAGCCTATAGATATAATTCTTGTCTATAAAATATATCATAGCTATTACCAAAGAAATTAATCTAAAACTTAAAATTACCAATACTAGCTAGATGTCAATAAATATTACTAATATCAACAGATAATTCTAATCCTTTTGGTCTATCTGCATGGGTAATCTTCAGGCATGTAGCCTGCAGATTTCCTCAATACTTTGAGTTGTTCAATATCATTACTAATGTTTGGAGGTTCCCCACCCCAAGGATTTCCCTTTCCATTTCTATCAAGTTTCAGCAGATCCTTTTCTGAAGTTTAAGTAAGACAAGCGGCTTGCCTGTTCCATATCAATTTGACTTGGAATTTAGAAGCTAACCCTTCCTCCTCTTCCTCTTCATTTTCCTTACTTTACTAGCCTCATCTCCCTTGTTTTACTTTCTTCTCAAGTTCTTTTTTTCCATGCTTTAAGTATTAATTTAAAAGCTCCCCTTTCCTATGCTCTAAGAAAAAAGAATAGCAGAAGGAACAGAAGACAGGTTTAGAAGGGTGATCAAACATGAAGAAACAAGAATTTTGAAGCTCCTACGCCTTTGAAGCTCCTACTCCTTTAAAGCTCAGCTTCTCTCTCCGCAATGGCCAAAAACAGATGGACATTCTAGAAAGACTAAAAGAAAGAAGATGCTAGGTAGGAGGAGACAGAATGTTGAAGGGAGGAACTCATCTCAAGTTCTTCCTTCTTCTAATCTCTTCTTTCCACAACTCATATGCAGTGGCCTTTATGCTCCTAGTGGAATTGAACCCATTGAAAGTTCAGTATAAGGCTGGGTGCAGTGGCTCATGCTTATAATCCCAGCACTTTGGGAGGCCAAGGCAGGTGGATCACTTGAGGTCAGGAGTTCAAGACCACCCTGGCCAATGTGGCGAAACCCCGTCTCCACTAAAAATACAAAAATTAGCCAGGCATGGTGGTGCATGCTTGTAATCCCAGCTACTTGGGAGCTTGAGGCAGGAGAATCGCTTGAACCCAGGAGGCAGAGGTTGTAGTGAGCCGAGATCACACCAGTTGCAGCCTGGGCAATAGAGCAAGACTCTGTCTGAAAGAAAAGAAAAAGAAAAAGAAGAGTTCAGAGTAGGTAAAAGGGACAAATGGCATGAAGTAAAATTCCACTCACACACACACAAAAAAATTCCCCAGGGTGCCTCTAGATAAATTGCTCAAGTGTTGTTCTCCACCCCTCTCCCAGGCCAACACACAACACTAGGCCACCTCACACCTGAACTTCTGGTTGAGCCAGAAGAGCACTAGAAGTCTGAGGGCAGGGCCAGAAGCCCAGCAGAGCCCCAGGCAGTGGGCCCAGCCATCACCTCTGCAGGGCTGGGACTACATTTGCCCCCCAAACAACCCTCAGAAAGTTGGGTAGGAGGAGCAGTGGGGAAGGTCAAAGGCAACTTGGGTTGGCACCAACGAGGCCTCACTCACCTTCCACCAGGCTCCAACCCTGGCTATCTCAGATGGTGCAAGAGTCTTCTAACTCTGTCTTCCAACTTCCAGTTAAACCAGAAGCTGGACATTCAAGGGAGGGGCCAGGAATGTGGCCAGCCAGGTACAGGGACATTACTGCCACACTTCCCATCATGGCCCACAAGTGAGATCCAGGCCACACAGGTGTACTTGTTGGACAGAAACATTCTGAGATTCTATTTAAAAAGTCTTCTATTCCAGATATTAAACAATCATGACTGCCATTTGCTGGCCGCTTACTATATATGGCCTGGACTCACCACGAAATAGGTCATTTAATTCTAACAACAACCCTATACAGTAGATACAGTAATTACCTCCCCTTTAGATACTAGAAAACTGGAGCCTAGAAGGACAAAAGAAAGTCAATTCCAACTAATAAAGGACAGATTCAGAATTCCATTCCAGATAAAACTGACTACAAAACCCACATTTTTAACCATCATATGTAGAAAACCAACCTTCTACACTTTTCAAAGTACTCCTCCTGGATGGGCCTTCAGAGCACTTTGACCTTGTTTTGTTACAGGAACAGAATTCAATAGCAAGATGGCAAATAGTTTTCCTCTATTTGTCAATGTGCCTGAGGCCAGAAGTAGATTCTAGAAATCAGATAAACAAGTGGCAGAGATAGCCAGGTGCGGTGGCTCACGCCTGTAATCCCAGCACTTTGGGAGGCTGAGGCGGGTGGATCACCTGAGGTCGTGAGTTCGAGACCAGCCTGACCAATATGGTGAAACCCCATCTCTATGAAATACAAAAAATTAGCTGGGTGTGGTGGTGCATGCCTGTGAACCCAGCTACTCAGGAGGCTGAGGCAGAAGAATCACTTGAACCCAGGAGGCAGAGGTTGCAGTGAGCCAAGATTGCACCATTGCACTCCTGAACAACAAGAGTGAAACTCTATCTCAAAAAAAAAAAAAAAAAAAAAAAAAAAAACAAGTGGCAGAGAGAATCCATTTACAAAACAGAATTTGAGGGAGTTAGTGTGTGGGAGCGTATGTTCTGGGCTCAGTCTAGCTCAGAGCTGATTTGTCTCAAGGTTAAAGTATTTCCCTTGCCTTTTGGGGGGAACCAATACATGAAAATATATCAACCATGAACTTTAGTCACAGCTGTAAATAAACAGATAACATATAAACATGTGTTCAAGAGGTCCCTAAAGCATAAGCACTTTGTCCACTAAGTTCTTTATTTTCCAAGTCTCATTTTCCCAAAAGATACTGACTGCCCCAAAGGAGAGGTATAATAAAGTATTGGAAACGTTCTGGGAACTTACTGAAAAAAACAATAGATGCAACAAATGAAGACAAAGTCAATACTGTCTTTATGTTCAATGGCCCCTAGCTCTTAAAATAAGCATACCCTTATGATTTTACAGCAGTTGCAATGATAAATGGAATTGATAATTTAACATATTTATAAAATAAACATTCTGCACAGTTTTTCCCCTTCCACAGAGGCCTTAAGAATCCTCATGATTATGACTTTGGGGGCATTAGGACTATTTATAAGCGATTCTTGTCAGCCCAATCTGCAATTATGATTTCCCCGCCCCCCGCCCCAGCCCCTGTGGACTCTGAAGAGTCCCCTATTTGTAGTTATCAAGGGAACTCCCACTTCCCATGGAGAGAGAATGACAGTAGGATGTTATCACTTAGCTTCCCCATTCTCTCAAAGTCCCCCAACCGAATTTTCAGGATTGCTCTTCCTTTCGTGTACTATGAGACAATAGCAGGTGTTCCCCGCTTCACCCCTTTCTATTCTACAGACTCCTCCAAGGAAGATGGATGCTCCTCTAGAACAATGACCACAAGAAAACAACAGAAGCAAGAAAAGTCAAAGATTATACCTACCCAAATCTCCATCAAAAACAAGACTCAGAAGCCTGCAATCATATAAATAGGCCTATGAGATGACTCAGCTTCCTAAGTAATATGATTTAGGGAGAATCAAAGGATATATATATATATATATATATTCCATTACTTTTATGTATTCATTTTCAATCAGTATTTATTGAGCACTTTCTGTGTGGGAGTTACTAGAAGATGAAGATAAAATGGTCATGGGGTTGTCAGATTTAACAAATAAAAATCCCATATTTTATCTGGCAATTCTAAATTGTCAGCAAGAGACCATGCCTACCACAAGGAACTCACAATCTAGTGCCCTGTGCATTCCCTAAAATTTTGAAATCTCATTAACACCTTAGCAAAACTGATTTATCTGATTAGCTTCAAAGTCCATAACCTGAGGCTGGGCTCTGTGGCTCACGCCTATAATCCCAGCACTTTGGGAGGCAGAGGAGGGTGGATCACGAGGTCAGGAGATGGAGACCAGCCTGGCTAACATGGTGAAACCCCGTCTCTACAAGAAATACAAAAACCAGCCAGGCGTGGTAGCATGCACCTGCAGTCCCAGCTACTTGGGAGGCTGAGGCAGGAGAATCGCTTGAACCCGGGAGGCAGAGGTTGCAGTGAGCCGAGATCGCACCACTGCACTCCAGCCTGGGTGACAGAGTGAGACTCCGTCTCAGAAAAAAAAAAAAAAAGAAGAGAAAAGAAAAAAAGTCCATAACCTGGGAGAATGATACACAGAAGACATAAGTTTTGAGGGAAAGAAAAGAATTAGAAAGGTCCAAGGCAAGCATCAGCAGAATGTCACAGAAGGAGTAACAATGATTGACCGAGGACAACAAAATGGCCCCATGTCCATAGTTGGGTGGTAGGGCTAGGGTAAAGAAATCAAAATGAGGCAACTATTGCTGAGAAACTCAGCTTGTTTCACCTGCATTCCAAATAGGTGACAAGTTCACAAAAAATGTTGTCAAGGTTGGTAAACATTTCAATTAGACCTGAGCAGAACATCTAGTGAGATCTCATGCCAACTTATGGTTTGGGGTGGAAACCATACAAAATGTGGTGGTTTTATAGGGTTTGAACCTGAAAGCAAGCAAAATGTGGTGGTTTGGGCTGTGTTTTTCTTGGAGTTTTTTACATACTCAGGCATAAAAATTCACAGTCAAGCTTGGGAGGTCCAATCTGAAACAATAAAGTTTTCACACTATCCTTTCAGCAACCACAAGGAATAGGCTTCCAAAAGAAGTTGTAGACTCTTGTTTGAATATCTTTTAACTATGGTTGATAGATGGACTAGTTAGGCCATGTTTATGTGACAAAAACTGATTTTGATGTTTGGAAAGAGGAAAGAGGTCGTCTTTTCCTGGACCAACATTACCTACATAGGAAAAAGACAGCAAGACTTTTTTATGCATGCTCTTTGTGTTAATAATAAAACCAGTTAATGATTAGGTCCATTGGCAGAAATTTCTTGGTTAGCCTGCTGTGAGCAACTCCATAGCTTGAATCTAAAGTGAGAGTGGGCTGAGGAAAATATTTGTTTTGTCTTGTATGTCAGTTATTAAAGCCACTTCAAATCCTTCATGGAAATATATGCGGCATAAATAAATGAGAAGTGCCACAAAAGAAGTGCAGAGATGGAAAAAGACATTCACATGGCAAACTTTACCATAGCCCATGCTAGTAATTTACCATTTCCTAATCTTAGGATTCCAAATCCCAAATTGTATTTTGCCCAGTGCAAGATACAATTTCTGCCCCTCCACTCCTTCCCTTTCTTTGATCTCCTTTGTCTGAGCAGGCAACTAAAATCTTCATGAAAACATTTGAGTGTGAGGTTAGCACTGTCTTGGATGTCAAGCAGTACAGGTTCTATAATGGCTTCAGAGTGCCTTGGATGGGTACAAGAAAACAGACTTGGATGACCCTCCGCAAGTTCTTTTTATAACTTTCTGTGAGGTTCATTCTCTGAATCTGCAACCAAATCAAAATATTTACTATGTTCTTTAGTTTGAAAACCTGAATATCCCTTCATCATTAATAGAAATTCTAATGTTCTCACAATGGTGTAAAATTTCATTTTTTCTTTTGTAATTTTGTAGTGCTAAATTTAATTTTCAAGGGGGCAAGGGAAAAGGTTATAAACATAAATTACGGTTTACATGAGCAGAACAGCAGGAATCATTATTATTATCACTTACCTCATATATTTATTAAGTTATTCCAGGAAAACCTAGTTAATTTACATCTTGTGCCTTTGAAACATTTGATAACTCCAAGTTGGGGAATTGGCTTAACTTTTCCTTTGGTAGAAGAGAGTTTACAGATCTAATTAAATTAGCTTTGCAGGGGGTGATTAATCTCCTTAAGGAAATAGACTGCTTTCAAACACTCCAGTAACAACTGTTTCTAATGATTAATGAAATAAATACAAAGAATTCTGGCCTACTAATTAAAGCAGATCCAATTATGAGTCTTGGCCACAGAATATTAATCCCTGGCTTATGTAAATATGTTATATATAATAGATTACAATATTTTATAATTCTGACATATCATAGTTTATACTGGTCTTCCCTAAAATTAGCCTAAGACAGTGAGGGCTTCATTGTATTTCTGTTCAACAGTTGTAGGCGCCCAAGATGCCAGCAAAATACATCTAAATAGCTTTTTGAAATGTTTATGATCCCTCCAGTCCCTGTTAACTATAATATGTGATGACATAATTGGATTCATTGGAAGCCCACTTGGCTAGGACATTGTGGTAGTTGAAACCTATTAGCACTCAAGTAAATAATCCAAATCACCATCCAACGAATATGCATAAACCATATATTGAATAGTACAATCGAATGTCTAAGGATTGGACAGGTAACCCAACATGTTTATAAGTTCTTCAATTAAGATAGAAACTCACCAAAAATAGTTTGTCCTGAAAATGTCAAGAATTCATTACAGAGCCCACAATCAAACCTCTTCATAAAGTTACTCAGGGAGAATAACAGGTTCCTTTTAGCACTCCTTCCTTTTTTTTTTTTTTTCCTTCTTTTTTTGAGGTGGGGATCTTGCTCTGTCACCCAGGCTGGAGTGCACTACAGTCTCAAACTTCTAGCTCAAGAGATCCTCTCAAGTAGCTAGGACTACAGATGCACACCTCTATGCTTGGATAATTCTTATTTTATTTTATTTTTTTTTTTTGTAGAGACAGGAGTTTTACTTTGTTGTCTGGGCTGGACTCAAACTCCTGGCTTCAAGCAACCCTCCCACCTTAACCTCCTAAAGTTTAGCACTCTTCTTGAGAAATACTAACTAGAGAAAACTAAGGACAGAAGAATCCATCCAATTACAACTTATTTATAAATGTAAACCAAACAGAAAGAAAAAATTGAATACGTATTTTTTCAGTGTACATATACTGAGTATTTACTATCCATCAGGCTCAGTTGTGAGTTGAGAAATATAAATATTATGTTGTGCTTGCTACAACTTATAGTTTAAAAAAGGAGACAGATAAATAAAGCAACAATTACCATAAAACTTGCAAAATGCTGTAAAAGAAATAAGCAGAGGATACTACGGAGGCATAAAAACAGGCACCTAATTCCAAGCATTGGAGATTTCCCCAAGGCTAATGTCACTTGAGCTGAGCTGGAGAGGTGAGAAGTCAGCCAGGTGGGCAATGACCAAAGGAGGGCTTTCCAGAATAAGGGGATAGCATATGCAGAAGTAGAAACTAAAAGGACTTGTTAAACATTACATTAACGCTAATATTAAGCATTAACTAGTATTCTTTGATCATTTACTTTTCACAAAGCAACTTGGTAAGCATTTTACAGGCATTTGTCTCATTTAATTCTACCATTACCATTTAAACCAGTTCTATTATTATTCCAATTGTACTGAAAGAAACAGGTTTAGAGAAGTAAAATAACTTATTGAAGATTTTTCAACAGTCTGACTCTAAAGCCCCCCACCGCCACTAGACTCTAACTGCCTCCCCAGCTATGCCACAGTGGTGCTTGTCTGTCCTCTGTAGGCAATGAAAAGCCACACAAAAAATTTTAGGTGAATCTCCTAAAAGTAAGCACAACATTTTTTTAATGTGAAAATGACTCCCTTTTTTTGGTCATTTAAAAAATCCTTTGGTTCAATACCTTGATTATGTCCTTGTTAAATTTGATTTCTATCTTGTTCAGAAAAGGAATCATGACTTAAGAAGGACCTATTGTGCATGTGAATCACAACCCCCATAATGAAGAGAGAGGTGAAAATGATGCTGTTTCCAATAAGTAGGGATGGGAAGTGTCATGTGTCACTCTGATATGCGATACAGAAATCAACATGAGTTGTCACACCATGCATACAGGGTAGGACTTATCATTTATACCTACTCTTATGGAGGCAGGGTCAGATTTCTAAATCTAAATACTTTAAATTCAGAATACTTCTCCAGCAATCTTTGCTTTTTAATTGATGGTCTTTAAAGGGCAAGATTTGCTTAGAACCATGTTTAAGAGAGAAGAGTGGAACTATAGTGATCTAAAATGATCTAATTTTCTAGAAAATTACTACTTTCTCCAAGCTGTATAAACTTTAATTAAGAAGACAAGGAGGTCTATTCTCTCTTCTTACACACATACCACATACCAGGCTCTTGGGATACTGATAAAAGGAAGACAGTGGACTGAAAAGATTAAAATTTTTAACAAAACTCTAAATATAATTAAGATGGAATGTTTACTGCCATCTTTAAGGACCAAAAAGTAACCAACATTTGTTGCTCCTCTGGAAAGAAAATATCTTTCACTTCAAAATATGGGTAAAGTCAGCTTATAAAGTAATCTGTAGAAAGAAATTAAGTCACAAGTAAGACAAAACAAAAATCAGCTCATATGAGCACAATACATTTTTCAGCTAAATATCACCAAAATAAGCATTCCTGGGACACTTAATGCGATGCTTTGTGCATCTGTATCCAATAACATGTTCTCAACATCTCCTAAAGGGATATTTTGGTAGCTTCCACTACATATTCTCTAGAACCTGACTTTAATGGTAGCAGATTTAGAAGAACAGATAAAAAAAAAAAAAAAAGAAGGCCACTAAGGTGAGAGCACACACTGAATATGAAAATATCCTCCACAATTCACAGTACATAATCTATGGCCACAAAAGGTTTCTCTTCCCCTACTTTCTATTCATGTGGCTCTCTTTCACCTGCTTTCTCTCCTTGCCCTCTTTCTCCCTAAACTTTCTTTTCCCACTTGAGTTCTCCTACCAAACCAGTTCTAAAATCACTTCAAAAGGACATATTTGAAGCAAAGAAGTTTAATGTACTTTGTCCTACATGTAAAAGCATTTGGGTAGCCTTGGTGTCAGTGTGATTTCGGCTGTCATCAAGACTGGCCCACTGAGGTTAAATGAAAATCAACTTCAATAGGAATAATGTGAAAGAGAATAGCATTTTTAACAAATTCAGATATCTTCATGTGTTCCTCCCAATCTACAAATTTTGAAGAAAGCTGGGTGGCAGCTACAACTTCGTAAGTAGCCTCCTGTGATATGTTGATGTTACCACAGCAAATTGGGAAATGAGGGGAAGGATGTGTGTTTAGCACAAATGCTTATGATCATGTGCACATCACTTGTGTTGAGAATGTAGCTCAGCTATATTAACTAGACTAACTGATTAACTATATTTATATATATGGGATATGGGCTGAAAAGCACTATAAAATTTATCTGCATGTGTATATGCAAGCAGAGAGAAATGCTGTATTATCTGTATAAATATCAGGTAGCATAAAATAAAATACCCCTGCAGTTGTTTGTTTAGGGACACATTTGGATTGAGTGAGCATTATAACAATCATCTCTTTCAGAGGCACAAAAACATCACACTTTTTAGTTTTAATAAAGTCTAGTTTTTGGCAGTTCTTTTATCACACCTGTCATCTCCTAAGCTTTGCTTAGCCAAAGCACTCAGACTTGAATTTTTGAAATTGTCAATAAAGGCTTTCTAATCTTTAAGTCTTAAATTATCTAAGCAGATTAACTACCATTATTCTATGCTTACAGGACTCCAGGGTAAAAGACAGCAGAGAAAATACAACTTTTTTTTTTTTTTTTAGGCAATTAAGTCCCTGTGGAGGTTGTGTTTGGGGCATGTATTTGGAATATGGTCCAATGTGTTTATGTAAATAACCAAATAGACATGGTGAGTACATTAATTCCAGTATCTAGATTTATAAGACAGCTCTAAGAAGCTTAATTGTCCCACTTTTAAATTACAAGTTATTCTTAGTTCATATTGGCAATTCTCCAGTTTGCAAGCAATGAATGTCCTGAAGCCAAGGGAGATATCTTGAAGGAAAAAAATAAATAAAAAGAAAAAAAGAAAGCTCATTTTCACAGCAGCGCCTATCTCTGTGGTGACCTGATTTCTGCTATGATCTCCTTTCTGAGATCAAAGCAGGATTAATGTGATTCTTTACTGTTTGCATTGCACATCTCAAAGCTCTGGAGACTTAAGAAATAAGTACAAATGCAGCCCTTGAACAGAGGGGAAACTGAACTTGAGTGGGGTGGGTTAATAGCACGAAATAGCACGAGGGACAGCTAACTATGAAAAGTTATTTGGGATTTGGAAGGCAATACAGAATTTAGAGTATTTTGTAAGCACTGTTGCTTTCTCTTTTCTCATTTTCTGGGGCAGTCTTTCGGTTGGTTGATGAGGCCAGCACTGAATGTCATCTTATTAATAGTCTCCATAATGACCTTTTAGCTCATTTGGAATGTTTTGCAGCTGCTAGTATGCATGAAAAGGGAAGGGAAGCCTGCTGCATGTTTTCACAAGAAAGCACTTTCACATTGCTACAACCAGGCATTTATAAGGAGGATTTAAAAGACGGGAAAATCTTTTAAAATATCAAAATGTTGAGCTTTTGTGTTTCCACTGCATGTTACATTACTGGATACTGGAACTCCTAAAGGGTGAGTGTTTCGGCAGCCTTTCAGAATTGCTTGCTCTTTTGTTGAAGAAAAGGCAAGTCCCATATTCCTGGGATCTCAGAAGGCGAAAAGAAAATCGCTTTTATTCTTAATGCTTAGTGTACACACTACTTGGGAAGGGAGAAGCTCACCTCCTCCAAAAACGTGACTGTGATTTTACCTGCATTACCTAGAAGAGGGCACGCCACAGTGTAGCCCAATTTGCAATTTTATTTGGACTCAGTACTCTATGGGAGAACAGGATCGCGGGGCTGGGGGTGAAGGTTTTCTCAGCCTGGAATGTGACACCACGGTTTCCACTCTCGGCTTATACAATTCCACCCAAAGCTCAACTTTTCCACAACTCTGCAAGCCTAGCCACACAAAGACATCCATACAACAAGAAGTCCCAACACCTGCAGCCCATTCAACCAGCTGAGCCCTGCTTTTTCACAGGGTACAGAATTTCTCGGACAACTTCTTCATGTTCCCTCTTCCAAGTTCTTTTAGGTTAGCACTCGCCCTGTCTTTTCTCTCACCATTTCCTCCCCCTTCCTCTCCTGCCCTGGCTGGAGGCCACACTCTAAACCTGTCCTCGCTACTCGGCCAAAGCCCAGGAGGTGACCTGAGATGAAGGTAGTGCAGGGTAGAACAGGGAGAGAGTTCTCTACACGACCGCACACCAGGGGACCGGGGGTCCTTGCTGCGTAACCCCTGCCTTGGCACCCAAAGAAATTCCACCTACTTTTTCTTAACGTCCCTTATACCAGTCCCGCGTGGAGCCAGAAGATGCGGGGAGCTTGGAGTCAGGCTCTTTCTAGGGAGTTGGGAAGGGGGTCCCACGTGCTGGAGCGCCGGCAGCCGCAACCCAGCACCTACACCTTCGCCTCTGCGGTCCTGGCGGCGCCGGCCTCCCACTGCCCACCCCAAGCTCCTACCTGAAGGGGAAATTCACCCGAAGAACCTTGTGAGTTGCCTCAACTGGAAAAGGAGTTGGGTCCAGAACACAATTCTCAGGGCCAAGAATAGGGGAGACAGAATCTCAGTACCTAAATACTCTATGCTCGCCCCCTAACTGTTTTCACCACAACAAACAAGCAAATTGGACTTTCTTGGGCCGTTTCCTTGCATTATTTAGCTTCATCTGACGGTGTCAACTGTTTTCTCATTATTATGCTGAATTTCTTAACAAGGAAATTTTCAGCTGAACTAAGATTGTTTGGAATCCATAACAAGGATTGTTCGGAATCTGTAACTAGGAATTGTGGCTGTCTGGAAGAAGTCGCCTGAACATTCTATTGGAGAAGTTCGGAACATCAATAACAACTCACCCTCTGCCTTTCTCTTTCTAATTTTATACTATTATTGTCTGTGCAGCCCTGGTTTGCCCAGCGGTGTCCTATCACGGGGAAACAGTCATGTAGCTAAAATCATAGTAGTGAGGGACCCATGATTCGTTTAAAAAATGTGAAGTTTTAAAATGTTGGATTTTTTTGAAGCTTGAACTACTATCTGAAATCTCGAATACAATTAGTCGTTGCGTCTTAAAGGCCTTTATATCATTGAAAATTTCCTAACAGCCTGTATAACTTTGAAACAAAACGTTAGTGTTATAATTCAATAAAAGTTATTTAATTATTAAAACACAGTGAGGGCCTCGTAAGTTTTATAGCTTCTGTCAAGACATTGCTAATGTGTGTATGTGCGTGTGTACATATATATGTACACACATATATATGTACACACACACACACACACACATATATATACATATACATATATATGTCAAGGAAGAAGCAAACCCAGATTTTAGGGTTGGATCTTTATTTAATATGTAATATCTATGAGGTATCCAAGTCCAGAAATCAACTCACCAGTTCTGTACAGGATTCTGTATGGAGATCAAATCTGGGATTTCTAAAGTTAAGAATTCAGGCCTTGGAAATGGATTAGATTAGATCTACCTGAGCTTATTTTAAAAAGAAAGAGAGGGAGGGAGAGAGAGAGAGACAGGGAGAGAAAAGAGAGACAGACAGACAGAATATACATATACATATATATAGAGAGAGAGAGAGAGAGAGAAATAGAGTATGTGTGTTATAGGCTGTTTTTTTTAAGATCTCATTTTTAAATGTCCTGTTTTGGATGTGATCCCTTGAGTTCAATACATGATCTTTTTCAACTTGCAAAGAATCTAAGTTTTGAGGAAGGGAAGCACAGGCTTCAGCCTCTATTTCATATTTTTAAAGTCACAGCACACCAACTCTTATATTTCCTAACTTAGAAACAAAACTTAAAAGGTAAATTTGGAAAATTAACTTAAAAGAGACACATAATAGAGGATAACTTATCTATATCTATCTGTATATCTATATATCTTTACAGAAATAAATGTTTTTAAATTAGTAAAGATCTAAGGGTAATTAAATTATATAGTATCCTGAAATACATAACATGGGAGGAGGGCCTTAAAAATTATTCCATCTAGCAATACTTGTATATACACAACTAGTAAGAAGTCCATAACTATCAATAGCCAGCAGTGCTTGCAAATTATATTGAATTGAAACGCTACTGAAAGAGTTTATCTTTCATTGTAGTTTGGAATTGTGTGAAGGTATGTTATGTACATGATCTATGTATATATAATTCTTATACTTTATATATATTTAGACATGCACTTCTTTTTAAATGTTTATGTGGTTAGTCACTTTAAGAGCATCAAAATAAATTGTGCGTTGGCTTACACTATCTCCCAGATATTCACAAACACTGATGAACAAAAATCTTTATATAGGAAATGAAGAGCTACCCATTTAAAGAAAAGAATGGAAAGGGGAACTCGATTTATTCTCATTTGTTTATCGCCAGATTTCCCCCCACCCCCCTGCAAATTCATTTGAATAGCTTTCAAGCCGGAAAATGGAAATGTGGCTCCTGCCCTCTATTTCAGCGGCAGCAGCAGCGTCCTGGCAACAGCGCAATTTTCTATCATCAAGGATAAATGGCATCGAACAGAACATTCTGATAAAAAAAAAAAAAAAGAAAGAAAAAGAAAGAAAGAAAGAAAAAAAGCTTCAGCCCAAGGAGCCCATGATTGCTGGCCTTCCTGTCTGTCATCCCTTTACAAAATCCTCTCCGCAAACCTGAGCGGCATGCTGTCAGAGCTAATAACGTCTTCTGAAGGGGCTGGGGGGCGGGGGGAGCACAGTCTTCCCTGCACAATGTTCCCATTTATTAAATCGAGTGCTTATTTTAAAATTGCAAATATCTTTGTTTGGTTCACTGAAAATTAAAACCAAGATGTAGGAAGCTACATGATGCGACAATTATTCGTGTCATATCAGAGAATCAAACCCCTATCTCTCCCTTCTCCTGGTTAAGGCTGGATGAGGGGGAAGGGGGAGTTTGGGGGTATTCGGGACAGGAGGTTTCTGGTGGAAAAATACAAATCGGTTCGCCCTGCAGGTAAGCTGAGAGTAACTGAAAGCCGGAGCAGCGATGCCTGTTTCTACCAGGAAGAAAGAGCTAACTGTGATTCCAGGAGCGCGTGTGGGCGCGGTCCTCGCCGCGACGCCGCGCGCGGGTCAGGCTCAACTGCGAACCTTGCCACCGAGCTTTCCCGCGGGAGGCTTCGAATATAACCTTGCCTATTTCTCGCCTACTGAGATTTCTTTCCAGAAAAGGACATTCTCCTGCTCCGAGGAGATGGATCCCTGAGGTCCCCATGCCCGCACAGGGTGTCCTGGAGGAGTTTAGAGGACACTCCTGGGGCCCTTCCCTGTGTAGTACGCTTATTCCCGAGGTGGGGGCTGAGAATCGAAGAGCAGCGCCCCCCACACTGGGATTGGGGGTGGTCGAGGGGCTACAGATGCCCGCATTGGGCTTCTTAGCGGCCTAGGCTGATGCCTGGAGGTAGGGGGGATTGGGTTTGGCTGGCGACTAGCTTTAATGCCCATCGAGTTCCTGGGACACCCAAGTTCAGCACTTCTGCATGAAACCGAAACGGCCAGGGAGGGGCGGAGTGGGCCGAGGCTGAGGGAGCGGCGGTGTTGACGCCCTCTTCCCACCCAGGATCGATCGATCGGTAGGGAATTTTTTATCTTTGGGAAGGAGAGGTGAGGAAGCGGACCTAAAACGAGGGGAAAATTCGAATTTAATATCCTGTATAGGAGGTCAAAAGAAAAAAAATGATGGCGAGGAATGCAGAGGGCCCTAAATGGACCCTAAGATGAAGTACGGGTGGTGGCTGGAGAGCTGGGACTGGAAGGTGGGGCTGGGGGAGACGGGTAAGCAGCTTGCTTTGGTGAGGAGCTCCCACGCTGAGAACGGTGGGAGGAGGGAATGATGGGGAAACCTTTGTTTAATGAGGAAACCTAATTATTGCGCATCTGGAAGTCTTAGTCCCTACTACCAGACGAAGGCGGGTACCTGAGGGATGCAGTGCGCATGCCCGAGCCGTCGGATTTGCATGATAAGGCTCGCACGTGAGCCAACTCCGGCGCAGCCCAGGCTGTGCCGCGGCCGGCCGCCAATGGAATCTTGCTCCTACTGCGCCTCCAGGTCACATTGACATCTCGGTTTCCCCACAATAGGCCTTTAAAACCCACTTTAAAAATAAAAAAGTGTTTTAGTATTGATTCTCGCCTAGACACGGAAGATGTCTGTAGGAAACTGACACGGTTTAGAACTACAACTACATTACTACAAGCAAGGGTTAAAGTATTCAGAATTTAAGAAAAAGTTAGAAGGCCGGAGAGAGGGGGCTGTTTAAAGAGCTCTGGCGGGAAGTCAAGGAATCCTGGGACTGCTGCCTTCGGAGCCCTGAGGCTAGGGCCAAAGCTGAATCTCTCTGAGCCTTACCTGTCACATGAAAATCACACCTACTTCATTAACCAGAGGAGCCTCAAAAGCAGAAACATTACCTGTGCAGGCCTGGCTTGAGAAAGCAACCCAAACTGAGAAAGCAACCCAAACCCACCCTTTCTCCACCTCATCCCCAGCCACACCTGGTGGCCAGGGAGATGGAAACTAGAACACCTGTATTCCATCTCTCTCCCTTTCCCAGACACCAAAGTGGTCTGTGGGGTGAGGGCCATGTGTTAGCTCCCTCCTCTGTGAAATGCTGCTAATTTTAGAAGGGCAGAAAAGAGAAAGGTAGAGAAGTGGCATGAATCACCACCATGGCTAGGCCTCTTGTCTCCACCCATGCTCTGAGGCTGGAAAGATGAGATTCTCTGGGGCTATAGAAAGGGTGGGCCAGCTGGGAACTATTACCCATCCTGCCCCTTCTGCACACCAAGGCTGCTCCCTGCCCTTCCTGAAGCACCATTCTGACTGTTACCAACCAACCACCTTGTATTCTTCTCACTATATATTCCTGCCAGAATTGCTGCCTACACATGGGCCTCCAGCGTCCCTAAGAGTGCTCATACCCTGTGACAAGAAAACCATTTGTTCTTACTGAAATAAAACATGTGGGGATTGTCATTTGCAGTTCCTCTCCCCTTTTGTGTAATTCACAAGTCTCTGATGTAGGATTAGGCTTCAAATGCATTTGGTCAAGTACATACATTTTAGTACTCAGCTTAAACAATGTCATGCTTAAAAGCACCTCAGCAATGCCTCTGTTTGTCTCTAGGTCTTTGTCACCCTCCAGGCCTATGATTATAACATGGCTTTTTGTTTCTTTTTTGAGAATGTGAACCAGAGCCCCACCCCAGCCCTCCAAAATGCAAGACACTAAAAAGTGACCTCAAGGTCTTACCTGCTCATCTAAAATCAATATTATTTGACCAATGAGTATTATGTCACATATCGTGTAAGCATATAGCTTCCAATAGCCACGTCTATTTTCAAATAAGGAGATACCTACCGAACCTTCAGAAATGCCAGCTGGTAGTTTCTGTATAGAACAACAAACTTTCTCACAATAGTGTTTTCGGATTGTCTTTGAAAAAGGTAAGCTTTCTCTAAACTGGCCCAATAAAATCAAAAGAGTGTTGGCTTCAATTATATAAGGCTGCAAAATGAGATAGCCATGTTGTCTAAAATACTTCTTGAACACTTTGGATTTCAGAACACTTTTTCTTATAATAGACTTCTCTTTGTGCTTTAAGGAATAGGATAATGGTGTGTTTGAAAGGAAATATAGACCATAAAAAAGTCCATTAGCCAATCAATAATTGTCACAATCCTCAATTAAAGCAAAATTATCTTTCCTTGTCCTATAAGTGGCTGGAATAAACAAAGAAATTTTTCTTCTTGACCATTTTAGGTAAAATTGAACGAACATAAGTCTCAAATTCATGTCCTGGTCTCTTCCTAAGGCAGGTTTCAGATCATCCATAAGGCTAACTTTGATGACAACTCTCTGTCATCTCTGAAGAAGGAAAGATCAGCAGGCTGGGGGGTCTAGAGAGGGACACTGCAGTGTGGGCTCTGGACAGTGACCAGGAACCCATCATTGGCCACAACTTCAGGCTCTGGAGCTGCTGTTCACAGGCATCTTCAACTCCCACCTAGACTGCCCTGCAAAGTCTCTTTGTCTCACATTTGTGCTGACTTCCCATTGGCTCCTTCTCATTCCCCACTGTCACGGCTGGCCCTCAGCACCCTATGCCAGCAAGGCTAGTTGATTAAAAAACTATATACATATATTCACACACTGAGCTGGGAGCATTTCCTTCCCATGTAGCAAAGCCCCTCTGATTTAAGACTGGTCAAATTAATAGGAAACAGCAAAGGAGGTTAAAGAGGGAAATTATTGAGGACAATGACTGCAGACATGCAGTCTACAGTGCAGAGTCTGCCTTTTCCTGAGGATTCAGAGCTGTGCCCACAAATCAGATGGGCGGAACAATCCCCCATCCCACCCCCCATGTTTGGGGTCATTAGAATTAGAGGTAGCTTCAGGGGATTCCCTTTCCTCTAGCATGGGTCAGCCAGGAGGCAAGAAGGAGGCTAGGAGGCTGGGGACCCTCATCAGTCCCACTAAGCCTCCAGAAGGTATCTTTTCCATCTGCCCCTACTTGCTCCCCCAGTGGGTCCCGCGTGCCTAGCCCCCACACCCCCGCCTTGCGGGAGTTATTTTAATGACACTAAATGTGCTCCAGGAAGCTTTCCCCTCTCTCCCTCTCTCTCCCTCTCCCCCTCCCTCCCTCCCTCTCTCTCTCTCTCTCTCTCTCTCTGTCTCTCTTCCTCTCCTACTCTCTCCCTCTCTCTCCTGGGATCTCTCTCTCTCTCTCTCTCTGTCTCTCTTCCTCTCCTACTCTCTCCCTCTCTCTCCTGGGAGCTAACCCAAGCCTGTGCACCGGAGGGCAGCTGACAGCTGAGCGTGGCGGGGGCGGGGTTGGGGGTGGGGAGGTGGCGGCTGTTCCAAGCGCAGGATTCTGGAGTCCACCGGCGCTTGGGCAGGTAGCAAGCAGAGCTAGCTGCACGTTGCCCCGGCCGGCGTTTTCAAACAACTTGAATTACAGGCTACATCTTGAATATGAATTAGCCTTCCGCACTGGTGTGAATTCGCTTTGAAACTCAACTTGTCAAGTATGGTTTTAATTAAACATCTTCCGGCCTCGAAAGATTACATGTTTTGTAAAATATATTCTAGCATGAAATTTACTTCCACGATCTGAAATTAGTTTTTTGGTAAATGTTTTCATAAAAAAGAAATACGAGGTGTGTGTGTGTGTGTGTGTGTGTGTGTGTGTGTCAGAGAGAGAGAAGAGAAGGGGGGTATGAAGTAGTTTATATTCACTGCCTTCCTTTAAAACGTCCTACCAGCTGGACTTGGAGCCTGACAGGTCCCGGGTCCCAGGTCCCAGGCAGCCCCGGCCGGGGCAGGGCCAAGACCGCGTGCCCAGGACAAGTAAGTAACTCAAACCCGACCCGGCAAGCGTGGCCCAAGCTGCTTTTGCAGTTGGGGACAATTGAGCGGACACACAAGTTAATCCCGCACTGATTTGTTTCGGATCCATCTGCAGGACGCCTGATGCCTCCCCCTTGGCTGCTGCAGCGGACACCTGCCTCCCTCCCCATCCCAGACTGCTCTGCTTGTCCCATGAAAGCAGAGAAAAGAAACCATAGGGTGCGGAACGGACCTCAGTAGTATTCAAGACAACACTTCACCGTGAAATGTAAAGTTCTCCTTTAAGAATTCCTGCCTAATATTGAGAACAACAGCCATGTCAATTGATAGCCGTTCTAACAGACAGTCCGAACTGCTCCAAACCACTCTAAAAGCTTGCCTTGATGGAGAAGGGGCCTCTGGGGCCTCTCTATCACCTGCCTGGGGGCCTCTATTTCCCAAGTAGCCCTCAAAGAAAAAAGACCCTATGCTCCCGCGTAGGGGTAGGAAAAGTGCCTGCTATGATGGGTCTTTCTATTCAATACAGAATTAAGAGTTGGGTCCCTGTGGAATTCTCTTCCTAACTACTCTCTGAGGAACCAGCCAATTCTGACGGGATTTGCTGGATTCGAGCAAAACTTGGCGCACATGGGGTGGGGTGTGATGGGGAGCAGGAGGGAGGGGGGCGCATCTCCTTTCTTCCAGATAATTGGGACCCAGCAAAGAAGGAGGGGTGGAGCGGTAGGGAGAGTTATTTGCGGTCATCAACTGAAATAGGCAAAACCAATAACGCACCTCGCTTTTCGCCCTGTTTACTCCATCCCCATTCAGTGATTGGCAAAGCAGGCCCTGAAGGCAAAGGCAATAATTGCTCCGCGCTCTCCTTACTAGGGAAATGTGTAGGCATTTGAAGTGTACTAAAAATAAACGAAGGAGCGAGAAAATGAAAAGGGGACAGAGTGACAATTTGCGGCAATTAAAGCGTCTGCGCGCTGTTGCCGGAGGAACAGGGACCCACAGCGGTTTTTGTTTTCCCAGGCTTGATGATGTGACTAACTCGTTAGAGAATTTGCGTCCTAGGTTGTGTGTGTGTGTGTACTTGCGTGTGTGTGTGTACACGCGCGTGAGCATTCAGCAACCCAGGAGCCCACAGCAATGGCCGGATCCGTGGGGGAGGAGAGAGCCTAGAACCCTAAAAACTCCTTTGGCCTCCAGAAAGACCCCGGTGCAGCTCTCTACCCTAACCCCTAAGCCCCTCTCAAGTGAGAGCCTCTCAGTTAGTACTCAGTTGCCACGTCTCGCAGGAACTTTGGAGCAAGTTTTCAGCTCCCAGG
Organism: Homo sapiens; assembly: GCF_000001405.40. Taxonomy (NCBI): domain Eukaryota; kingdom Metazoa; phylum Chordata; class Mammalia; order Primates; family Hominidae; genus Homo; species Homo sapiens. The sequence goes on from NC_000007.14 coordinate 96,998,052, forward strand.
TGTCCAACCTTTAAAAGGAAAAGCATAATAATACTAACCTTTCTTTCACGACCACGCGAAACGCAAAGGATGTGGAGTGGGGAGGGGAGGAAAAAAAAAGGGGCGGCCAGCCAAATCAAAGCTTGGGAGACATTTTGACAGTGCGCTTGAAATAATGCTCTTAATTTTTGGAAGGTTTTCAAGAAGGGGGTGGGGGGCACGTGGGAGAACCACAACTTTCTCCTGTCTGTCACTCAAGCGGCCAGAGAGGGCTCCAACCTCCAGCTCCCGCGGCAACACACAGTGGGAAATTGCTTCAAGATACAGTGGGGCTCTATTCTTTCTCTACCCCTGCCCCGCCTTTCCCGAGCAGTGAACTTCACAGAGAGGGTGGTAAGGGAGGGTTATCCTGGGTGTCAAAAATCTGTGCATAGCCTGAGATCAGAAGAGTTAACCCCAGGCCCTAGACCCAGCCCAGCGGCCAAACTGGCACCCCGTGCTGATCAGCCCCCGCATCCCCATATCTGCATCCCCATATCTACCTCCCCAGTCGGGGGTGGTGAGGTTTGGGGGAGGGGGGCGACACTACCATATGCATCCACCACCTAAGTCCAGCCCAGGCTGGCTTCAATGAAAGCTGGCAAATCCGGCGAATCTCGCAGAAATTTTCTTCGAACTTAATTCAATTTTAAAGTGGATTTTTACTATTAAAAACGCTGCCGAGCAACACATTGAATTAATCTGACTGTACGGTTTTAATTACAGTGAGGGTTTCTCTACAAATCTGTACAAGACAGTGGCTGGTTCTTGGAGGATCTCTGCCTCCTGAATTCCATTATCGGGCCCCTGGTTCCCTGCAGACGGCAGCTCGTGGGAGCCAGCTGCGGTGCGAGCGTTCAGTCGCCCTCTGCTTCTGCCGGGCCTCCTGGCTCCTGTCCCTCCTCCCTTCCTTCATCCCAGCCCCATGGAGAGCCCAGGATTCCTGCCTGTCATTTGAGACTGCTGAACTGATATCCTGAAACGCTACCCTTGCTTTTTAAACTCTTGGGCCCCAGACTTTTGAGCCCCCTGAGCATCGTTCTTAAAGTGGCTCGTTTTGTCTGGGAGGGTGACCTCTTGTGTAGTGTTTTTTGAAGGGTTCTCCTGCTTCGACTTAGCAGCTGTTAGAGTGGGCAGCGTGATGCCCAGTCTGTCTGAGGGGAAAGCAGGTTAGGAAATGGGGAGGAGAAAGGGGTAGAAGACTAGTGAAGAGCTTGGTTTGGGGGAGTCTAGGCCCCCCACCTCCAGCCCTACCCCCACCCCCATCTCCACCTCCTGGCCCTAGAGGAAATATACATGGCGTAGATCTGCAGGTAACAGGGCTGCTTTTATCAGCTCTCATTTTGTTCATTTGTTGTGCAATTAGCATTGTAGGGCAATGGTACCTAGCAAACAGGACCAGGTAGAAAACTTAAACACAAAAGGAAGCCGACTCATACTCAAACTCTTTTGTCCACTCTCTTATATTCTTTTTCTAACTCTCTTTCTATGTCCCCTGCTTTTGTCCCATTCTCTCCTTCCCTCCGCACAAAGTATGTGCGAGTAAAGACAGTGAATCCAAATATGAACCAGCAAAATGGACGCAACCTCTCAATGTGTATTTAAAGAATTGGAGGCTTTGAGCTCTGTCGGGGAAGGGCCCCACTCAGCAGAGTGCAAGGGATGAGGAGCATTTTGGCTCTCTGCACAAAATTTGTAAAACCTGCCAGGAAAAAAAAAAACCAGTAATTATTCCATTCCCAGGGTAGTGGGAAGGGGGCTCTCTTTCTCCTAGATGCGTGTGTGTGTGTGTGCGCGCGCGCGCGCGCGCTTTAAAGGAGTCTCTTTTCTGAACAAGAAAAAAGAGAGAAAGAAAGAGAGAGAGAATGAATGGGCACAGTTGGGAGAATGGAATGTGAAAAAACAAAAACAACCTTAGCTTCTAAGGGCATTCAAATTTGTTGCCCTCTAAAAAAGTTTTACTAAAAAGCTAATAAATTACATTTCCATTTATTGGGATATTCCCAAATAAAGGAGATAAGGAGTATTTATGAACAGGTATGAGTATAAAAGTCACCAGTTCATATATATCACAAGAGTAGACAGATACAGAACAAACTCACCCTCTCTCTTTCTCATGAAAAACGGTTTTCATTTATTTTTCTGTTATAACAAGAGGACCAACATGATAGCAAGGGGATGTTTTCATCCCAGGTTTTCCTGAAGAGTTGTCCCAAGCAGGGCTGTCCTTTAATGTTAGGCATTTTCTGTGACCTTGCTATTGTTACTGCTGATGAAGCGATGAAGGAATTAAACAGAAGATGCTTGGAGGCATTTAGGAAGACAGCTATATTAACTCCTTATTATGCCTAAAAATAGTCTACTGTTTCCTGTTGATACTTGTTCCCTACCACTATAAGGCTGTATTTATCCTCCAATGGTCAGGGGTCCCTGCTTTCCAAAGACTGGCTTGCTTAAAGCTGACTTCTAACACCCCCTCCCTTCTCCCTTTGCTCTGATATATTTCCCATCAGGGCAAATATGGAGAGCTCAACCTTAGCATAGCCTACAGATTGAAAAGACAGACATCAGCATTTAACTTGTTTTATTCTAAGTGTTTAAACATTGTTGAGTCCTTTTTTTCCTGGGCTTAGAGAAAGAGGAGTGTTTTTGTATTAGGAGTGGGGTCCTATGCTTGTTAAAAGAGAAAAAAGAGAGAGGATTTGAGGGGAGAGGGCAGACAAGCAGACCGACCTCTGTATACAATCCTAAAATTAGGGAAGGTAGAAACATGCGCTGCTTTTCCCCTAAATCAATTCTGGGCACAGCACATCAGCTCCCTCTATTAAGAAAGCCTTGGGTGCTCACACACTTGGGAATGGAGTCATGGAGAAGGCAAATGATGTTTAGTTTGAGAAGCTGGTTAGCTTTGTTTTCATAATTCCACTGGACTCCAAGTTTGAAAATGCCTGGAGCAGGAGCCTGTAGGTTGGGACATGCATAGTTAACATTCTCCAAATTGGACAGTCTTGAAAAACTCTGTGAAGCCCCCTGTGGGAGCCAGTGTCATGTCAGAGTTTTCTAACTGGCTATTCTTGGGACCTATGACTAGAGAGATGAGGAAAATGTTATCCCCAAACTTAAGTGAGACTCTTTCTAAACATGGGGTAAACTGAGGCCACTTTTTAACTGGATTTGGGGGCATCTAAGAGAGAAGGGTGTTAATATGGACAATACAGCTTATCACCACAGACAAGAACACCAATGTTTCCTTGTATAGACTGATACTTTTGCAACTCCTGAAGATGCCATCACTGGCAAGAGGCAGCTCCCATGTGCCCCAGAGCTTTCACTGTTGTCTGTGTGTTGGGGGAGGGGAGAAAGTCGTGCGGGTTACCAGGATATCAGGCACCCTTTCCTTACATACATACACAAACAGAGTTTTACAGTATATTGAATGAGGAAAAGACTAGCAAGTTTTTTTTTTCTTCACCAATGTCTCCCGTTGAGAAGGGGCTATGTAAGTCAATACTGAGTAATTTCTTTGAATTCAAAGGCTATTTATCCAGGTCTAATTTCTTTAGAATTAAAGTGATAACTGAGCTCAACTTAGCAACCAAACCCATCCAGGTCCTGCCTGGTTTGAATGTACTTCTACAGCCCGTGAGGCTGCAAAACCACTTCGGGCACCCCAAAGCATTTCCAGGCCTACATGCGTGAGCAAACACCGGTCCAGACCAGGAACAGCAGGAGATTCTTTGACCCAAGAGCCCATTCCTCCAACAGTGGCCTCCGGCAGACCCGGGAGGTCTTGTGTTGGCAATACACAAGCATTTCTCTCTAAATAACATTGACACTCGCAATACAAATTCCAACATCTCAACACCTTAAAAAGCAAAAAGCAGCTTAGGCCTCAAATCCTGCCTAGTGAATATGACCCTCACTTACTACAAGCCCTAAAAGAGCCTTAGGGCTCCTACTCCAGATTGCAGGGTTTACTTTTATTTTGAATGATAAAGACTTCGAGGGCCTTGCCCGCCCTCCTCCTCCCACCCGCAAGGGTTGGCCCGCGTTCCCCTGCGGGCGAGACAAAGAAGCAGGAGCCAGGACCCGGCTGGCGCCTAACCCGGCGCCGGGGCCTTGAGCCCCTGAGGTGTGCGCCTTCCTGCAAGGCCCCAAAGAACCCGAGTTTTTGCCCCTTGCTGAAGGGTTGGAAGTGCGGGCTGGACTAGTGCAAACAAGAGTGACTCCAACCGCCTTACTTCAGCTCATTACCGTCACCCATGAAAACGGAATGAAGGACTGGGAAGCCAATCTGCCGCGTTCAATTGGAGAGAAATGACTGTCGGAAGAGGCCCTGCGGTAAATAGCCTCTGAGCCGCGAACTCTATGCGCCGTGGCCGGTGGCAGAGGCCACACCTGGCAGCCACTCGTGGCGCGCCACCTTGGCATGTTGTGTGCGGGTCACACTATCTCCAGTTTTCCATTCTCGATACTGGCAGGAAAGTCTGATAGTCAGGCCTGAAGTTTAGATTCCATCCCGCAAGCGCAGAGATATCACACCAAGTGGGACCTCTCGCTCGTTCCACTTCCCAGCCCCTGACTGTCTCTGAGCTCAGACTGGGTCGCCCAGCAGGTTTCAGCAGGACCTTTACCATGCACCACAACTACCACCTCAGTGCAGCTGCTTCACTGGAACAGAGTGCAAGGATTTTAGCCACTAACTATTAGGGGAAGGTTGAGAGCCCTGAAGCTACAACCCGGACAATCCCAGCCTTCCCGGCTTCCTCAGCAATCAAACAAATGAGAAAAAAAAATCCCCTTGCAAGTAGAGGCAGCTGCACTCTGGATACAGTGCTCAATTGCAGGGACCTTCCGAGGCCCTGCCACGACATACTCTAATTGGGGTGCAGCCAGAGTTGCAGGAAGCTGGCGAGGAAAGCGGTGCACCTGTGAGCATAAAGCGAAAAACATAGACAAGCACAGGGTGAGGGTGTAGGGGGTGAAACGCCTTCACGGTGTTAACAACAAGCTGCAGGGTATAAAGCAATAAAACTGCCACGTCTACCTGCTGGTATTGAGGACATTACAAACAGTCTCGGCGCGCAGCCCGCGTGTACCGAGAGCGCACTAGGGTTGGGAGTGGGAAGGTGGGGTGGGAAATCTTCTCTTTTCCTGACATTCCCTTCTGTCCCCCACCCCCCACATCTCCCCCTTACTTAGCCCACCTTTCTTTTTCCATGAAGCTTTTCTGTTGTTGTTTTAATTCATTGCCGATTTGTAAACGTGTAGATCGTGTTACTGGTTCGCGTGTTAAAGTGCACCTCTTGTTAAAAGGTGGGGAACAGGGCACGCCACTTAAAAATGAATTCAGAGTTACTGAACCGGCTCCCCAGACTCAAGAACTTAAGCGCAACGGGCTGGGAAAAGGAGGGGGAGAGGAGCGCAAACGCCGCTGACCTGGGAACTCGGAGGAAACTCGCGGGCAGCGAGCTTCAGGTCTTCTGATACATTGAAGGAAAGAAAGAAAGACAGAAAAAGAAAAAAACAAACTGTCCTGGAGATAGCTAGACATCCAGGGCTGGGAGCTGGGAAAATCAATTGGCATAAGCCGCTGCCGGCGGGCTTCGCGCAACGTAAAAAATAAAGTCCAAGCTGCTCCATCTGCAGCCACCCTTTTCTGGAGTTAAAGGGGCAAGCGGCACCTTTTCTCTATTTCTCAGTTTCCTTCGGTCCTGTAACTTATGGAGTCCAGAAGAAGTAGGATATACAGAAGTCCTCAGTAGTTTTCCCAAAGGGAGACACTGTCTCCTTCCCGCAACCTCCAGACACTGCAGTACAGGGTTGTTAGATATTAGATAGTACGTTTCTCCGTGTGGGCAAAGGCTCGCGGCTTAGGTCTCTAAGCAGATCGAAAGTCGGGGTCCAGACCGAGAGGATCTTCAGGTCTCGTCCACCCAATCTCAAGCCTCTGGAAGGGCGGGCTGCCGGCGACCTCCTCCAGTCCCGGGACCCGGAACCCGGGACCCTGGACGCCGGTGCGGGCGGGCCTGCCCTCCTCTGTGCCTGGCCCCCAGTCTGGCCCTCCTACCTGTTGACCAGGCCTGAACCACGCACCGGGGCTCCGCTGTCTCTGCTTGGCTGCCTTAACCTGCGTGGGTCTGGAGACCGGAGGGAGAAAGGCTAGATCCGCAGCCTTGGGCTGCTCCGAACTTAATGTCTTTCCCCAGTCCATCTTTGAAAGAGAAGTGGTTCTACCACCTGGATGTGCGGATATAAATCCCCTTGCAAATAATAAATGGATTAATAATAACAAGGTATGAAGTTCTTTTTATAGAAAAAAAGGAGAGAATTGAAACTAAATGCGGCAGTTAGACAACCATTTTGATAAGAGGATAATTGAGGCGACACTGGTGTATAATTAGAGGATAATTTATGCTATATCCACTTTTATTCCACCTCCCAAAATAAACCCAGTCCATAATCATTACAGGCAAATTGTTCTGAATTTTATAGCAGCAATTTGAACAAAGTACTGCAGTTAATCATGGGAGATTTTTGTGTATTCCTGATTAGAACTCTAATTGCCTCCTTCCAGAAAGTAAAAATAACTGTAAAACGACTCTATTTTTATCATTAACAATGTTGACAATAAAATAAAATCAATTGGAATTGTAATCGAGAGACAAATTTAGGACGAAGGCACTTTTACTTGGGTAGTTTATATTGTAATCAAGATTTGCCAAACCACTAACCGCATGTATCATTTGCATATATTTGAAAGCATTACAGTAGCTTCTGTTTTCAATAGGAAAAAATGCATTACTGTCAGTCCTCCAACGATTCGTTTTCAGAACACGCTGCTGCGTTCTGAAAAGAAAAAAAAGACGCCCCCCCCCCCCACAACCTTTTGTACAATATATAAGAAATACGGCCTGAAACGGCAGGGACCGAGCCAGAACAGGGTCTGATTTTTCTTTTTCTGTACCACCCCCCAGTGGGGTGGAGCCCAGGTGTGAGGGTTCGTCTTCCTTCTGTGGTTTCAATAAAATACGTCTAGAAAAATCCACGGTGACAAGGAGCTCCCACAAGAGTGTAGTAGGACCAGAGTGGCAGGGACGTCAAGAAAGGGGGGCCTGGATTTAATGCGGGGGTGGGGTCACTGCTTCTAAGCACAGGCAACCTACAAGGGTGCAAAGGGATTGAAAGAGAGCAGCCCCCAGTTGGCTGTTTCAAGGCTGAGATATTGGCAACTGGGGCTCCGGGATTTGGGGCACGAGCTGCGGCGGGAAGCATCGGCGGCCGGCCGGGCAGAGGCGCCTCCCTCCCCAACGGCCCCGGGCGCCACACAGCGCGGCCCCCGGCTGCAGCTCCGGCTGGGATTGGAACTGCGGAAGGTAGGCGAAGAACTCTGCAAGTCGCGCACACGCCAGTAGAAGCCGTGCGCCTGTGACGTCAGGGGGCGACTGACCAATGGGGAGGCACTGCCCTTTGGAGACAAACCATTCGACTCGTGGCGTCTGCATCAAGTCTGAAAGCAGACGCGCAACTTTCGCAGAATCCACCTTAAAATCTCTGCCTTAAACTGCACCAGCCCCCAAAAAATCCAAGGGGGGAAAGCAGGCGGGGGGAGAGCAGATTCCCCCCTCCCCCTCTCCTCTCCCATCCCTCCTCCTTCCTCCTCCCTTTGAGTTAACAAGGCCCCGCTCACTATATCTCTTTATATTAAATATATATATATATTAGAGAAGAGCGAGGGAGAGGGAGAACCACCTCCACCCCCCTCTTTAAATTCTTTTTTTTTTTTTTTTTTTTTTTTGCAAGGATCCAAAGAGCTAAGGTGGCTGCAGAGGGGAGAGCGGCGCGAGCCAAGTGGGGGAGGGTGGAGGAAACCCGGGAGAAGGCTTTCTCCAGCCCCCAAAGTTTTTGATGATGACCATGACTACGATGGCTGACGGCTTGGAAGGCCAGGACTCGTCCAAATCCGCCTTCATGGAGTTCGGGCAGCAGCAGCAGCAGCAGCAGCAACAGCAGCAGCAGCAGCAGCAGCAACAGCAACAGCCGCCGCCGCCGCCGCCGCCGCCGCCGCAGCCGCACTCGCAGCAGAGCTCCCCGGCCATGGCAGGCGCGCACTACCCTCTGCACTGCCTGCACTCGGCGGCGGCGGCGGCAGCGGCCGGCTCGCACCACCACCACCACCACCAGCACCACCACCACGGCTCGCCCTACGCGTCGGGCGGAGGGAACTCCTACAACCACCGCTCGCTCGCCGCCTACCCCTACATGAGCCACTCGCAGCACAGCCCTTACCTCCAGTCCTACCACAACAGCAGCGCAGCCGCCCAGACGCGAGGGGACGACACAGGTGAGAGGCCGCTGGGGCAGCTCGCTTCTCCCGCCTCCCGACTGCCCCCTACCCCGCCCGCCCGCTCACTTCCTCGACGCCCGGGCCTCCGCCGGCCCCCTCCCCCAGGCGGCCCCGCGCGCCCTTGGCCGGGCCCCGTGCGCGCCCGCTCGCCTGGCGCCTGCCTGCCGGCCTCTCCCAGCCGGGCCCCTTCCCGCCGCCGCGGACCCTCAGCTTCCGACGCGCAGTTCGGGCTGAGTCCCGGGCCCGGCGCAGGCTTCGTTCGACGAGTTAGTCCACACTGCGCTCTCCAGCCTCCTGGGTCTGTGCGCCCTTTTCCTTGCTCCTTCCCTCCAGGCTGTAACCCACGTTTGACCCGGCTGGGGACATTTCTGGGCCGGAACTGGGGAGCGTGTTTTGCTTCCCAGCCCACGCTGGGCAGGCAGTGGCCTACTTTGCGTGGGGCGCCCCGTGCTCCTCAGTGACTCGGAGGGAAGCTGGCCTGGCTTTCGCTCTGGTTAAACTAGTAACAGTCAGGCTCTTTCCAGTGGGCTTTAAAGTGTCCCTCACCTTCATCCCTGACCGGGCCCCCTATCTAGCTTTTCGCTACAGTGTTGGCTGCTCCTTTGTTCGTGGAGGGGAAGCAAAGAACCTCGGGCTGATGGTTCTCAGCACCCGAGGGGGACAAAGTTGCCGTGAGAGGCGCAGCCTGCTCGTGGGCTGGTCTGAGCTGTTGGTTGTGTTTTGTTTGAGGATTTGGTCCTCCTCAGGAGAGTCATTTCAAAACATGCCGAGGATGCTTGATGCACTGAGCTTGGAGCTGGTGACATCAAGTCAACTGGCCGCGTAAACACCTGGGTGGCTCAAGCACAGCTTCAGGTACTGTTAAGCCGGGCACAGGGGCCCCGCTCCGCCCGGACAGCTGCCGCCTTGCTGCGCTGCGCACCCCAGAGAGCCTCCGGCACCGCCTCCGCTGCGGCAAAGCGGGCTGTTTGTCTGAGGGCCTCTGGCGCTCCCTTGGCCCAGACGCTGCACATTGTTCGGGCCAGGGACTGGGTCAAGGAGATTACGCAGACGCTGGGAGCACACGGGCAGAGTGGACCAAGAGAGGTCGGGGCATCATAGGGATTTTTCGAGGTAACCCTTATTGGGCTTTGGGGAGACTCGTTGCATGCCACGCCAGGAGCAGGGAGATGGCAGCAGTAGCCTCCCGGGTGACCGCTCCTCTGTATTATTTGCTTACAGATCAACAAAAAACTACAGTGATTGAAAACGGGGAAATCAGGTTCAATGGAAAAGGGAAAAAGATTCGGAAGCCTCGGACCATTTATTCCAGCCTGCAGCTCCAGGCTTTAAACCATCGCTTTCAGCAGACACAGTATCTGGCCCTTCCAGAGAGAGCCGAACTGGCAGCTTCCTTAGGACTGACACAAACACAGGTAATTCCCGAGAAGCCCAAGTATCCCTGAAATGCTGGTACCGCTTGCAGATCGGGCAGGGAGCACATCAGGAGGAATTGTTGGCCTAGTCAACCAAGGATGGAAGGAGCTTAATGACAAATGCCTTTTGCTCCAGTTATGCACTTTCCTGGGACAACACAGTTTGGAATGAATGACCTGGTATTGAATACTGGATTGGATTTGCACATCCTCCCAACCCTCGGCGACCCCACCCCAGCCTAGAATCCTTTTGTGACCAAACTCATAATTCAATTGAGTGTTATTCCAGAGCAGAACAACATGAAAGAGAACAAACATTTAGGAGAAAAAGGTGTACAAGCCAGGAGGCAGAATAAGGTTCAACTTTTTTAAGGATCCTTTTGTAGGCCCTGGGAACTAATAAGGTTTTCAACCCATTGACACAGAAAGAAAACTTGTGAAATGAACTAAGAAAAAACAAAGTAGGCATAGGTTCCAATGAGGTTTAGTAAAGGCTCCAAAGTGCAATCTATTTATCCTAGGAGTGTCAAGGTGGGTTTTTCTGAAGATTTCCCTAAGCACGGTGGTTAAGTCATCTGGGTGACAGACTGATGTGGTCTGAGCTGCCTCCCTGGAGCACAGGACTTGGGTGCAGTGGCAGAGTTGGAGATCAAAGAGAAATGTTACCAAAATTGTAACAGGTGAAGCCACAGTTAAGTACAGTTACTGAAGTTCTCCCATCCTACTAATTTGAAAGCCATAGAAGGCATTTCAGATTTCACAAGAAGGAGCTTAGGTGAGTATATTAGGACCCTGGTCAAAAAGCCAGGCTGCAATCACCTGCAGTTTTTGTTGATTAATTTACCTACATGGAGTAAGTAGGCCTCATCTGATGTAGGTAATCTTCAGCAAGGGGACCTCAGGTTTTATGAGACTGTTGCTGCAGACTGATTGTGTGTTGACTTAAGACAGTTGTTCCTTAAGCTCTTTTTCAATTTAGCCTGTTTTCTCTTTCCATATTGCTATTCATAATATTTGGGGTTTGATATGAAGGGATTCCGGCTATTCAGTGACTTGTATGCGTCTTGAAAAAGTAGATTCTTATGGCTAGGGAATTTTAAAGGTAAAGGAAGCTGCACCATAAAATTTCCTTCTTCAAATAAAGTAGATCTGAAATGTTGGCCTAGATATGCTCCCATCCCAGATTCCCGATTCACGTTTAATTTTCAGAAGCCCTTTGACTTTTAATTACTATACTAACAATCATGTGATGATCCTTGACCACAGTTTGACTAGGCAACATACAAAATAGGGAATGAAGGAGCTGCAGTCCTTAATCCCTGCAAGGTTATGGGGATATATTTATGTCTGGAGAAAGATGCTTCATGTATAATCTATGGCATATGCAATATATGCATAGATATATTCAAGGCATTTAGTTATAAATGTACAGGCTTTAATTCCTTCAGTCATTTGCTCCTTGTACCTTTATAGAGATAACAGCTTTTGGGTATCTCTATGCATGTACACGGAGAAAATGACTGTGTAAAATAGTTATTTTACATAGACTAAATTTACATTACTAAATTTTATGTAAAATGACAAGACTTTCAGAGGAGGTGCATTCAATTGAATGGCTTTGATTTGAAAGGGCTGCTTTTAAAAATCCTTTAGGCTTTGGACCTGGTCATCTCATTCAGCTTTTTCTTATTTATACTGTTGTTTTAAACCTACGCTAGCACGCAATTCTAGAATTACAATAACTTTAGGTATCCAGGCAAGATACCTAGTATGTTGTAGGAAGTGGGACTGTAAGAGGCTAGAAAGAGGTGGAAGGAGGCGGGGACTTGGCTTGTAGGCGTTGGCGGTGGTTGTTTTTTGTTTTTTGTTTTTTTGCTTTTTTAATATTGCTTCTAAATCCCTGAGTGACGTTAGAGGCACTGGTTTGATGTTTATGGGCCTAATGATTGCTGCATTTCTTGCAGGTGAAGATATGGTTTCAGAACAAACGCTCTAAGTTTAAGAAACTGCTGAAGCAGGGCAGTAATCCTCATGAGAGCGACCCCCTCCAGGGCTCGGCGGCCCTGTCGCCACGCTCGCCAGCGCTGCCTCCAGTCTGGGACGTTTCTGCCTCGGCCAAGGGTGTCAGTATGCCCCCCAACAGCTACATGCCTGGCTATTCTCACTGGTACTCCTCTCCACACCAGGACACGATGCAGAGACCACAGATGATGTGAGTTGCCCAAGGGAACACCCTAGGGAAACGTCTGAACAAGGAAAAGAGGATCCGGGACCTGCTTGTATCTGCGAAAAGGAGCCAAAGGAGCAGGCTTAGGAGAGCTCATAAGTGTGGCAAGAAGCCGACTAGGCTCATTCTCTCTCCCTCTCTCTCTCTCTCCCTCTCCTTTCTTTTTACTTCTTCCTTTCCTCCATTCCTTCTTTCTTTCCTTTTCCTTTCTACCTTTCTTTTCTTTTTGCCTTTCACCTTTTTTCTCATTTACCTTCTCTCTTGAGCAACGTCAGTAATTGATCTTGCATCTCAGAGAGAGAGAAAGAGCATGTGTGAGAGAGAAACTGGTTTCTATGCCAGCACTCCTGAAACCCCTTACTGTAAGGATATTTTCTCTTACCCCTTGGGATCCAGGCTCTGAGTCTCTTCTCTTTGGGAGTATCCATCAAAATGACTTTTTTTAAAAACAGATTTTCCCCCAACCAGAAGAATCTGCACAAACTTGGCAGCGTTTTTACTTGTTTAATGAGTTTAAGACATTACATGGTGAAAGAGAAGCATTTTGGACTCCTGCATTTTTATTTACCATTCCCAGACTGACGAGAAAAAGAAAATTCCTCACATAACAGCCCTTCTCTAAAGAAAAAGGAAAAAGTGGCTGTAAGATTAGAACATTGCTACAAAGGGAATGCTGCATGTTTTATCAAAATGCAATGACCAGGAATGATGGTTGATTAAAAAAAAACAAAACAAAAACCACTCTTTCCCCACCCCACCCCCCCAAACCCTGAACTGGAATCAGGAAAGACGGAGGAAACAATCAAAATCACCATTCTATTGCTTTGACACCTTTACTAGGTGAATTGGTGGCATTCACAAAGCTAATAGGGACGTTTATATCAAGAAACATTTCTGTATATATTGTTGAATTTTAGTTGTACATATACTTTGTATGTTTTTGTCTTCTTTCATATATGGAGTAAAAGCCACAAAACGCTGAGTGTCTTGTATATTTCTCTCTCTGTGTGTCTCTGTCCCTCTCTTTCCTCCCTCCTCCCTCACTTCCCTTCCCCCCATTAAATTTTCTATCACCCTTAAAAAAATTCCTATTTCCTAATATGGGAAGTCATATGTATATATATGAACATCAAGTGCCTGCAAAGATGTCAGTTTGCACACTAGCCTTTGTCTTAGGTAGTTTAACATTAACCATGGATGTTCTTTCAACTTTCTTTACATATTACGTTTTTATTGTAATTTCTACACATTTACCTATGTTTTAAACATTAGAATGACCTATCCTCAAGTTAACTTCTAGACATCACAGTAGTTTCTAGTGCTGAAACTGAGTATTCTCCTTTCCCTTTTCCCAGCCAAAATAATACAGCCATATTTGTCTTTGTTTGGATGCAGTTTTTTAAAATATAGGAAAGAAAAAAATAGAGAGTAGAGTGCACAATTATGCCTACTTAATGTTTAAAACCCATTGCCAGCTAGCTAGGTAGGAAAATGCACTATGCTGGATGAAATACATCCTTCCGATCTTGGGGAAAGCACAGAAATAATGAAAATGAAAAGTCCTTTCGTCATACAAGCAGGAAGCCCCATACTGCGAGAATTAATGGCTACAGACCTGGGCATCCTTCAAATTATGAACCTTGAAACCACTGAGCCATTTATCAGAAGTCAATAGAGATACTCAGAGTGCTCCATATAATGACAGCGACATACAGTCGTGCAAAAGGACAGTCACTATAATTAGACACAAAGCAAAGACTACTTACCAATATACCCGTTCCTTTTTTTGTTGAGCAACTTCCACGCTCAGTCAGTCTTCAGAATGGTTTAAAACCGATCAGTCTTGTCATTTTCTAGCATTCGCATTGTTACATTAGGAAAAATGTTTTCTTTTCTTTTTTCCCCCTTCCTACTGTGAAACTTTGGGTTCGTAGCTCCCCAGGATCAATTCTGAACAAAGCCTCCAGCTGCAGTGCCATCCAATTTGAAGCAGACATTGGGGACAATTTAAGGTTTTTATCCACAAGAAGGTTTTTTTCCATTCTCTTAAATGCAGCCATAATTAGAGTAATTTTTCATGTAGCCCGCTGATTACAGCGTTTTTACCGTCAAAGATAATTACCTGTAATTTTCTTCCACTTTTAATACTAAAAAGCCATCTTTATTTAGATTCAGGAACAGGAAAGGCGAAACAAAAGAGGGAAATTATTCTGTTATTCATACACAAATTGCAGAGACGTAGGACCTAAAATTGAAAATTAACCAAAATTATAATGCTGAAAAGAATGGAAGAGGCTGCAGAAGTACAGCTGGTAGTGGGGCTTTGCTGAATTATTCAAATTACGTTAGGGAGAATGCTACCATACATCGAAACCAACACTAATTTTTCGTTAAAAAAAATTCACCAGATGCATGCCAAACCACTGTGAGTGCATAACATTCTGAAACCCGGCAAATGCATGTTGACATATTCGAGGTGTTGTCATGATGCATTTGTATCTATCTCTTTATCTCTTAACAGGAGTTTAATTAAACAAGAAATTCTGCCAAGTAGTCCCCCCCACCCCAGACTGCCCTTGGAACTGGGCTTTCTCTGGATCCTCTGAACCTTAAGGGTTAATATTTTTACTCTTTAGAATGTATTGACCCTATGGTAAGCGGATTCCCGAGGGAGGGATTGGTAGGAGGGGCGTGGGCGAAAGGCATCGCCCAGTGGTGGTGCCTACGACGCCTCCCCACGTTCGGACTTCTCCAGAGGTTGCAGAGTTCGAGCTGTGGAGCCTAGTTCTGACCGTATTTCCTATTTAAAAAGAGATAAAGTGGGGGAGAGAGAGAACAATAGCTGGGGGTGGGGTAGAGGAGGGAGGGGATGAAGAGAACGATTTCTCTTTGGCACCAATAAACATCTCATTATCTTTTGACACAACTTAGTCAAAAGGTTTCTGCCGCCGGAGAAAGGCCTTTTTGCACTGGAATGGAAAACCAAAGATTTCTCAGGCACTTAACATCTCTAGTTGCTTACAATGTCTACACGGTCAGGAAACAGAGTCATCTATAGATAGAACAGCACCGCTTCTTGCTGGAGACTTCCTTGGTGCGTCCCTAAATCTGGGTTTTCTAGCTCCCTAGCTTGGTTCTGCGTCTCAGCCAATCATGCCCCTCCAACCCCAAGGTCGCAGCGTTTGTTCTCGGAGGGCAGTAACTCCAAGATCCGCATAGCCTCCCCCTCCCCCCCGCCCCAACACACCAGCTTGAGGCAAAGACCCTGAAAAGCAGCCTTGAAGGGGTTCAGAGGCCAGTTATTCCGGAAACCTTCCCCCAAGTGGAGGAAAGATGTCGAAGGGGCTTCACCGTCCAGAGATTCATCAGACTACACCTGCCTTTGCAAATGTCCGCATACCTGTGGTTCTAAAGGAGCCCCGTCGCGAGCTCCGTTTGATATCTTGTCGCCTCAAAATCTAAAATCATGGCCACGTGTAAAGACCTCTCTGGATTTACCTAGGATTAGCTGTGAATAATAATTTTCAAATAGATTTTAGCTTGGAATCTCCAGCAGAGTCTCTCCACACCTTATAGAAACATGGTACTTTTCGCAGGCTCCAGTCACAAGCTGCACCAAATACATCAACAACATAGAAAACAAGAAAGACAAATCGAATACTTAAGGATCCCATTCTCACTCGAATCCTTTCACTCAACAGAACAACAACCCTTTTTACTGTTAGAGGGGATAAAAGGTCAGCATAGAGAAATCTATAAAGCAAAGTTGTAGCCCATGATAAATTACAACGGCAACATGTATCTTGGAAAGTGTGAGAAGAGAAATAAGAACTGTTCCTTGAAGTATGCAAGAAATAAAAACTTACCCTCAGTGAATATCTCTTAAGCAATGATCAGGGTTTAGAAATCTATACTGAACCAAAGCACAGGAGAATATTTTTCTGAGTCTCAGGGCAGAAGCTCTTTCTCTATATTCTTGGTTGAGTGAGCACATCCAGGTGTGAAATTGTTTGCACACCCCAGCACCTCTTATATTGCCAGCAAAATTAGCTGTTATTACTGTCACTGTTTAGTGATGGTTAGCGTGGTACAAAAAAAAAAAAAAAAAAAAAAAAAACTGCTGTAATCAAGACCTGGCGCATCTTTGCAAATTACAGATAATTGTAAACGTCCAGATTATGATAATAGCATCCTAATCCAGCCTGCAATATAATTATTACAGAGTGTTACATCTGAAACTGTCCAGTAGGGCTAATTCAGCCATTATTTAGACCCTATTTTTGCACTGCAAATGGGTTGCTGAGCTGAAAATGTACGATTGTAATTTCACAGGGCACTCAATGAGTAATGGTATAGGAAGAGGAAAATACAAAAGTGAAATGTGAACAGTAGCGATCAAATCAAACCCTGAAGGACAAAAGACTGTTTGATTCATATGGAAAAAGAAGAGCGAGAATTAAGAAAATAGCAAATCAGTGGTCTGAAGCATTTCATGTCCAAATCTTCAATAGTGCAGGGCTGATGTGTTTGCAAGGGCTGCTGCATCTGCTGCTTGTCTGGAGTCTAAAATAATTTTTCTTTTTCTTTCTTTTTTCCAACCCCCTGTCTTTTTTTCCCCCTTCTCTCTCCAGAAACATTTTCCTGTTTTAAAAATGTGTCCCTCCCCCAAAGCAAAGAACATTTGTCAGTTTCACCATTGTTTCCACAAAATCGCCTGAGAGTGTGCCTGTCACTTGTTTATGAACATTTTCTTAAATGAATTTGCTGTCTCTCTTGTTATCCAAGCAAAATGCCCTTGGGCACTTGTGTTTCTGCCCTCTGTCTTCATTCTCTTTCAGCAGGAACTAAGTCATAGAATCCTAAAGGATATTAGCAGAAAACGTATTAATTGCTGCTAATTAAATATAGCCGGCTGGGAAGCTGTCTTCTCCAGTTGGCTTGGCTGGCTATTGGTTTTAATCCTATCATTAACTTTTATTAATTAACATTCCCCCCCCCCCATATAAACCAGTCCAGCTGCTGCTTTTGCTACCTGTCACCAATGTGCTAAAATGAGCAAGGTCAATCTTATTAAAATATAGGAGGACCAAAGAAGGAGGGAGTTAGAGCAAGAGAGGGAGAGTTAGAGCAAGAGAGGCTGGAGACAGGCTGGGGGACTATGCTGGTCCCAGAGTCAAAGAGCTCTAGGGGTTCAAGCTGTTTCTTCCAGGAGGATGAACCCTGCCCTGGTGGAGGGTTCTGGAGTCTAGTTCTGGTTCCTGGTGGGGACCTCCTAGTCAAAGATACCTAAAGCCCATTTATCCCCAGGAGCTCAATTTTCCCACCATGAATACAGAGAATTTCCTAGGCATCTTTTCTAGCCTCTGGGCCAATGTGTGTCGACTCTCCCTCCTCCCACCACTTCACAGACCCGGGAGCTGCCCAACCAGGGCCACCCTGCAGGATGGCAAGCAGGTTTCCTAGCTCTTGTGAATTTAAGGGCAATAATGAAATGTCCCCTGTTTAGTGACCCCTGTTTATAGATGAAAGTTGAGTCCATATCCTGCTCTTCCTCCGCCCCTCTTCCCTGACCTTGCAAATGGCAAGTGGCAGAAATAGTCCTGGATAACAATAAGCTTCCATTGGCAGGTTTCTGTCTTCTTGGTTAGCGAGAGAAAAAAAAAGCCTTTAAAATAAATCATAGCTTGGGAACTGTTTACCACCCTTCACCCTCACCCACTTCTTAAAAAAAAAAAAAACACTAGACTGCATGGTGAAGATCCCACAGAGAATCCTTACCGAAGCTAGGAGAGAGGGAGGGTATGTGTGTAGAATGATGTTATAAAGCCATTTTTTTCCCTTCCTGTGGTGAAAGGTCGTAATGTGTGGTATTTCACGGTTTTATATAAATCTTGGTTTAGGATGTGGAACAGACTCAATAATACATGTGCTTTTGGCAAAGAGACTCCTTCGGATCCCATAAATCAGAAGTAAATAAGAAGTCCAAGTGAACAAAAGAGCAGGAACATTTAATTGATGCAAAGCAGGACTCTCATCTGCTTTAAAGAGAGGTTCATGTAAATTCCCTCAGTTCCTATCTTCACGGTTAGAGCCCGACCTATAAAACAGGTTATTACATTACAGCCGGCAGCCTTGGATGATTGAAAGGAAAGGCTCCCCACCCCAAACACACACACACACACACACACACACACACACGCAATAGATACAATGTATACTTTCTGCCCTGAGGAATCTAAAGCCTGTCAGATGCAACAGAAAACGCTGGGGGTTGGCGCGGGGGGGAAGAGACAGGGCTGCGTAGAAAATATTTAACCAATCCCACATGTGCCACCGCTATTTGGGCTATTTTTAAGGCCCAGAGTTCGCTGCGACTGGGCTGAGGTTGAAAAAAACCAAGCACTGTGTGCAAAGACCGCGGGCAACCTGGGAGCGCGAGCCGAGGCCGAGAGCAAGCCGCAGCGCCCCCTCCCCAAGCTCTGGAGCGGCGGGAGCCTCCACCGGCTACTGTGGGAGGGGGTGCTTAAGGGTGGAGGAGCTGGGTGACCGCAGGCGGATCCGCCGGCGTGGCGAGCTTCCCAGAGGTGCCCGAGGGCGTCTGCCCTCTGGGTGTGCCTCCGGGAGGGCTAGAGAGCTCTAGGTTGGCAAGATCCCAGTGACCATTGGGAGGCGCGCGATCCAAGGGGTTGCAGGGATGGGGCGGAGAGGAGGGGCGGTTGGGTAGCCTAAAGGTCCCTCTCCCAGAATACAAGGAAGCGCTAAGAAGGAGGATGTGGGGGCAGTGTTCCAGCAGGCATCCCAGGCTCTTCCGGCTGGAGAGCTCAGGAGACTGAGCGGTGTCAAGGCTGGAGTGAGCTATAGGGTGCGCTGGGAGGAGGTGAGCGCAGCCTGGCTTTGGCGCGCTGTGGGTGACTCCCAGGACGGCGCGGCCAGGACGCCGCGAGCCGTGGGGCGTCCGGTGGGATCAAAGGAACCAGAGGAGGCCAGCCGACGCGTCTGGGATTGTGGGATAAGGGGCGGGAGAGAGGAGATTGACATGGGCGGGGAGATCCTGGCCTGGCCTGTGTCACCGGAGGGGGTTGTGTGCGTTTGTGTCTTTGTGCGGATCAACGCTCTCGGGCCTGAGGCCGTGCCCTGGGTGGATCCGAGTGTGAGTGGACAGGCTCCCGGGTGGGTGCCCAGACGGGAGGGAGAGCGAGCGAGCGAGATCAAGGGCAGCGAGGTCTGCGGGTTCCTCTGTGTGTGTGTCTCAGGCCCTGTGGCTCAGCACTGGAGCCGCCTGGCACCCACAGGAATGCGGCTTCTCTCGGATCCCCAGGCCGCCCCTTGTCCCACAAGGAGGTGGCCGCCAGGAAAAAGGGGGGAAAAGGGGCAGAAATCCGCCTAGCTCAACCCGAGCCTCAAACAAAGGCCAATTTATCTGATCTCTTACAGGATGGCCCAGGAGGTGGTCTGGGCACCGAAGAATCGCGCTGGCCCTGACCGCATGCCCCAGCCTTCCTGGGGTTTGTGAGGAGCTCTGAAGGTGGGGGTGAGGTGTTGTAAGTAAGGGGTGGGGAGTATGAAGACGCCCACTGAAAAGAACATTAATCTTAGAAAGGACTTGATTCGTCTTGGGAGCACTATACTGAGAGCTAGGCAAGTGGAAACCGGAAGGGGCAGGCAGAGGGGTCACCCAGTGCGATGTCAAGAGTGGGGCCGGCTGGTCCGGGAATATGCTGGGGAGTGGAGCACGTTTATATTCGACGTAGGAAAAACAATGGAGAGGAAGAGAAGGTGGAAGGGAGGGCAAGGGAGAGAAACATCACATAGATATTTTTAGACTTTGCTGAAGATCTGTTATTTTTACATCCTTGGGCTCGGGACGGCAGGGAGTTAAATTCCCCTGAGAGAATCCCCATGGGGCCAGGGAAAGCCCGCTGCAGACTGGTTTACCAGAATATTTTTGTCCACGGCTCCCAGACCAAGCTAAAAAATAAAAACCGCACGAGAGAAAAGGCCTTTGCGAGTGGAAGAAGTGAGGTTGGCACAAGGGAAGGAATCCTGAAACCAAGTCTGTGTCCGCGCGGCGTTGGTCTGGGCCACCTCGCAATGAGGCTTTAGTGATCTTAACGACAAGCAGCCTCAAAGCTAGGGTGGAGGAGTGGTCATTTAGAAAGAGCTTCCCTCTTTCTCTAGAAGAATCCGAACCCTCCCTTCCCTCAGCTCGGCCGCGCCCGGTGAATAGGGATGAGGAAGGGATCCCCCTTCTTTTCCACCAGTAATGGGGCTGGGGAGTTGATAGGGACAGCTGGAAAAATATCTGCCCTCTTTGTGTGCACAAAGGAAAACAGTATGTTCCAAGCACATTCTTGCCACTCACAGGCAGCCAGTAGGTGAGAAATATTGGAGGTGTGCAGTGGGTGCGCCCTCACCCCCAACCTTCCCAAACACGCACCCCTTGGCAGGGAGAGGCGTCCGCGCAGGGGAAAGCCAGGCGCTGGCACACCGCGGGCGCGGGTTTCTCCCAGTCGGAGTCGCCAGAAATAAAGCGCTAGCTCTCGGTGTAATGGAAACTCCCGAAATCCTTACAAGCAAAGAAAGAAAAGCAGGAAGTGGATATCTTCATCTCTTCCCCAATCCCCCTATTCTCTGTGAGCGCAGAAAACAAAATGGGGCACCCTTTGGCTTCCCGCCCCCCCCCCCGCCCCCCGCAAACCTTCCTATTGCCCCCTCTTCCCCGCACCCAGTGCTCCTTCCGAGAAAGTACGGCTGGAGCGGACTGGGGAGACGGAAATATTGAGTCGCGGCCGCTGGGGGTGCCGGAGGAGGGGTGCACAGGCCAGGCTGCCGGGCGTAGTTCTGCCTCGGAGCCAGGCTGCGGGATATGTCTAAAGAGCGGTCAAAATACTGATTCCTCCAAGAAGCAAGCTGTTCCACACTGGCGGGCCTGGTAACTCTTCTAGAAAAAAAGTAAAGGAGAAGAGAACGAAAAAAATAAAGGAGGTGGAAGGGAGGTAGGGAGAGAAGAGGAGGAGGAGGCAGGCAGAGAGACAGAGAAAATGAGAGAGAAAGAGAGAGAGAGAGGAGAGAGAGACGAGACAGAGAGAGAAACATGTAGGTAAGGTAAATTCCCCTCAAGGCACATAGCGTGCCTTTTCAGGTCTAGTCTCCCAACCCTGGAAGAGCCTTCTGAGAAATCCTCAGTGACAGGATATAATTTTTTATGCTCTAATCTACCCCCACTTTAAGAAGGCTCTTTTGTCACATTTATTGCTGCTGACTTCCTAGCTGTAAAATATTTCACATGCATCTTGTAATTTCCAACCCAACATTTTCCTTCGTATCCTAAGGAAAGAGAGTCTGGCCCACTGAAGGACGGCCAGACAGAAAGACACCTACAATTCAGGCCTGGGTCTTTAGGTGCAGTGCATAGCTCTGGTCATGCTGTTGGTATCTACATGCAGGAGTGCAAGAAGAAGGAAGGGACACAGGGCACAGCTGCAGCAAGTCCTTCCTCTCTGTCCCAAAGAAGGCTTCCCAAAGGAGAAATCCTAGTAAACAGATTCTATTTTGCATCATTTAGAACCTGTTTGCCACTGTTTTATGTAAAAGCAAAACAGAGGAAGCTCCTTCCTGAAAAAAGGAAGGCGGGAAGGGAAATATTAAGAGTATTATCTCACACAAAATGAAATCAACACGGCGCCACAATGCTTTCATTCCTTCCTTTCCCCAACCCTGAAGTTCCCTCTTCACAATATCTGCAATGTTTTCATCTCTCGAAAAGAGCCGATACATTTATAATCATACTCCAAAGAGTCCAAGGTTCTATCATTTGCCATGCTCCAAACATTTTAGATTTTTAAAAAATGTAATAGGTGTGAGGCTAGATTTCTTTTTCATTTTCTCATCTCTGGAAACTCCCTTTGAAGGGTAATTTGTCTAATTGCTCTGGCACTACACAGAGGCTGATGGGTGGGGGCGCTTCTCCAAGATAATTGCTTTGAGCTTAGAATTCAGAGGGGTTATTGAGGGATTTCTGTTGCCTTCTAACTCACATACAGGGTGAGAGGGATGTATTTTTATTTCAGCATTACTTTCTACCTGAAACAATTATGAGATATGGCAGTACTATAAACATGCCATATATATTATATATATATATGCACACACACACACAAAGTATAGCATTGAACATATATACATATACAGTCTGCATGCATAGAGCCCCGACTTCTGTTTTCTTTTTTGCCTTGTTGGATCTCTGCAGAGCTTGTCCTTCTTTAGTTGCCTTCAATAAAACTTCACTAGCCAGTTATCAGAGGGGCAGAATGAAGTATTTTTCAGAAACATTCCGCTTTTCATGGTCGAAATAATTTTATTTATCCAGAATATACAGTTTAATTCCTCTATCTACACTTATTTACATGGCTAAAATAACATTGAAAAAAGTCTTTTGAAAAGTTGAGGTCATAGATTTCAAGGCACCATTGAAAGTGTCCACAGTTGCGCAAAAAAAGTCCTCTGTAAAAAAAGGGGGGGTCTTTTGAAATGCAATAACTTACATGCAAAAAAAAGCTTTACACATGAATCTTTTTCAGTTTTCCGAACTTCCCCATATGAATTCCTTTCTTTATGATTTTCTAGAACAGCAAAACACAGTAGTCCCAAAAAAGAGAGTAAGAGAGAGCAGCCCATCTAATAGAGTGTCCCGGAGGCCAGCGCCAGCGGGTGCTGTAAGGAGCCCGGCGGCGGCAGGTGGGAATTGATTGAGCTGGCTGCACTTGTGTACCAGGATGCAGAGTTCTCCAGGTAGCTGGACGCTGGGGACTGGTTGGAGGTCGGAGGGTGGGCATGAGGGTGGTGGCTGAGCGAGCGGGACGAGCCCTGGGGCTCCCACACCGCTGGAGACTGCGGCGAGTTACACGCCATTGGGTCGCTGGAGCTGGGACTGTGCTCCGGGGGCATCTCCCCGTTTTTCATGATCTTCTTGATCTTGGATCTTTTGTTCTGAAACCAGATTTTCACCTGAGTTGGGGAACAAAGGCACACGTTACCGGGACACTCAGAGGTCGCCCGCGCCTTCCCCGGGGCGGCGACTGGAGGCATCTTCGGACCTCTGGGCGGCCCAGCCCTGCCTGGCGTCTCCCCGCCGCTTGCGGCCTACCGCCAAGAAGCTATGCCTTAGGCAAACCATGGAGCTCTGGCCCCAGAGGGCGCCCTGGCCGGCTCGGGGCGCCCCGGCCCAGCGAGGCCACGACCCCAAGGCTTGTCTTTTGTTTGGGCTGGGGGTGGGGGACGCCAGCGCGGCGGGTGTGCGCCCGAGTGTCCTCGGCGGCGGCGCGCCTCGTGTAAGCCTGCGCAGGACGCGCGGAACGCGGCGAAGGTCTCCAAAACAATCGCGCGAGCCCGGCGGGGAAGGGGCGTGGGGCGGGCTACGCGCGCCTGTGGTCAGAAAAAGGAGCGAGCTCCCAACCTCCCGTCCTACTCCCTTCACTCCCTCTGCAGCTCAGAGAGGCCAGAATCTGACTGCAGCTCTTGGCGGCGACTCGAACATTCTTTATGCTTCCGTAGGCCCCAGCTGGGTTGGAGGAGTAAAAGGAATGGGACAATCCAGGAAGACTTCTCACGTACAATAGCGCCCCCCACCTCGCGACCCTTCGGTGGCCGTGGCCTGAAGCTCCCGTAGGCTCAGGGCACGACCCTTCAGTTTCTCCGCTCCAGGCGACGTTCTCAGCCTTTTCTTAGCCTGAGACCACCGCGAGAACACCAGGCCTTGCTCACCCCCGAGGAGGCTCTACATTGTTAAGAAAACCAGATAGCTGCTCTGGGCTGCCTAGGCCGCCCTAGAAATAACCCTCCGCTTGCTTTCAACCCGCGAAATTGGCCCCACAGCTCCGGAGGCCCGCTACGGGGTGGGGGCGGGGGGCGCGGTTAGTGGGAGGTATCTCCAGACCGCTGATGAATACCATCCCCACCGTCTCAAGGCCTGACTCACCGAGTTAAAGCATAGGGGCTGATGTCTTTGGGTCTGTTAGTTTCTCACGGGTACTGTCAAAACAGCTCCAGTCCCATCGAGACTGAACCGCGCGACCCAACCAGACGTGCAGCTCAGGCAGGTCTAGTGCATGGCAGCGCCGTATTTACCTGTGTTTGTGTCAATCCCAGCGAGGCGGCCAGCTCGGCGCGTTCCGGCAAGGCGAGGTACTGAGTCTTCTGAAACCTTCTCTGTAATGCGGCCAGCTGAAAGCTGGAATAAATAGTCCTGGGTTTACGAACTTTCTTTGGTTTGCCATTCACCATTCTCACCTCGGGCTCGGTCACTTCTTTCTCTAAATAATCAAAACAGACTCAGTTAAAGCTTGTCACCAGACAATGCCCCTTTTGCGGAAGGGCCTCAAATAGAGTCCTAGAGTTTCTTACCACTCAGTCTTCATTCTTTGCCCATATCACCACCACCTTTGCTTTTCAGGACCGCGATAAATATGCACCTACCCCAAATATGGAAAAGCGGGATAGCCTCTGATTAATTCCTACTCTGTTCATTCAGATAGTTTGTGCAAAGCGCTTCCTACAACACTGCTTTCTCCTTGGCATCTGGGATTCAGCTCTTGCGGTCGTTGCTTCTTCTCCCGGACTTGTTTTTACGCCCACCCTGTGCTCCTCCGCGTTTCCGCCCCTCCCCAGGCTTCAAGAACACCAGCCCCTCCCCAGGCTTCAAGGAGGTGGCCCTGGGCCGTGACCCTACTTCTGTCGGCGTCTGTTCGGGCGCCCGCAGAAGCCAGACTCTTGGGCAGGGAAGACGCTAACCGAGGTCTCCAAAGTTCAAAGACCCACAAGCAAACTGCTCCTTCACTTCAGCAGCAAGCGGTCGGGGCCGCCGCAGACAGAGGGTCGATTATGCAACCCCCATAATCTCGCTGCAGATCTGCGAGGGCACAGATGTGTCTGGTTTCTTTTACAAATAGACTTAATATGTTCTTGGCAAAAAAAAAAAAAAAAAAAAGAAATCTTCCACTTATGCACGGAATACAGAGAGAGTGAAAGAAACGTAGACACCTCAACCCGGGGCTCTCTTTTAAAGTTCAGCAAGAGTCACACACTGAGAAGGAACCGGTGGTGGGGTGTTTTCGTAGGAAAGGGGCGGCAGGTCAGGATGAGATTCTCACTGTCATGAGTATGGGTTTGGGCGGGAGGGGGAGGGATTGCCAAACGCGTGTTGTACAAACCTGCCCTGGGGCTACAACTCCCCTTCCTCAAAACTACCACCCCTCTGGAACTGACGGAGAACCTCTCCAGGGTGTGTGTGTGTGTGTGTGTGTGTGTGTGTGTGTGTGTCAAGTTCCAGGGAGAAGTGTGGAGGATGAGGGCTGTGGTCTCAATTCTGCCAGAGTAGGGGATGCTAATATTAGCAGGATTATTAATGTGCTGGTGGGAAGAGATCAAACCTTACCAATAAAACCTCTCCGCCGAGCCTCATGCCTTTCTCTTACCGCCCAAGCTCACTAACCCTCTTAAACTCTCTAAGTAAGTTTCAAAGCGGACGAAAAAGGAGGACGGAAAGACAAATTGTGGGCGCCTATGGAGACAGAAAAAAAAATCTATCCTACAACGTGACCCCTCAGCAACCCTCCTCCACCTTTAAATGGCTTTTTGTTTTTGGAAATGCCTGGATAAACCGCAAAACTCTCGGCGCGCTCTTCTCTGGCTGGCTACAACTCCTTAACCCCCCCACCCCCACCCAGCGTGCTCAGGGCACCCGCACCGTGCTAGCTTGTGGCGGCTCTCAAACTAATCCTGACTGAGTTTTTGAGGCAGCCTTCTATTCCCACTCGCACCAACCCAGCACGCTTACCAAAATTCCCAAGTAACCTTCTCTTTGTTACGCAAACGCCAGGAGCTGCTTGATTCTTTCTTCTCTCCACCCCTATCCCCTTTCCAGCCTAGCCGGCTTCCTGGCCGGGCAAGCTGGGAATTCAGCGACTGAAGGGCCTTGGAAGGTGCCGGAGGGGAGAGACGCTAGTTCGAACCTCCACAGGGCTCTCCTACTAAAAATCCCTAAAATGCTGGCCCGAGAAACTCTCTTTGTTGGAGGGTCTGAGTCCTACTCCCTTCTGCCGCGTGCGCCCCCACTGCCGTGAACCGCTGTGACCCCCAATCTACCACCCCATCTCGCGCCCCCAGCGTCCTAGTCGCCCTGTATCTGCCCAGCCTTCCCCCTGTCCATGTACCTGGCTGGTTGGTGGCGCTTGGGACGCGGTTGTAGGCGCCGCCGTACTGGTGGTAGGAGCTAGCGTAGCTATAGTCGGCATAAGCTTTGGCTGGGTAGCTCCCGGCGGAGCCGTTCACGCCGTGATACTGATACTGGTAGGGGTTGAGAGCTTTGCCATAGGAAGCCGAGGTAGGAGAGCAGTAGCCGTGCGGGGCTCCCCCCGTAGGGCTGTAGTAGTCAGAATCGGTAGCTGAAGACTCGGGCAAAGTTGGCGATTCCTGAGACGGATGGTGCATAGCTGCGGACGTCTGGAACGGAGCTTGGAAGTCGCCGGATCGGATGCTGGGGACCCTTCTGTCAAACACTCCTGTCATCGCTCACGGGCGGCGGCAGCGGCTGTCCTTGCTGTTGTGGCGGCGGCAGCTGCCCTAGTTGGCTGTGGGGCTGCTCTGGTCTAAGCAGACATGGCTGTGGGAGCGAGGGAGGAGGAGGAAGAGGAGGAGGAGAGAAGGAGGAGGCGGCGGCCGCGGCGAGGAGGAGACTGGGAGTCGTGAAGTCTCTGTCTCCGGCCGGCTGACTGCTGGCTGAGGCGCAGCACAGCCTTGGTTAAATCCTTAATTGCGCGCTTACGCACAGCGGGGTGGATCTGGTTCTATTGGCCAGGGCCTCGGGAGCAACAGTAACACCCTAACTCGTCCAACTAGTTTTAGCACAACAAAGCATTGCTTAAAAAGGGGGTGGGGGGTACTGAGGGGGTGTGTGTGTTTGTGTGTGTGCGCGCCCGCGCGCTTGTGTGTGTTTTTGCTTGTTGTGGAGTGGGGAGGGGTCTTAGTCTATCTGTTTTTAGTAAATTCCAAAGACATCGCAGAAGCCACAGCACAAGGCTCTGTGATGTCTGGGGACAATGTGTTCCAATCAGAAGCCTCAAAAGTGCACATGTTTTGGGAATGAGGTGGGCGACCATCTTTCCTTGCTTCCCACTACCCCGCCCCCGTGGGCTGCACCAAAGGCGAGTGTAGAATTAAACACTGATACTGAAATAGGGAGTCAAGGTGCAGGGAGTGGGGAGCGGGGGGATGTAGGATGGAGGCAAGAAGGAAGGGAAACAGCATTTTTTTTTTTTTTAGTGGAGTGTTGGGAAGCAAGTTGTAACTTACATGTTTTGAAAATTTGCTCTTTGGGGAAAGAGGCAACTTCCTTTGCAGGAGATGAGTATCTCCCGGACGCGGGCTGGACAGGAATGCCCAAGAAGGCACAATGTCCATTAAGCCGGTGAATGGCAGGGAGAGTTCCTGCAGCCCAAAGTCCTTATAATGACTTTTAAAAATTACTGTCTTAAACACATATAACTTAAGGAAGCCCAAATCCTCGTTGCTGGCTTGCAAAAAGAGCCAAACAGCTCCACTTCTGTTTAATATTTTCATCTATTTTCAAGACATTGGAATAAAGGCTCTTTAACTATGTTCAGTGGCCAAAGACTCCCGCAAAGGTGAATGGATCCATGTATAACCTGCCATACCTCCAGGAAAGAATGGGAAAGTCTCGGAAGTGGGGAAGGAGACAAGGATCAAAGCCTTTGCAAAGTCAGATGATGCTCATTGATTTCCCCCTCCTGGCTCCATGAATGTGGCCCAGTCTCTCCATTTCCCAGACCCGGGTTTCTGTACCCTCTCCCCTTTATTTCCTGCTGCAAAGACATCCTACTTAGCTCGTATGCAAGGGAAGAAAGGATTCAAGAATCATTCAGTTGATACACGAGATCTAAACTTTGCTCTTCAGGAGGTGCTATCCTTGTTCTAGTCGTGATTCAGCTGGGAGTTTAGAAATTCAGCATAAAAGTCTCTCCCAATCCCCATTGTTACTCCCCTCAAATAGGCAACTCCGCGGACTAGATCCTGATTTGGGGCCTTCCTACATCTTCCTTTACGGGGTCCAAGACCGGCAATCTGGGAGTTCCACAGGCTATCTAGGGTTATCTGGCCTCCCCTCCGTTTTCCCTCCTACCGAAGAAGAAAGCGTCTGTGTTAGTTGTGTCTAGTATTAGTTTAGCCTTACTTGGAGTGTGGAGCCACTCGGCCTAAAACAGGCCGACGGGTAGAGGTAGGGTGTCTGGAACTCAGAGCAAGATACAGCCCCGCTCAGGAACTCCAAAGCAGAGCTGCCGTGCGTGCACCAACTCCCTGCCTTTGCGGTCTGGACTGCACCAGAAAAACACAGCTATTGTCGCACTTCCTTTCGGGGGAAACTTCAGCACCGGGAGACTGGCGCCCAGCAGCATTCTCCTTCTCCCACTGGCCCGAGTCACGAGCTTTGGGCCTGGGCTGCCGCGGGCTTCTCTGAGATAGACTTCGGGGTAAACAGAGCTGCAGCTGCCAGCCAGCCCTGACTTGACGCTGTCGATTACCGACAGGCTGTTAACCGTCTAGATGTAGGCTGTGAGGAGCTAAAGAACAGGAGGGAAACATGGGTCTGCGGTCCTGGGCTCTGCTCTGGAGAAGTTATCGGCGCCCATCGAGTCACCTGATACACACTGCCATTTAATTACAGAAATCGCTTCCTCAGATCAATGCCAAGGACAGTTCAAAGCACCTCCCGGCAAAGACAAGTGGGCAGGGAGCCAGGCCTCCCTTCCTCTGGTCCCCTATCTTCGACACTTTTGGTTAAATAGAGATTTGAGTTACCACATGGTTATACTGAACAGGGTGTTCCTAGCAATGCCCTTACACCTTGCTGAGATGGCAGATTCTAACCAGGATGGGATTGGAAGCTGCAGAATTGGGGCAAAATTTAGAAGTTCGGGATCCGATTGAAAATAATGTTACAATGTCAAATTAGTTCTAGACCTTGCTAAATTTCACCCCCCCAAAACCCCGCAGTCAAAATGGACATTCTTTCCCACATTTCATAAAAGACAAAAAGGAGTGGGCCGGGAGGGAAGAATTTAACTTCTTTGTTTCGGTTCCTAAAGCGTTAGAACGTTGGCCCTCACGCAGACTTGAGCCATTCTGCTGCTGGGTGAGACCAAATCTGGATGTGTCTCTACAGGTCCAGAGCCTCAACTTTCTTGATTTTGTTCCTCTTTTCAAGGTTGACCCCACTCCCCACTCCACCCCTTCCTTAAAGGCAGCCGGGAGGGAGAGGAAGCACTAAGTTAAAAGCAGCGGAGAGTCTGTTCACAGTACAGTTTTATTTAATTTCACAATATAGGCATTGTAGCTCTGTGCACTGCCGGCTGCTCTGCGGGCCTGTCTGCGGCTTCGGACCCACGCTCAGGACATACACCGGCCAGTATCCCGGCTCTCGGAGCAGCAAACTTTTGCTGGTGTTGTGAGGGAGTTCTCACACTAGGGCCTCCAGCTTTGTCCTAAGGCCAGCGGGCTGGACGCTATTGCCTCTCAAAATCCACCGACAAATCCAGCCGTGGAGAAACAGCCCCACGGCATCAAACTCTTCCAGCAGTGCGCTTCCCGCTGAGACACGTAGGAAGAATGTAAGTAATTTCATCTTTTAGTAGCTGAAATCTGCAAAGGGAGGGAAGGGGAAGTAGCGGGAGGGAAGCCCTAAGATAAGTGCAAGTCTTTACCACGAGCGCCACCCAGTGTCCTCGAGCAACATTGCGCAAATGGCAAACCCCAAGCTCAGTCACTGGCCAGACACCAACTGGTCCTTAGTGTTAGAGTTCACTTCCAGGTGGCTTTCTTTCTCTGTACTTCCAATACATCTTTCTCTCAATTCCCATGCCCTTTCCTTTCCTTCTTGTACATTCATACTTTTCCTTCCTCCTCCCACCGGCTCACCTTTTTCTGGGTCACCTTTTTCTTGGTGCCCCCTGTCCTATCCCTCAATTCTTAGGTGTAAGGCGCTCCTTCAGTGTCCCCACCTGGGGTGACTGGAAGGCATCAAGGATGACTCTCCTTTCCTAGCCTTTTATTATTATTATTATTATTATTATTATCATTATTATTATTATTATTATTTGGACAGAGTCTTGCTTTGTTGCTCAGGCTGGAGTGCAGTGGCATGATCTTGGCTCACTGCAACCTCTGCCTCCTGGGTTCAAGCGATTCTCTTGCCTCAGCCTCCTGAGTAGCTGGGATTACAGGCATCTGCCACCACGCCCGGCTAATTTTTGTACTTTTAGTAGAGGCAGGGTTTCGCCATGTTGGTCAGGCTGGTCTCGAACTCCTGACCTCAAGGAATCCACACAACTTGGCCTCCCAGAGGGCTAGCATTACAGATGTGAGCCACCGCCCCCGGCCGCCTTTCCTAGACATTTGTGAAGAAGCAGGCCCTCCTTTAGTTAGATGAGGTGCTTGGGAAGCTTTCGGTCATTCACTACTATGGGCTGAAAAGAGTGCCACTGAGTGTGCAGGGAGAGAGCCGCAGAAGGGGGTGGGGTAGCAGAAAATCTTAATAACAGCATTTACTCAACTTTCTCCATGTAGCCTATCTGGAGATCTGTTTACTCATAGAAGTGCCAACAGTAGAACACCTTTTCTTTTGGGCTTGAAACTCAGAAAATTCAGTGCAGTTGAAAATATTTAATTTACGAACTTAAGATATTTTTAATATGGAAACTTTCATTTATATAAAACATTGTACACATCAATTGGATGTGCATAATTCAGGTAAATAAAGGACCCCTTAATATGATGCTAGCATTGTATAGGCATACTTGGTATAAAAAGCACTTTGACTTTATCAGTAGAATACTCATTCTTTAAAAGTCCAGTTTTGGGGGTGAGGTTTATTTTTCTTTTTATTTGCACTGCTTTATCCATTATCTTTTTTTATCTGTCCAGTGAAAAATGCTCTGAGCAATTCACTCTTATCATGATCCATTTAGAGTACTTTTCATCCCAGAAATCTCAAACACAACAAAACTGGTTAAGTCAAACATTTTGTGGAGGTAGACCTGAGTAATCATTTTATTACAATGGAGCTGCAGTTATCTTTGAGCTGGGGCACTAAGGCCGTTTAATAACTTAAGGTAACAGCTCTGAAATATTCAATTTGATATTTGTATAGAAAAAGCACATTTCTTGGAACTAGGGTGGGATGAAAAGATAGGAGTTATGATTGCAAAAGTAGCAAAGGCTTTCAAAAATAGCACAAGTTGTTGGTCACTGGTTTTGGCAATGCAACTGAATGGCCTTTGTCTCCCAATAGAGGGCTAGGCACACTGACTTGGATCTAGCATTCAGAGGTGGTTCATCTGAGTTAGGAAAACTATTTAATTCCCCATGTAGGTTCAAACTTCTTCCCATGTGTTTATGAGGCTGAACTAACTAGGCCCAAGCTAAAATGTTTAGGAGCCCATTTAAATCAACAGTGAGCTTATCTAGGGAGAGAGAAGAGGGAAAGTGGGTGTGAAGGGTAACAGGATAAATAGAAAAAAGGTTTCCTCCCATGCTGAAATTAATTATAATATCCCCTTGCCCTCAAGAAAAATGTGTTTGGAGTTAAAGAGCATCCCCAACAAAGTAAATCTCAAAGGATTCACTAGTAGGCAATTATATAAATATTCTGAATAAATTAAAAATCCCCAGAGGGAAAAACTATTTTCCACTTAATTCCAACCTAATAAGATTTTTGGTTTATTTCCAAATGATAGGGCAGATCATAGACTTCTACACGTTTTGTTTTTATAATTAAGACATTAAAATATGTTTATTCATTTAACTTAAACATAACTAGCTAGGAAAACGCCTTAAGTATCCACTCAAATCTATTCTCTATGAGACAAATTTAATATACCACAGCTGAAAACACTTCAAGTTCATCTAACTAGGAAGTAAATGGGATTATATTATTATATGTCTTTGCAAACTGAAATTGAGGCATATTCTTCATCCTAAATTCGGATTTCATCTTCTTGAAAGGAAGGTTTGGCTGTGGTACTATTTACAAAACCTTTATTCTTCTTAAAGATATACAAATATTCCAAATTCTAAAAATACCCCTTGTGGAGTTAAAAGAAAAGTAATTGACAGACAGGAATTCAGAGCAATGATCCACCTCTTGCAAGGAAATAGCAAGAGTGAAGCTTCAGTCATCTTTAATAACATCCTAATTCCAAGATCTATTTAGAATTTTAAAGTTCATTGATCCTAAGCCACTGTATTTTATGATCTGACAATATTGTATGCAGAGATGCAGAAAACCAATTCTGAAGCCAAAGCCAGATTATTCAAACACTGTGAGCTGCGTAAAACTTGGCCCACAACGTACATGCACAAGGGCAGATGGTATAATTTTATAGGCATTTTTACCATCTGCCCTAATTATATCATTTTAATAGATTAAAACAAACAGAAAGAAAATACAAAACCTTTCTCTACAGCTGTGTTTACTACCTTTACCTTTTATAAAGAAAAAAATTCTTAAACAGGCAACCCCAGCCTGAGATAAGAGGTTTCCCTGCTGTGTTACACAGCACAATCAGTCGAAGCTGCAGTGCCCACCTGGACTTGCATCCCTCTGTGCTCCTGCAGAATAAAATTAAGGCAACAGAAAGGAAAAGTCAATAGCTTTCCAAGTGAAGTGTAGCTGACAGCAATGGAGTCACTTTTAAAAATTGTGGGCAGAAAAGATACGTTATTTGCAGCAAGAAGCTTAGTAATACTCAATGTATATAGCCCATGGGCAGTTAAGCAAAATTTTACTTTTTCAACATTAAGTCTTCAGTTTTATTTTATTTTACTGTTTCAACATAGCAGGCTCTTGGATGGTACATGTAGCAAAGTATAATAAACATATACCTTAGTATAATTTATTGCTGCATCCTGATTTATAATTTTGGGCATATAACTGCATGTGTCCAGTAGTTTGTGTGCATTCCCCTGTTGATGCATGCGTTTCAGTTGGTTACTTAGCGAATCAAGGAACACTGTAGTTGTTGCTCCAACTTTTGGACAGACCTCACTTTGCAGACAACCTACTATGCGTCTGCATGCACCACTATTAGTCTAAAATGAGGTTTAGGGATGTCTGGAATTTTTCTTACAAGTTCCAGGAATCCTTGGAGTTAGAGAAGGAAAAGATACTTATGACACTCGGGATGTTAGCAAGGTATATACCAGCATTGCATTAAATAATTTCTTAGAATAAAAAAAGCAAAATTGGAAATCAACAAATCAGATAAACAAAAACTATAGGCAAGAAAAACTGTCTTCATACATGAAAAAATTCAGAATGTACCATTATTCCCTACAGTTCTCTGTTGCCTTCTTTGTTATTTGAGTCTCTAGCTGCTTCATGGGTACACTGTTACAGCCTTTTTACACATGCCATTCAAGAGATTCAGACACATTTAGGGTTATGTTATAGAGTAACTGTGCTAGGTTGCTAGCAGTTAACCTGCATAGCAAACTTGGAGAGGATAGGAAGAATGTTTTAGCATCAGGATAAATAGATGAACCAAAGAGGATATCATATTTGCTAAAGTGATAATACTTTTAATGGAATTATTCCTGAAGCCTGTTAATTTGGCACAAAAATAGGGCGGAAAGTATCTAATAATTAAAATTGCCTGGTAAGTCTTCCTAACTTATAAGAATAATGGAAGAGATTAGAAGAGAAATAGGCCAAAGAACAGAAAGCAAAATGATAGAAATAGATCTACTTTGCACTCTGAATTAAAATAATCACTGGGGAACATTCAGGAAAAAGTACTTGTCCACCCGAGGACTGTCTTTTAGGGAACACTTCTCAGAGAAGTTGGAATGAAAGTCACTTCTTTGTGACTCCCTTTTACTAGGGTCATTAAAATTCAACATGGCCTTAAAAATCACAGTTTAGGAAAAATGTTCTGTAAATGTTTCGAG
The DNA here is from genome assembly GCF_000001405.40 of Homo sapiens. Lineage (NCBI taxonomy): Eukaryota > Metazoa > Chordata > Mammalia > Primates > Hominidae > Homo > Homo sapiens. The sequence goes on from NC_000007.14 coordinate 97,032,076, forward strand.
TACGTTATTGGGCTCCATTCCTCTTCAGAGTCTTATGGCGAGTATTTGGCATGTCTTGCAAATTTTATAGACCTTTAAATGGTTTTTCCCAAAGGGATTTCACATATAATTCACTTATACTTTCACAGTGCCTTGAGAAGCAGCTATGTCTGCCTGTTTTGGGTGGTCCTCAACTTTTATATATTTGCCTTTCATTTAACTTGAACTTGCTCATATTCCATATTGGCATTCCTACCTCACCCTTTATTGGTGGGTTTGAGTGGTGATGTGGTGGCACTGCCTGCCAGCTACTGCTGTTGGGAGTAAAGTGCCTGCCTGGCCTTTGAACAGTGCCAAGTTTGTATTCCCTCTGTCTCACACTATGCCTAGGAATATCTGGGCATGGAATTTCCAGCTCAATGCAGGGCTGCCATCTCCCCCTCTCTTGCCTAATCCCTCCCATCACCATCCTTGCAATTGTCACTTTCTCCATGGGCATGGAGGCTAACCACTGGGCTTGCCTAGCCTCCTGCTCCAGTCCCTGCAGATCAGCGTGCTCCTGAAAATGAGAGATGCCTGGCTCAGTGCTCCCATGTCTATGAAAGACAAATGGCCACCTCATCTGCTCTCCAGGGATTGGGCCAGAGGAGATAACACTGATAAAACTTGCAATTAGGAATTTTATATTTGGTTAGCGCTTTGATAATGGATATCCACTTTCAAATACATTTGTTTTGAATGAAAGGTATTCCTTGAATACCTAATTGACAGATTAATTTACTGAGGCCCAAATAATCCACTTTTATAATAATAATTCCTTGCATTTGCTTAGAGTTTTAAACTTTTTTTTAATTCCAGAAAGTTCTCGTATAATTGATTGTTTACTCTCACAATATTCTTGAGAGGCAAGTAAGGCAGGAAGAAACCTGATTTCCCAACTTTCTATTTGACATACACTATGTAAATTGTGTTGTTACCTAAGAGTAGTTAAAATTTCCCATGGTCAAAATGCTCTCTGTATGCACATACAAAAAGAGTTGGTCATGGACTGAAGTAAACTTATTACTGTTTTAATATTAAACAACAATAACAACAACAACAATTCAGGCCAGGCGAGGTGGGGCATGCCTGTAATCATAGCACTTTGGAAGGCCAAAGTGGGAAGATCACTTGAGCTCAAGAGTTTGAGACCAGCCTGGGCAATGTAGTGACACCTCTACAAAAAATTTAAAAATTACCCAAACATGGTGACATGTACCTGTGGTCCCAGCTACTTGGGAGGCTGAGGTGGGAAGTTCACTTGAGCCCAGGAGGTTGAGGCTGCAGTGAGCCATGATCATGCCACTGCACTCCAGCCTGGGTGACAAAGTGAGACCCTGTCTCAAAAAAAACAAAAAAAAATCTCAAAACCAATGATAGGCATTTACTGTATGCTAAATGCTTTGTGCGTATTATTTCATTTAATCTTTACAGCAGCCTGTAAGGAGGTGCCATTATTATCCATTTTATATAGATGAATGTGAGGCAGACAGATTAAGAAAGAAATTTAAGGCCAGGCACGGTGGCTCATGCCTGTAATCCCAACACTTTGGGAGGCTGAGGCGGGAAAATCACAAAGTCAGGAGATCGAGACCATCCTAGCTAACACGGTGAAACCCCGTCTCTACTAAAAATACAAAAATAAAAATAAAAATAAAAAAATTAGCCGGGCATGGTGGTGGGCGCCTGTAGTCCCAGCTACTTGGGAGGCTGAGTCAGGAGACTGGCGTAAACCCGGGAGGCAGAGGTTGCAGTTAGCCAAGATCGCACCACTGCACTCCAGCCTGGGCGACAGAGCAAGACTCCGTCTCTAAAAAAAAAAAGAAAGAAAGAAAAGAAAAAAAAAAGAAATTTAACTATTATCCTGTGGCTAATAAGTTTATTGCATAGGAGTTCTCTAAAAACCAGAAATCCTATACCCTGTGGAAAACAAAAGCATAGAATTGAGGCTTTAAATACCAGAATAACGTTTCTGTTGCTACTCTCCTTTTTTTGTGTGTTCTTAGACCTAAAGACACATACAATAAGCTGTGGCTGTTTTAGTTGTAGTTGTTTGGTTTTGTTTTGAGAGGTGACAGCGTGCTGGCAGCCCTTGCAGCCATCGCTTGCTCTCGGTGCCTCCTCGGCCTTGGTGCCCATTCTGGCCGCGCTTGAGGAGCCCTTCAGCCCGCTGCTGCACCGTGGGAGCCCTTCTCTGGGCTGGCCGAGGCTGGAGCCGGCTCCCTCGGCTTGTGGGGAGGTGTGGAGGGAGAGGCACGGGTGGGAACCGGGGCTGTGCGCGGGGCTTGCAGGCCAGCTAGAGTTCCAGGTGGGCCTGGGCTCGGCGGTCCCGCACTCGGAGCGGTTGGGGGGTCCTGCTGGCCCACGGCAGTGCGGGGCTTAGCACCCAGGCCAGCAGCTGTGGAGGGTGCGCTTGGTCCTCCAGCAGTGCTGGCCCACCAGCACTGCGCTGGATTTCTCACCGGGCCTTAGCTGCCTCCCCACAGGGCAGGGCTCGGGACCTGCAGCCCGCCATGCCTGATTCTCCCCCCCCGCCCCGGGACCCTGGGGTCCTGCATGGCCTGAGCCTCCCCAATGAGCGCAGCCCCCTGCTCCACGGAGCCAGGTCCCATAGACTGCCCAAGGGCTGAGGAGTGCGGGCACACCACACAGGACTGGTGGGCAGCTCCATCTGCGGCCCCAGTGAGAGATCCACTGGGTGAGGCCAGCTGGGCTCCTGAGTCTAGTGGGGACTTGGAGAACCTTTGTGTCTAGCTAAGGGATTGTGAGTGCACCAATTGGCACTCTGTGTCTGTCTCAAGTTTTGTGAACACACCAATCAGCACCCTGTGTCTAGCTCAGGGTTTGTGGATGCACCAATCAGCACTCTGTATCTAGCTAATCTGGTGGGGACTTGGAGAATCTTTATGTCTAGCTAAGGGATTGTGAATACATCAATCAGCACTCTGTATCTAGCTCATGGTTTGTAAACACACCAATCAGCACCCTGTGTCTAGCTCGGGGTTTGTGGATGCACCAATCAGCACTCTGTATCTAGCTAATCTGGTGGGGACTTGGAGAATCTTTATGTCTAGCTAAGGGATTGTGAATGCACCAATCAGCACTCTGTGTCTAGCTCAAGGTTTGTAAATGCACCAATCAGCGCTCTGTGTCTAGCTAATCTGGTGGGGACCTGGAGAATCTTTATGTCTAGCTAAGGGATTGTGAATGCACCAATCAGCACTCTGTATCTAGCTCAAGGTTTGTAAAGGCACCAGTCAGCACTCTGTGTCTAGCTCAGGCTTTGTAAATACACCAATTGACACACTGTATCTAGCTAATCTAGTGGGGGTGGAGAACTTTTGTGTCTAGCTCAGGGATTGTAAACGCACCAATCAGCACCCTGTCAAAATAGACGAATCAACTCTCTGTAAAACAGACCAATTGGCTCTCTGTAAAGTGGACCAATCAGCAGGATGTGGGTGGGGCCAGATAAGAGAATAAAAGCAGGCTGCCTGAGCCAACAGTGACAGCCGGCTGGGGTCTCTTTCCACATTGGGAAGCTATGTTCTTCACCCTTTGCAATAAATCTTGCTGCTGCTCACTCTTTGGGTCCACACTGCCTTTCTGAGCTTTAACACTGACCACGAAGGTCTGCAGCTTCATTCCTGAGCCGGCGAGACCACGAACCCACCAGAAGGAAAAAACTCCAAACACATGTGAACGTCAGAAGGAACAAACTCCGGACACGCTGCCTTTAAGAACTGTAACACTCACCATGGGGGTCAGCGGCTTCATTCTTGAAGTCAGTGAGACCAATAACCCAATTCTGGACACTGCGTGTGTGTGTGTGTGTGTGTGTGTGTGTGTGTGTGTTTGCGTTTTTTTTTTTGTTTTTTTTTTGTTTTTGAGGTGGAGTCTCACTCTGTCACCCAGGCTGCAGTGCAGTGGCACGATCTCAGTTGACTGCAACCTCTGCCTACCGGGTTCATGTCATTCTCCCACCTCAGCCTCCGGAGTAGCTGGGACTACAGGTGCCAGCCACTACGCCCAGCTAATTTTGTTTTTGTATGTTTAGTAGAGACAGGGTTTCACCGTGTTAGTCAGGATGGTCTGTATCTCCTGACCTCGTGATCCGCTTGCCTTGGCCTCCCAAAGTGCTGGGATTACAGGCTTGAGCCACCATGCCCGGCAATGATAGTTTGTTTATATCAACAGTTTCGTTTCCCTTTAATCAGTTTCACTTTTCTTTAGAATCCAATTGTTGGGTATTAGTATCCACATCTGAGGAAATTGAATGGAAATATACTGTAAATCTGAGGTAGGGCGTTTTTTAGTGTTGGAACAAGGAAAATTCAGGGAAAAGTTTCTCTTAATAGCTGTTTTATAACTGATGTTAAATGTCGATGAGCAATTGGTCCCTGGAAACAACTGATGACAAACACACATAAAACTAAGCAGCAGATCTTGTCCCACCGTTTGCCCCCATTCTTTATTTTCTCTTGTTTTTCACATACGTGTCTCACACATCTATCTACAGACTATTCTGGCAAAATGTTCACACTGTTTCTTTAACAAAGTTACGTATAGAATGACCATATAACTTATCCAAACTGAGACTTTTTTGTTTTTTTGGAGACGGGGTTTTGCTCTTGTTGCCCAGGCTGGAGTACAATGGCAGGATCTCGGCTCCCTGCAACTTCTGCCTCCTCAGTTCAAGTGATTCTTCTGCCTCAGCCTCCCGAGTAGCTGGGATTACACGCATGCGCCACCACACCTGGCTAATTTTGTAGTTTTAGTAGAGACGGGGTTTCTCCATGTTGGTCAGGCTGATCTCAAACTCCCGACCGCAGGTGATCCGACCGCCTCGGCCCCCCAAGTGCTGGGATTACAGGCATGAGCCACCGCACCTGGCCCAAACTGGGACATTTTTGAAAGTGAAAAGGGGTTGATAATTACTGGGACAATAGGAGTAAATTGGAATAGTCCTGGCTAAACCTTGATTTTGTGGCATATTTCTCATACACTCCAAAGTCCTTCGGGAGGCCATCTTGGAAAGTCCTGTCCAGTAGCCTGGCATCATGGAAACTTGCCTGGTTAGCAAAGCTTAGGTTTTTTTTAGTTGCCTTGGGGTTGACTTACATAGCCTATCCTCAGTAGGTTAGGGATGGTCCGGACCACCACCTGTACATATGCAGGTTGTGCAATACATGAGTGTGCAATGGTGAAGGGGAGTGGGAGGTGGAATCCAGCCCACACTATACTTGCCCAGCCAAATACCCAAGTGAGGGACTGCATCTGCACTGAGAAAGGAGCATCTATTTCCCACTCACACAAAAGTTCCCCAGGGAATGGTAGACTCTCTGAGTACAACAAAGTTCACTTCCTTATCTAACATTTTCCTAATTGTTCACTCTATATCCTTTACTTCATTTTGATTATTATCTTTTTAATAGTTTTGGCAGAAATTGTGCCTCTATATTTTTTAAAACACTTAATCTGAATGCCTCACATAATAGAAAACTTTAGAGAATTGAAACCTGAGGCTTCCAAATGCACAAAAGTATAAGTATACTAAAAGATTTTTTTCTTTTCTTTTCTTTTCTTTTTTTTGAGACAGAGTTCTGCCATGTTGCCCAGGCTGGTCTGGAATTCCTGGGGCTCAAAGGGTCCACCTGCCTCGGCCTCCCAAAATGTTGGATTACAGGTGTGAGCCACTGTGCCTGATCTGTTTCCTTTTCATCTCAGAACTTCCTAAGGTTTTTCGAAATCTTGTATATAGAGAAGATAAATGCTTCTGCCTACAGTGACCATGCATTAACGCACTGTATTTCTTTTCTTACATGAGGTGTGCCATGTATAACAAAGATTTCCCTTACTGCCTAGGTTTCCTCAAAGAGTGAAACTTTGAGGACTATTATTTTTCACAAAACTTTTTAAACGTACTCCTGCCCTTGCAAGAGAAATGACTATCTGGTACAATTAACGTTGGACCATAGACCCAAAGAACAGTGAATATTTCAAACACAAATTGCTTTTGAGAATCATAGTCCTATTCTGGGCTTGAAGACATTCATGTAGGAAATTAACAGAAAATTTTAATAAAGACTCTTTGGATAAAGAAAATTAGATGAGGAATGCCAGTTTGTCTTTTAAGTTGCTTGAGCAGATCTGTCATAACAGACATTGCCCCAGATTGTGGAACCCTTTCCTTCTTACATCTTTTAATGGTAGTAGAACTTACAATACCATAATTTCCTTTCATTTTTGACAGTGTTATACTATCTTTTTAGATTTACACTGACAGCATTTCATCTTGACATCATTAGATCATCTCACCTGACTTTTGCATGGTGCACATCATTACATTATGATGGTGCTATACAATTACCAGTGAAATGAATAGGGTATTAACATGATTACTGAAAAAACGTTAGCACATACAGATATAGCATTCTGTAATTGAAAGCATATTATAGCTATTAATTGGTCTGCCCAACACTCCTGGGATCCAGTGAAACTTCCTTTTTTTTTTTTTTTTTTTTTTTTTTTTTTACCAAGTTGGATAATGAAAGGGAGTGACTTAGACAATATTACAGAACTAGGCAGTGGCTGAACTTTTCTTAACTTCCTTGATGTTTTTAAGCCTAAGAAAGTTGGGTGTGAAGATTTATAGTAACTAATCACTGTCTTGAAAGGGCAGACAAGTGAGAAAATTCCACAAGAATACCACTTTTTCTAGTTTCCATTTCAGGACTATCATGGCAATTATTGAGAATCAATTCTTCTAGGTTTTGTGAGAGTTTTGGGAGACAAGTAATCTGGAATTATTTAAAGTGTCCACCTTAAATGGAATTGATTTGGTCTGAGAAAAATCACATAACTTTTAAAAGTTAATCATTAATCAGGAAATGTTGTGATCAAAGGTTGATACAGAAACAACTTTAGAACTATAGAAATCTTGATTATTGAAAAGCCTCTATACTTTCTTCGTATATTTTTCTAAAATATTGATAATGCCTTACCAATGACATCCTAGACTTGAGAGACTCAGTGTTGTCTTTGAGGAGAGGATGAACTGACTCCTTTTTCTAAATCATATAATTCATCCTGAGTTCCAATTTTAAGGTGACTAAATAAATTAATTGTATGAATTAGTTAAAATTTTGCAAACTTTTTGAGCTTCACTTTGTTTTCTCATTTCTTCTCATTTGTATGAAGTGAATATGTATCATAAAGATTATCATGAGGGTAAAATGAGATAACAGATATAAAACTCTCAGCTTAATGCTTGGGCACAGTAGACACTCAATAAAGTGGAGCAGTTCCTATAATTCAGGAGACCTTGACTGGTCTGGGAACTAGAGCAGAAACTTTGGCGGCTTGAAAGTGGTAGTTCTTAGGGGACATTTCTTCACTCTTGGCCCTTCTTCTGCTACGTTTACACTGCCTGGAGAAGTCACAGGGATCATGATTTTCCTTGAATGTTTTCTGCCATGACTCAGCAGTAAAACAGCAGTATCAGTGGATGGAGCTGGTAGATGGATCAGAATCAGCTTATCTGACTTTAACTAATATTGTTTTATCGAATTTTCCCCCACCCACCTGCAAAAGGAAGAAACCAAATGAGAGGAATACAAATTTTCACTGTAATTGAATCAAATCATAACACCTGGAATTACGCATATGTCTATCTTGATTGGCCTATTTACAGCCATATATATTTTGTGGCAAACTAGTGTGTTTAAGAAATGGGCTTTTGAGGTCAGGAATATTGCATCATTTATATTTTAAGCACAATTTTCAGTCTTTCCTTAGACCTTGGAATTTACTCTTTTCTCTTCACTCCCAGCCTGACTACCACTCAGTTCATCTCATCCCCCATATTGCAATAGCCTCCAACTGGTCTTTGCACCTTCAGGCTCTCCAAGCTCCACTCCAGTCACCTATCACAATGATCGCTATTCCCTATAGGTCAAGTCTAAACTTCACATCGTGGCACAAAAGTCTTCCAGAATCTGCTCCAACCCTAACAATCTAGTATATCTCCATCTTTTTTAGCTTCCAAATCCATCTCATTTCTTCAGCCAAGTTGATTTTCTCCCTGTTGCCTGATCATATCGAACACTTTTCCAGGTCTACCTCGTTGACTGTTCATTCTCTTACCTATCTCTGCGTTCAGTGTCGAAAACAGAAGTCATTCTAAATGTTTTAGGCAGCAAGGAATTGAATGCCAGGGACTGGGTGCTTACAAAGTGTCAGAAGGGTTGGAGGAAGGGTCTAAGCTGGGCCTCTAATGACAACTCCTGGAGCACCAGGAAGGGTGCTACCAGAAAGACTGAATTCAGAACCCACTGCTGTAGCAATAACCCCAGGATCAGAAGCTGCTGCCATTACTGCTGCTATAATTGCCTCCCAACGAAAGGAGCTGGGGGAAAACGAAAAACAAAAAAACACTGGAATGTGATTGGGGAGAAAACACAAAAATTTATATTTCCATACCCTGTCACTATCAATAAAAGCAAAAAGGTGTGTGAAAATGGCCTCTCACTTCTGTTTTCTACATGGGATACAAAGCCATTTACTCTGCACTGCAAAATCCTAGTTGCAAAGAAGTCTTGGTGTACATGAAGGCAACTAGAAGTGAGGTGGATGAACATTAAGAGAGACTTCTTCCTTCCCCTCTGTTACCAAAATCTTGTATATCCATTTCAAGGATCAGTTCAAATATTGTATCCTCCAGGAAACAGCAAGCAATGTCAATGGTAGATCTTTATGCTTCCTAATCACCCTTAACCCACATTGCAGAGATGGTCAATATGCAGTTTACTTAGCCATACCCTGCCTTCCTACACCTCTAGTGGTCATCCCACTTGAATTTCAAGATTAAAGCACAAGATTTACTCAGCCTGGAATTGGCCTCAGAATCCTTCTTACCACAATACTCAAGTCAGCCTTAATCAACTGATGGGAGATGATGCTTCAGATAAGCCCTGTTTGCAAGCCCTGAAGTCTATTATTCAGGCATCTAGACAGCTTTTGATTAAATATATTAGATAGCAATTCTGACTTGATCGTTCCCTAACCTCAAAGCATGATGGTCTGAAATAAGGATACTGGTGGATTTGTGTGTTGCAGGGGGCGGGAAGTAAATAGTCCTGAATCATAGATTTTAGATCTGGAAATGGCTTCAAGAAATACCTTGGTACAGCTCTTTGTCTGTAGGCAGGAAAGCTTTTATATCTGAGTTTAAAAATGAATAAACTGAGGGCCAGAGAAATTAAGTAACTTTCTGAGTTTACACAGATATATTTTGTTATCTGATAACAGCATATTACACTTCAAGATGGAATTACTAATGAATCTACTTCTCTCATCTTTTGTGCTTCTTTATTATTGATAATTCATCACAGTCTATAAAATACAAATTTAGTAACTGAGTTTTTCTCCTTTTCATTATCTTCGTTTCTACCAGGAAATAATCACAAATGGCAACAAAACAAAACAAAAAAATACCTAGCATAAGAGTACAGGTTGTAGAATACTGTTTATTACCATGTTCAACCTTGAGAAAAATTGCAAAATAGGTGAAATTTATCTAAATTGACTTCTGTCTTTAAGTATGTCTTTTTTCCTTCCTGTAGGTTCCTAAGACTTTTATGAATATTTAAGGTTTCCCACAGGCTCTTTATCCCTGGAGAACTGTCTTATACCTAGAGCTTTTTCATTTACATATTTTCTATTCATCAGGGCACTCATCACCTTTATGAGCTACTAACCTAAAACTGATGAAGTAACAAGAGTTTTGTGTACCTTTGCCTTGCCATAATCTATATCTTACTGACTTCTCCTGATAAAAAATTGCCACCAACTTAGTGCCATAAAATAACACAATTTATTATCTTACAGTTCTGTAGGTCACAAGTCTGGTGTGGGCCTCACCAGCCCAAAATCAAGGTGCTGGCAGGCTGTGCTCCTTCTGGAGGCTTTAAGGGGGAATTATTTCCTGCTTGTGGGGTTGTTGAAAAATTTGATTCCTTGTAGTTGTAGAGCTGAGGTCCTGGTTTTCTTGCTGTCTGTCAGCTGAATGCTGATCCCAGGTTCTACAAGCTGCTATGTTCCCTAGCTCATGGTTCGCTTCCTCCACCTTTAAAGTCTGCAATGGTGAATGGAGACCTTCTCACATCACAGTTCTCTGAGCTACTCTTCTCCTTTTAAGGGCTCATATGATGAGATTAATCCAACTCAAATAATTCAGGATAATCATCTCACCTCCAGGTTGTAACCTTACTTATTCACATCTGCACAGTCCCTTTTGCCATATTTGCTAACTTTATTTACAGAACTAGGACATTGACACCTTTGGGAGGCCGTATTCTGCCTACCACACCTGGCTTCCATAGCATAATCACATCTTGATCCAGTTTCCCTCTTTATTTATTGCCTTCCTTCCTTCTTTCCTTTTATCCTTCTTAACACACGATTGAGCATCTACTATAATGATAAGTACTTACATAAGTGTGATGAATACAAAGATGACAACAGCATGACCCCTTTGTCATCTTTGTTACTCAAGTTACTGTCTGGTTGCTCTTCTCTTACTCTTCTGATTGCTTCTTTTTTGTGTAATATCTTTCTTCTACCCCAAGGCAGAATTTGGAATCTGTCACATGGAGCCTGTCAGTGTCCTATCCTGAATAACTCATTTAGTGCTAAGATTGCCTGCATATGAATCTATTTATACACATATCTCAGATTCTACTTCTCTTTTTCAGACCTCTCTCCTGAATTCCACTTATACACCTTCAGGTGGACATTTAAATTTACTCCATAATCACCTCCAACTCAGTTAGGATGGAACTTATCATTATGCTTCAGACTTTCTTCTTTCTTTAAGAAGCTCAAAAATTCTCCTAGTCACAAAGGTAGAAAACTTTTCAATGAGTCTTAACTGCCCCTTCGTCTTATTTTTGTAACAGGGATGCTATTTGGGGGAGGGGGGTATTAAACTTATATATTTATCTTTGGTAATACCTAATTACTAGTTGTCCCACAGCTCTCATATCCAGAGCCAAGTAGGGTCAACTTCTGTCATAGAGTTTTCGCCATAGAACAAGAAAGATTTACCTTCTGCCTCTGATGGGGAGGCTGTGGAAATCTGCCCTAGAGTAGAAGAGAGATAAGACGTGGCAGACTTCAAGTTGAGACAAAGGTCAAAGGAAGATGCAATTCATTCTGGGAGTATGAGGAAGAGAAGGAGCAAATCAGTAGCAGGAAGGCAAGTGGTCAGATTCTCCTTTGCACTAACGTTCTGGAGTGAAATTAGGAACAAGGGGGAAACTACAAACAGAGTGTTTTGCCCTTGAGTCAGAGCTGGCTAGAAGCTCACCAAACTTGCTTTTTCCTGAAAGACACCCAGACTACATTTCTTAGATTCTCTTGCAGTCAGTTGGCAGCCACATGACTAAGTTCCAGCCAATAGAATGTGGCAAAACTGATGGACTCATTACTTTCATCTGGGTCATTAAAACCCTCTGTGTGATCCTCCTGAATCTTTCCAAGCCAATGGAAAACCCTCAGGTCCTCCGGCAAGGGCTCTTCACCTTTTTGAATCATTATGGATCCTTGCAGCAGTCCGGTGGAGCCTATGAACTCTTTTTAGAACAGTGTTTTTAAATGTATGAAATAAAAGCCAAAAGATTACAATTAAAACAGATTATTTTGAAACACAGTTAACAAAGTATCTTAAAATGCAAATCTGTGATACGGTAATGTGTGTTCTTCTTTATTAATGCATTAAATTACAAGATCTAGTGGCAAGTATAATAACTACCATGTTTCCAACATGCTGATGATATAAAGAGATAGCCTTGATACCTGAAGTGTGAAAAAAAATCTGTGATTTATTTCAATGACAAAGTTGCAGGCTTAGCAGACATCTTTCAGTTAACAAAGGTCACAGGACTTGCCCAGCCACCTTTGCGGCTTAGACTAGTATGTGAATCTGAGACCCCATCTCCTTTATTGCCTTTGGATCACATAAATCCTCCCCAGCCTTGCCTCGTATTCGCAGATGTTATCCTGGGGTGCAGCAGGATGAAGGGGGAGAATCTCAGAGTTTGAGCCATAAACCTGAAATAGACCGAATTACTTAAAAGGGGGAACTATTTAAAGCTGAAGAGAATGAAATAATGTCACCAGGCAAATTTAACCTTTCTGACTCTTCAGTGGGGTGGGGTGGAACTTAACTGTGAAATTTTGATCAACAGGAGACACTAAAGGAGCCGGATATGATGTAGGGAAAACTTCTGCCACTTAAAAATGAGAGAAAGCCTGGCTTTTGTGCCCCCCACCTTCCACATGGGAAAAGTAGAGAAAAGAAGGAAAGTGATGTAGAGGAAGAAGCAAAGTAGGAGAGGCATAGGTCATAGCTTCCAACTCTGGGCTGAAATTTGCAGATATAGGGATGTGGGCTGGGTTGAGAAGAAAGAGGCTTTTGCTGTGATTCTAATTGGAATGCGGAGGCCATGCAAAGTAGCCTCTTTCGAACCTGGAGGGTCCAGAAAGGTAGAGATGTTGGTAAGAATGGTTAAGGAGAGGGCTATTGTTACTCTTCCTCAGTTCCCATGTGATGTGCAGGCACTCAGAAATTTCTGCATGCTTCATGGGACAATGTGAAGAATAGCTGATTGGGGAGCTGGTAGTCTTGTTTAGGGACTGTTGTAGGGAAGGGTTAGGTGACAATACTCACGTGAAACTACTCACAGAACTCATTTTTTTCAAGGGCAGGAAAAAAATAACAGACACTTAATAGAGGATTACAGCAATGGCTATAGTCATGATGGAACAGAGTCAGCAAGAGAAGACCACTGCGTGTGAATCAGTAAAGAGAATAACCTGCAAGTTCCTCAGGCATCCCTCAGCAGACCTGAGTGCAAAAGGATCAGGGACCTGCCCAGCCACACCTCAGCAGAGAGCAGCTAGGACTTAGATGACTATTCACAGCTCCAACTCCATCATTGCCATGATATCACATGAACCTGAACCTCTCTGACAATGAGAGGCCACCATGGAGAGGAGCAGTGGAAGAGAGAGAGAATCTGAAGGAAGCAGTTTTCAAAAGAGATAGAGTTATTGCTAAGTGATTTTATAACAGAAAGACTAAGACACTTAAATGTTTAAGCTTTCTTGACCCCAGATTCATACTTAGGGTAATGGGGTCTCATGAGGAAGATGATTGGTTATGAAAATAAAGAAACAGGATTTTTTTCCTTATATGCATAATTTGTACATTTGAAGCCCTCTTACATTTCTCCTTTGGTGGTAAGAGAGCTTGCAAAAAATGGCCCAAATTCTCCATTGCTCTCTGTATCGACTTTGTATCATAAAGTTGCAGCTCCTCCCATGAAAAAGTTGAGTCTACTTTTTGAATCCAGACAGGACTTGTGACTTTCTTTGGCCAAAAGAACACAGCAGAAATCATGATGCACTGGTTTGAAGCCCATGCCTCAGGAGGTCTTTCATTGCTTTCCTGGACTTCTACTGTCAGCATGAGAGCCAGCTCTGGCCAGCATGCTGCAGAAGAGAGACCTTATGAGGAGGACTCAGGCCATCTCAAATGAGGTCATCCTAGACCAGCCAGCCTCCAGCTGACCTAACAGATGGCTCATGGGTGAGCCCAGCTTAGATCAGCCAAGCCTGTCCCAGATGAACAGAATCTTCCAGCCAACTCACAGATTCATTAAGCCACTAAATTTTCATTTAAGCCACTACATTTTGGGGTGGTTTGTTATGCACCAAGAGCTAACTGATAAACCTACAGAAGTAATAATATATCCTATTGCCTCTTCTCTTTCTGTCATATGTCACAATAACCACTTTATCTTCTTACCTTTCAGGCTTTTTCCTCTCCAAACCACCTTGCAGCCCTGAGGTAGACCAAGCCTTCTGCATGCTTCTTTCTTTTCCCTTAAGCCCTGAGGGTCAAAATAACAATAGTACTTGACACCAAGTCACTCACTGATTTTATTTCCTGGAATACAGTTCCTTCCTTTTGCTATAACCCCCAGTATTTGATCTTCCTCAGTCACTGCAGTAGCTGCCACCCTGAAGCTCTCCTGGGAACACCTTCCCAACTGAGGCCCAGGATGCAGATTGCTGGTCTGGCATGCTTTCTGTACCACTCTCTACCCATCCTGTCCTGGAGGGGATTTTTATCTACGCTTATTTGGAGGGTCTTTTCAGTGGCTATCTCTCAACCTTGGGTCATCCAGCCTTCTCATGGTTATAGTGCTCTAAGGTCTTCAAAAGGATGCTTGTATTTTTAATCTCTTAGCTCCAATGATCAAGAAAGAACAAGAAGAAAGGACTGGATATACAGTGGAATATATTTAACCTTAACAGGAATGAAATTCCTATAATGCTGCAACATGGATGAACCTCGAAAACATTGTGCTAAGTGAAACAAGCCAGACACAAAAGACCACATATTGTATGATTTCACTTATATGAAGTACTGCTATGGTTTGAATGTTTGTCCCCTCCAAAACTCATGTTGAAATTTAATCCCCAATAGGTGGTATTGAGAGGTGGAGTCTTTTAAGAGGTGATTGGATCATGAGGACTCTGCCCTCATAAAGAGATTAGTCCATTCATGGATTAAGGAATTAATGAGTTATAATGGCAGTGAGACTGGTGGCTTTATAAGAAGAGGAAGAGAGACCTGAGCTGGCACACTCAATCCACTTACCATGTAATGTACTACTCCACCTCAGGACTTAGCAGAGAGTCCCCACCAGTAAGAAGGCCCTTACTAGATGTAGTCCCTCAACCTTGGATTTCTCAGCCTCCATAACTGTAGAAATAAATTCCTTTTTTTTTTTTTTTTTTTTTTTTTTTCTGAGACAGAGTCTCACTCTGTCGCACAGGCTGGAGTGCGGTGGCGCCATCTCCGCTCACTGCAAGCTCCGCCTCCCAGGTTCACGCAATTCTCCTGCCACAGCCTCCTGAGTAGCTGGGACTACAGGTGCCCGCCACCACGCCCGGCTAATTTTTTTTGTATTTTTAGTAGAGACGGGGTTTCACCATGTTAGCCAGGATGGTCTCCATCTCCTGACCTCGTGATCCACCCGCCTCGGCCTCCCAAAGTGCTGGGATTACAGGCGTGGGCCACCACGCCCGGCCCCTTTTCTTTAAAAATTACCCAGCTTCAGGTATTCTGTTATAAGCAACAGAAAATGGACTAAGACAGGTACCTGGAATAGTCAAATACACCAAGACAGAAGGTAGAACAGTGATTCCTAGGAGTTGGGGGAAGGGAGGAGTAGGGAGTTTTTTAATGTGTATAAAGTTCAGTATGGGATGATGGAAAAGTTCGACAGCTGCATAGTAGTGATGGCTGCACAATAATGTGAATGTACTTAAAGCCGCTGAACTTTACACTTAATAGTTAAAATGGCAAATTTTATGTTACATATATTTTACTAAATAAAAATGTAAAATAAAAAGAACCACAATGGGGTTCCACTTTATATGCATTAGAATTGCTATAATAAAAAATTTTAATGAAGGTGGGACAAAGAGGTTTTCAGCACAATCTTCGAACTCTCCAAAACTTGGCATGTGTCTCTAACCTCACTCCTAGAATCCTTGAGACTTTACTTTCCTTCTGAGCTTGAGAGTCTTACTCTGTGTTTTGATGCGAGTCCTCTGTCTTATTTCAGGCTTTTCCATCTCTTAAGTCCTTCTATCTTTTAAGGTCTAGTTCAAATCCCATTTGCTATATGAAAACCTCTCTGATCACCACCCTAATCTTTCTGTCCTTTGAGCTATCCTTGATCTTATTGTTTGTGCCATTATTTATCCCTTTTCATAAATAGTTTAATATTATTTAAAATGTTTTTAATAGTTTTTAAATATATTTTTAAATTTCTTTTAAAATTTTTGTGGTTACATAATAGTGTATATATTTATTGGATATATGAGGTGTTTTGATACAGGCATGCAATGTGAAATAAGCACATCATGGAGAATGGGGCATCCATCCCCTCAAGCATTTATCTCTTGAGTTACAAATAGTCCAGTGACATTCCTTATTTTAAAATATATAATTAAGATATTATTGGCCAGGGATGATGGCTCACGCCTATAATCTCAGCACTTTGGGAGGCCGAGGCAGGTGGATCACTTGAGGTCAGGAATTTGAGACCAGTCTGGCCAATACGGTGAAACCCTGTTTCTACTAAAAATACAAAAATTACCCAGGTGTGGTGGTCCACACCTGTAGTCTAAGCTACTCAGGAGGCTGAGGCAGGAGAATTGCTTGAACCTGGGAAGCAGAGGTTGCAGTGAGCCGAGATCGCACCACTGCACTCCAGCCTGAGTGACAAAGCAAGACTCTGTCTCAAAAAAAAAAAAGAAGTTATTATTGACTATAGTCACCCTGATGTGCTATTAAATAGTAGGTCTTATTCACCGAATAGTTCTTTATGTATTTGCACATTGATACCCATATCAACATCTATTTATTGGGTGCTAGATTCTCTCAATCCAACTAATCAATACATACCTTAAAAAATAAGAGACGGAATTTTTTGTCTCTTGGGTTCTCTTATAGTAGCTAATATAGAACTCTGCACATATTGTTTGCTCAGTAATTGTTGATCCATCATTTAATTCTATGTTGTTCTGGCCAACATAGCCTTGACAGGGCTTTTCTGAGGAAAATGCCTAATCAAGTGTTTCTCAACCTGATTTTCTTCATTGTATCCCCCTGACCCAGGAAACTTTACAGACTTTTTTTTTTTGCTAATCATCTCCCCTATGAAATTTTACTACTACAGATAGGCAGTCTGTCTGTACAGAATTTCTATACAGCCATACACAAAAAGAGCAAGAATTTTTCCCCCAAGAACCAATCCCCCGCACACCTGAAGGGAATATTATCCCCATTGAGAATGCATGTCTTAACCCTTCATGACCTTCAGCAAGGCAGTGGGGAAGATGTTTGGGTGGTTCTCCAGGCATTTCAGGCTCCTCAAAGCACAGCACCATAGAGGTCTTTCTGTTCCACCTCCCTGAGTACCTAAAAACCCTGCTTTTTCTTTGTTTCTTTTCTTTTCTTTTTTTTTTCTCCGTGATTATTGCTTTTGGTGGTAGTTTTCTGCATTCACAGGTGAGGACAGAAACTGAAAATACCCTCTCTAAAATGTACTACTTTCTCTACATCTCACAGTTGTTGGGTTATTAACTTATTTGCTTATTTTGGGGGAGGGGAATAAGCATCTGTAATCGACACAGGAAATATACAACGTTGCCGCTTCTCTTTAGGTGCATAGCACCACTTGAAAAGGACAGAGCACAGTATATAGGATGGAAGACTGCCACTAGGGCATATGGTGCTTTGTTTGAAATAGAAAAAGGTGCCCCTTCCTTCAGGTCCCACAGCCCTAGCAGTGTGCACAGTCAGCCTGCACTTGAGCTCCCTTGTCTGGGTAACTTTATGGAGGGAACCACCTGCACACCTTCAAACAGTAACACCTGACTAAACAAACATACAAATATGGGAATTCATATGTTTAAAACATATTTTAAAATATATTTAAAACATACTTTAAATACTGTGAAACAGTTATGCCCTGTGTAGCCACAAGCTCCTTTTCCCATCTTATTGACTGCAGGGTTTGGATTTGGGAAAGACAAGATACTTCTCTTTGCTTGGACATGGTGTGCAACTGGCATAGGTCCCATGTTGGAGTGTGGGAGCATCCGGAGAGAGAGCATTTCTAAAGTGAATGCCAGACAAGTCGTCATGTAGCACACATATCTCTCGGGACACTTTTCCCGGAATTTTCATTGCGTTTTTCCCTCTCTAATCTGGGCTTCCCATCTGAACGTTTAAATTTTAGGTCAGATTAAAACATTCCATCAAACTTCAATAATTGTTAATTTGAAAATACATTTTCATAAAACTAAACACAAACGTTTTTTTTCTTTTCCCAGTTACTAGTAATCAAAAAGTTCTGTTTTATAAAGCTTAAAGTTGGAATTTCCACCAAATATCTGATTTTCTACTGTTGCCATATTTTCACTTCAAGTAGAAATAACTATCTATATTACCAATATCATTGCATCACATAAATTAGGAAAAATTTGTATGGCTTCTGATAGAATAAAGTAATACTAGCAGTTTATTTTTGATTGCTCTGAAGTATCCTATAAATGACTTAACAAACTCCCTAAAGTATTACTAACATGATTCTTAATGGAAAATATGTAAATGTCTCTGTGGATAAGCATTGTAACTTAAAAATATAGACTTCAAAATACCAGTGGGTAAACATCTTAAATATGTATCAGGTTTTTCAGATTGCTTAAGCTTTTTTAAGGCTTGTTGTTATAGAAGAATTGATGAAGATAACTGAAGATTATGAGCTTAATTTGAGATTCATAAATATCTGATTTATATTTCAGGAAATACAGGAAAATTCTTTTCTTTTCTCATCAGTATCTAAAGTTCTTAAAAAGTTATCCACATTGCAGGGAGGCAAGATGGCCGAATAGGAACAGCAAGGGTCTATAGCTCCCAAAGAGACAAACGCAGAAGGCAGGTGATTTCTGCACTTCCAACTGAGGTACCCGATTCATCTCACTGGGACTGGTTAGACAGTGGGTGCAGCACATGGAAGGCGAGCAGAGGCAGGGTGGGCCATCGCCTCACCTGGGAAGCACAAGGAATCGGGGAACTCCCTCCGCTAGCCAAGGGAAGCCATGAGGGACTGTGCCATGAAGGACGGTGCTATCCGGCCCAGATACTATGCTTTTCCCATGGTCTTCACAACCTGCAGACCAGAAGATTCCCTCGGGTGCCTACACCACCAGAGCCCTGGATTTCAAGCACAAAGCTGGGAGGTCATTTCAGCAGACACCAAGCTAGCAGCAGGAGTTTTTTTCGTTCCCCAGTGGTACCTGGAACTACAGCGAGACAGAACTGCTCACTCCCCTGTAAAGGGGGCTGAATCCAGGGAGCCAAATGGTCTTGCTCAGTGGATCCCACCCCCATGAAGCCCAGCAAGCTAAGATCCACTGGCTTGAAATTCTTGTGGCCAGCACAGCAGTCTGAAGTTGACCTGGGGTGCTCGAGCTTGGTGGGGAGAAGGGTGTCCACCATTACTGAGGCTTAAGTAGGCGGTTTTCCCCTCACAGTGGAAACAAAGCCGCAGGGAGGTTCAAACTGGGTGTGGAACCCACCACAGCACTCCAAAGCCGCTGTAGACAGACTGCCTCTCTAGATTCCTCCTCTCTGGGCAGGGCATCTCTGAAAGAAAGGCAGCAGCCCTACTCAGGGGCTTAGAGATAAAACTCCCATCTCCCTGGAACAGAGCACCTGGGGGAAGGGGCAGCTGTGGGCCCACCTTCAGCAAACTTAAACGTTTCTGCCTGCTAGCACTGAAGAGAGCAGTGGATCTCCTAGCACAGACTGCCTCCTCAAGTGGGTCCCTGACCCCCCATGCCTCCTGACTGGGAGACACCTCCCAGCAGGGGTCGACAGACACCTCATACAGGAAAGCTCCAGCTGGCATCTGGTGCATGCCCTTCTGGGATAAAGCTTCCAGAGGAAGGAGCAGGCAGCAATCATTGCTGTTCTGCAGCCTCTGCTGGTCATACCCCAGGAAACAGGGTCTGGAGTGGAACTCCAGCAAACTCCAGCAGACCTGCAGCAGAGGGGCCTGACTGTTAGAAGGAAAACTAACAAACAGAAAGCAATAGCATCAACATCAACAAAAAGGACGCCCACGCAAAAACCCCATCAGAAGGTCATCAAAAACCAAAGGTAGATAAATCCACGAAGATGAGGAAAAACCAGCACAAAAAGTCTGAAAATTCCAAAAACCAGAACAACTCTTCTCCTCCGAAGGATCACAACTACTCGCCGGCAAGGGAACAAAACTGGATGGAGAATGAGTTTGACAAATTGACAGAAGTAGGTTTCAGAAGGTGGGTGATAACAAACTCCTCCCCGCTAAAGGAGCATGTTCTAGCCCAATGCAAGGAAGCTAAGAACC
This sequence comes from Homo sapiens, assembly GCF_000001405.40. NCBI lineage: Eukaryota > Metazoa > Chordata > Mammalia > Primates > Hominidae > Homo > Homo sapiens. The sequence goes on from NC_000007.14 coordinate 97,052,136, forward strand.
TTTATAAATGGTTACAGGAACTGCTAACTAGAATAACCAGTTTAGACAAGACCATAAATGACCTGATGGAGCTAAAAAACACAGCACAAGAACTTTGT